>NC_000022.11:49975365-50275365 GCF_000001405.40 Homo sapiens
GGTGTGTATATATCATGTGTGATGTGTGGTGTGTGTGTCATGTGTTTTGTGGTGTGTGCTGTGTGTGTGGTTTTGTGTGGTGTGTTGTGTGTGGTGTGTGTGTCATGTGTTTTGTGGTGTGTGCTGTGTGTGTATGGTGTGTATATATCATGTGTGGTGGTGTGTGTGGTGTGTCATGTGTTTTGTGGTGTGTGCTGTGTGTGGCGTGTGCTGTGTGTGTGGTGTGCGTGGTGTTTAGTGTTGTGTGTGGTGTGTGTGTCATGTGTTTAGTGGTGTGTGTGGTGTGTATATATCATGTGTGGTGTGTGTGTGGTGTGTGTGTCATGTGTTGTGTGGTGTGTGCTGTGTGTGGTGTTGTGTGTGGTGTGTGTGTTATGTGTTTTGTGGTGTGTGCTGTGTGTGTGGTGTGTGTGGTGTGTATATATCATGTGTGTTGTGTGTGGTGTGTGCTGTGTGTGGTGTGTGTGTGGTGTGTGCTGTGTGTGTGTGGTGTTGTGTGTGTGGTGTGTGTGGTGGCAGAACCCAGCAGGGAGATAGGGAGGGAGGTGGAAGTTCCTTTGGGGAAAGACTTCCTTCCCTAAGGAGGCCGGAGGGATCGGGGAGCCGGGCAGGCGCAGGCGGGGCTCCGGAGTGGTCGTCGAGGGAGGCCGTGGGGCCACGACCTGCTGCCAGGGCGGGGACAGGCCTTGGGGCCAGGACCTGCTGCCAGGGTGGGGACAGGCCTTGGGGCCATGGGGCTGCCAGGGTGGGGACAGGCTGTGGGGGAGGCTGTGGGGTAGGACCTGCTGCCGGGGTGGGGACAGGCTGTGGGGCCATGGGGCTGCTGGGGTGGGGACAGGCCATGGTGGGAGGCCGTGGGGCCAGGACTTACTGCTGGGGTGGGGACAGGAGTTCTTGTCCAACCGGGGGCACCTCCAGGGCAGGCTCATTTCTTTCCACTGGCTAAATTAATTAAAAAAAAATTCCTCTGAAACGAATACTGAGTCACTTTAAACATTTCTCAGATGTAAATGGAAATCTAATAAAATCTGTGAAAGGTATTTTTAAAACAGCTTTATTGAGGTGTGATTTACATACCATAAAATCCACCCACTTCCAGCAATTTCAGTGATCCACCCACGACTCAATGATTTCAGCGCAACCATCACCACCCTCCAATTTTAGAAATTTCCATCACCTCGAAGTCCCCTCGCAGCCATGAGCAGTCACTTCCTCTTCCCACCCCCAGCCCTAAGCAAACTCTAACCTGCTTTCCGCCTTGATAGATTTGCCTTTTTTGGAAATTCCGCATAAATAGAATCATACAACTGGTAGTCTTTGGTGTCTGGCTGCTCTCACTGAGCATAATCCTTTGAGGTTGGTCCACACTGTAGCATCATGGGTGGGTAGTTCTTATAATTCTCTCCCATTGTACGGCAAAGCCATATTTTGTTTAGCCATTCACCAGCTGATGGACGTTCGAGCCGTTTCCATATTTTGGCTGTTATTAATAAAGCTGCTATGAACATCCAGGTAGAATTGTTTATGGTTTTTTGTTTTTGCGACAGGATCTAGCTGTCACCCAGGCTGGAGTGCCATGGCATGATCATGGCTCACTGCAGCCTCTACCTCCTGAGCTCAAGCGATTCTCTGGCACCAGCCACCTCCTGAGTAGCCAGGGCTACAGGCGAGCACAACCACACCGGGCTAATTTTTTTTTTTTTTTAGTAGAGACGAGGTCTTACTCTGTTGCTCAAGTGAAGGTACAATTCCTTGTGTGGACATATGTTGTCATTTCTCTCAGGTGGAGACATAGGAATGGCATTGTTAGGTCAGACGGTAAATATACATTTTACTTGTGAAGAAATTGGCTATACTTTTTTTAAATTTTTTTATTTTTTTTTAAGACGGAGTCTCACTCTGTTGCCCAGGCTGGAGTGCAATGGCTTGATCTCAGCTCACTGCAACCTCCGCCTCCTGGGTTCAAGTGATTCTCCTGCCTCAGCCTCCTGAGTAGCTGGGATTACAGGCGCCTGCCACAATGACCAGCTACTTTTCTTTCTTTTTTTTTTTTCTTTTTTTTTGAGACAGAGTCTCCCTCTGTCACTCAGACTGGAGTGCAGTGGTGTGATCTCAGCTCACTGCAAACCCCTGCCACCCGGGTTCAAGCAGTTCTCCTGCCTCAGCCTCCGGAGTAGCTGAGATTACAGGCATGCACCACCACACCCAGCTAATTTTTGTATTTTTAGTAGAGACAGGGTTTCGCCATGTTGACCAGGCTGGTCTTGAACTCCTGACCTCAAGTGATCCGACCGCCTCGGCTTCCCAAAGTGCTGGGATTACAGGTGTGAGCCACCATGCCTGGCGGCTATACGTTTTTCATATGTCTGAAACGTATGAAGTTTCCAGTGTTCCCATGCCCTTGTCACCCCTTCTTCTTATCGCCCTTTTTTGTTACACACAAGTGTGTGAAGTGGTAACCCACTGGGCGTTTTCCCTGCCGCCCTTTGCAGAGCAGGGCTGACCCACAGGCACGTGCCAGAGCGGGCTCCCACGGGCTTTGATTTGAATTTTCCCAGTAGTTAATGATGTTGAGCATCTCGTCATGTGTTTAAAAGACAAAGCCATTTATGTACCTTCTTTGTTGAGATGTCTAATAAAATTTTTGCCTTCTTTTTTTACTTGGGTTGTCTTATTTTTTAAAATATATTTATTATTAATTGTAAAATATACGTAACAAAAAACTTTTATTTTCTTTTTCTTTCTTTTTTTTGAGACAGAGTTTCACTCTTGTTGCCCAGGCTGGAGTGCAATGGCACGATCTCGGCTCACTGCAGCCTCCGCCTCCCAGGTTCAAGCGATTCTCCTGCCTCAGTCTCCCCAGTAGCTGGGTTTATAGGCAGATGCCACAACGCCCAGCTAATTTTTGTATTTTTAGTAGAGACGGGGTTTCACTATGTTGGTCAGGCTGGTTTCGAACTCCTGACCTTGGGTGATCTGCCCACCTGGGCCTCCCAAAGTGCTGGGATTACAGGCGTGATTTTTTACATTTCTATTTTGTTTTTGTAGAATCAGGGTCTCATTATGTTCCCCAGGCTGGTCTCAAATTGCTGGGCTCGTGATACTCCTGCCTCGACCTCCTATTGTACTGGGATTACAGGTGTGAGCCACTGTGCCCAGCCAATTTTTGTTTTCTTAATGACGTTGTTTGAAGGACACCATTTTCAGTTTTGATCAAATCCAATTTATCTCTATTTTCCTTCATGATCCTGCCTTTGGTCTTGCAGCTGAGAACACTTTGCTTCACTCAAGGTCAGTCACGAAGATTTCCCCTCATGCGTCCTTTTAACCATTTCATAGCTTTAGCTCTTTCATTTAGGTCTATCTATGGTTCATTTCAAGTTAATTTTTGTGTAAGGAGTGAGGTAGGGGTCTAAACTCATGTTTTTACATGTGGATATCTAACTGTCATAGAACCATTGTTAAAAAGAGAGTCCTTTCCCCAACTGAAAGCCTTGGCACCTTTGTCAAACATCAACTGACCCTAAATGTTTGGGTTTATTGCTGGATTCTCCATTGATCTATATCTTGATTCTCATGCCAGCACACACTCTACTACTGTAGTTTTATAGTAAGTTTTAAAATGGAAAGTGTGAATCTTCCAGTTTTGTTCCCTTTCAAAATTATTTTGGCTATTCTGGATCCTTTGCATTTCCATATAAATTTTATGATCAGATTGATAATTTCTGCAAAAAAAAAAAAAAAAAAAAGCAAACCCAAAAAGCCTGTTCACATTTCAATAGGGATTGCATTCAACCTACAAACCAATTTGGAGAGTATTGTCATCTTAACATTGAGTCTTATAATCCACAAATACTGAATGTCCATCCATTCATTTAGATCTTCAATATCTCTTTGAAATGCTATACAGTTTTAAGCATACCAGTCTTGCACTATTTTCGTTAAACTTATTCCTAGGTATTTTACTATTATTATTTTGAGACAGGGTCTCCCTCTGTCTCCCAGGCTGGAGTGCAGTGGCACAATCTCGGCTCACTGCAACCTCCACCTCCTGGGTTCAAGCAATTCTCCTTCCTCAGCCTCCTGAGTAGCTGGGATTACAGGCGTGCACCACCACGTCTGGCTAATTTTTGTATTTTTAGTAGAGACGAGGTTTTGCCATGTTGGCCAGGCTGGTCTTGAACTCCTGACCTCAGGTGATCCACCCACCTTGGCCTCCCAAAGTGCTGGGATTACAAGTGTGAGCCACAGCGCCTGGTTGGTATTTTATTGTTTTTTAATGCTGTTGTGAATAAAAAGCCTAAAACTCCCAGGTTCACTCCTAATCTGCATGTGTGTGGATCTTCTAATTAGCATATCACATACTTGGAGAATTGATCTAACAGGCCGACCTCCACTGAGGTCTCAGAGTGACCACTAGGTGGTGCACACGAAGGCTAGTCCTGAATAGAACAGTAAAGGCTGGAAAATGAACTGATACTGGAACCACATTGCACAAGAGACTAAAATAAGAATGACAAAAAATAAAGACCGGAGAGTCATAATACACCACTCAACATTTCCACGATAGAAACAAAAATCAGTTGGCATATGAAGAAAGCAAAAATCTAAGCTCATGAATGGAAAAACAACGAACACCAATGATACGGTGGCTTGCATGAATCATCTGACAAGGACTTTAAAACAGCTGTTGTAAAAATGCTCAAACCAGCAACTGCAAACAGTCTTGACACAAATATTAAAATAGAAGGACTCAGAAAAGAAATAGAAGATGTAAAGAAGAACCAAAGGGAAATTTCAGAACTGAAAAATGTAACTGAAGAAAAAACTCACTGGATGGATTCAATAGCAGAATTGAAGTAACAGAGGAGTCAATGACCTCAAAGGTATGTTCACAGAAATTAAAATTAATCTGAGCAAGAGAGAGAAAAAAGAATTTTAAAAAAATGAACAGAGACTCTAGGACCTGTGGGATGATAACAGGGCTAATATTTGTGTCACTGGAGTCCTAGAAGGAGAGAGACCACGAGGCTGAAAGAATATTCAAGGAAGTAACAGCTGAAAAATTTGTCAAGTTTAGTAAAAGACCCAACAGATTCAAGAAGCAGAGCAAACTCCATCCTGGTTAAATGAAGAAATCCATTCCAAGACACTTCGAAGATTAAATTGCTGAAAACTACAGACAAAAAAATCTTAAGGCCGGGCGCAGTGGCTCACCCTGTAATCCCAGCACTTTGAGAGGCCAAGGTGGGCAGATCACTTGAGGTCAGGAGTTCGAGATCAGCCTGGCCAACATGGTGAAACCCCGTCTCTACTAAAAATACAAAAATGAGCCAGGTGTGGTGGCGTGCACCTGTAGTCCCAGCTACTCAGGAGGCTGGGGCACAAGAATTGCTTGAACCCGGAAGGCGGAGGTTGCAGTGAGATCATGCCACTGCACTCCATCCTGGGTGATAGAGTAAAATTCTGCCCCAAAAATAAAAATAAAAATCTTAAAAGCAGCCAGAGAAAATCGATGTATTATCTATCTACAGATGTATTATCTATAAAGAAAAATGATTTGAATGACTGGATTTCTCATCAGAACTCATAGGGGCTACAAAGAAAAGACACAGCATTTTTCAGACTTCTACGTCCAGCAAATTTCCTCAGCCTGACAAAAGACATCAACAAATATCCTGCAGCTAACTGCATACTTTGTGGTGAAGGCCTAGATGCCTTCCCCCTGGTCCTAAGACCAGGGTCAAGGTAAGGATTTCCACCCTCACCCTCTTTATCAACACCATGCTGGAAGTTCCGGCTACTGCAAAAGGGAGAGACCAGAAATAAAAGGCATACCACCAGGAAAGGAAGAAATGAAAGTGCCCTGATTTGCAGACAAACATGATTATTTATGTAGAAAATCCCAGGGAACCTATTAGAAACCAAGAACAAGGCCGGGTGCCATGGGTAACACCTGTAATGCCAGCACTTTGGGAGGCTGAGGCAGGTGGATCACTTGAGGTCAGGAGTTCGAGACCAGCCTGTCCAACATGGAGAAACCCCATCTCTACTAAAAATACAAAAATCGCCGGGCATGGTGGTGGATGCTTGTAGTCCCAGCTATTTGAGAGGCTGAGGCAGGAGAATCACTTGAGCCTGGGAGGCAGAGGTTGCAGTGAGCCAAGATTGTATGACAGCACAACACTCCAGCCTGGGCGACAGCGTGAGTGAGACTCCGTCACAAAAACAAACGAACAAAAAAAAAAAAAAAAAAAACCCCACAAAGAACATAGAACCAATGAATGCGTTTAGCCAGGTTGCAGGTTACAAGGTCAACACATAGAAATTAATCAAGGCCTGGCACAGCGGCTCACGCCTGTAATCCCAGCACTTTGTCAGGAGATCAAGACCAGCCTGGCCAACATGATGAAACCCCGTCTCTACTAAAAATACAAAAATTAGCTGGGCGTGGTGGCAGGCGCCTGTAATCCCAGCTACTAGGGAGGCTGAGACAGGAGAATCACTTGAGCCCAGGAGGTGGAGGTTGCAGTGAGCCGAGATCATGCCACTGTACTCCAGCCTGAGCGACAGAGGGAGACTCTGTCTGAAAAATAAAAATAAATAAATAAATAAATAAATAAATAAATAAATAAATAAATCAGTTTTATTCCCATATACAAACAGTGAGCAATAGGAAGCCAAAAAATATTAAGGTTATAATTTACAATAGCTCCAAAACATGCCTGGATGTAAATCCAACACAACGTACGAAACCTGTGCATTGGCAACTATAAAACGCTCTTGAAAATAATCAAAGGGAAAGACTTACTGGGTTTGTGGATTTGAAAGCTCAGCGTAGTAAAGAGGTCCTTTCTCCCCAAGTGATGTACAGATTTAACACAAAACCAGGCAAAATTCCAGCAGGATTTTTTTTCCTTTGGTAGATGTAGACTGATTTTAAACTTTATATGGAAGGGTAATTAATTAGAATAACTAAAATTTGAAAGCAAGAAAATAGTTGTAGGATTCAGACTATCCGATTTTCTTTGTTTTTGAGATGGAGTCTGGCTCTGTCACCCAGGCTGGAGTGCAGTGACACCATCTCGGCTCATTGCAACCTCCACCTCCCGGGTTCAAGCGATTCTCCTGCCTCAGTCTCCCGAGTAGCTGGGATTACAGGCGCCTGCCACCACACCCAGCTAATTTTTGTATTTTTAGTAGAGATGGGGTTTCGCCATGTTGGTCAGGCTGGTCTTGAACTCCTGGCCTCAGGTGATCCTCCCGCCTCGGCCTCCCAAAATGCTGGATTACAGGCGTGAGCCACCTCGCCCAGCTGACTATCCGAGTTTAACACTTACTATAGCGCCACAGCAGTGATGACCACGTGGAATCGGCAAAGTGATAGGTGCACAGATCCACAGAAGGGAACAGATAGTTCGGATACACCCACAGAAACTCATCATCTCCTTTGATCTTTGGCAAAGGGGCCATCCAGTGCAGAAAGGAAAATTTTCTCAGCAAATGGTGCTGGAACCACTGGTCATCGGTATTCTGAGATGAACCGTTGTGGGTGTTCCTGGGAAGGCCTAGGGGAGCTGGGGACGGGGGCATTTCCAGATGAGCGAACCGGCACCTCCCACTGCTCCAGGGCGCGCAGAGCTGCCTGAGGCCCTGCCCGGGTGGGAGCCCGGCCCGCTGGGCAGCCTGCCCTCGGGTCCTCGTTCATGGATAAAAAGGCACAGGTCAGAGATGGAGAAGCTCGCCCTGGCCACCCAGGTGGTGAGGGTCACCCTGCGGCCACCCAGGTGGTGAGGGTCACCCTGAGGCCATCCAGGTGGCGAGGGTCACCCTGAGCCTGTGTCCACCCGGCTCCCTCCAGACTCCCGGGGTAGGGGAGCAGCGCTGCCACGCAGTGGAATCGCCAGCTTCGCAGGACGCAGGCGCCCGTGGGGTCCCTCCTGGGGTGAAGGGAGGGTCTCTCCAGGAGCGCCCCGTCGGGTTGGTTCAGCTGCGAGGGGAACACGCGTCCTGGGAACCTGAGGCTGAGTCAGGAGCTTGTCCTCAAAGACATCTCCCCCAGTAAAAGCTGAAGCGAGGGGGCGGGGAGACGGGAGACCTTGAGCCCTCGCGCCCTCGCGCCCTCGCTCCGGGTTCCTGCGCGTGGAGGGGGCAGGACGCCCCGCCCTTATTCCCGCCGCCAGGGGGCTCCACGGAGGCCGCCCCTCATCCACAGCAGCTGCGGGTCCTGCCCGGCCCTCCAGGGCCTGTAAGCCAAGCCCGAGCCTCGCCCCCGGGCCCGCCCCCTCCTCCCGCCCCCGCAGCTGCTCCCTCTCGCCTCCCCGGGAAGCGCGACGCCCCCGCCTTCCCTCAGGGCCCCGGGCGGGCGGACACCAGACCGAGAAATCCGGGCGGGAGGTCGGGGCGGCGTCTGCTCCGCCGGGGGCAGGTATCGGGGCGAGTCGGAGCCACGAGGACTCTCCGCAAAACGCCCAGCGACGTCGGTCTTCGCCCAGAGGCAAGTGGCCGCCCCGCTCCCCAGCTCGAGGCGGTTCGTCCCCACGTGGCGTGGAGGCGGCGCCGGACTCGCGTCCTCTGCAGGGCTCAGGACAGGGCCTCCTGCCTCGCGCCTGGAACGCCCTCCCCCCCCTCCCCGCAGCCCGTCCACACCGCCCGGGCGCCCCTTCTCGCCGGCTCCCACCCGCGGGGCCAGGGCCGCTCCCATGGAGAGACGGGGATTTCACCGTGTTGGCGAGGCTGGTCTCGAACTCCTGACCTTAAGTGATGTGCCCGCCTCGGCCTCCCAAAGTGCTGGGATTACAGGCGTGAGCCACCGTGCCCGGCCCCACATTAGTATTTTAATAATAGCCATCCTAATGGATGTGAAGTGGAATCTTACTGTGGTTTTGATTTGCGGTTCCCTAATGACTAATGATGTTGAGAGCTCTTTCATGTGCTTATTGGCCATTTGCATATTTTCTCCAGAGAAATGTCTGTTCAAGTCCAGTTTTTAGTTGGGTTGTGTGTCTTTCTGTTGTTGAGTTGTTGAAATTCTTTATATGTTCCAGATACTAGACCCTTATCAGAGATATGATCTGCAAATATTTTCTCCCACTCAGTGGGTTGTCTTTTCACTCGCTTGATAGTGTCCTTTCATTCACAAAAGTTGTTAATTTTCATGAAATCCAATTTATCTATTTTTTCTTTTGTTGCTTGTGCTTTCAGCGTTTTTTTTTGTTTTGTTTTGTTTTTTTAGACAGAGTTTTGCTCTTGTTGCCCAGACTGGAGTGCAATGGCGCGATCTCGGCTCACCACAACCTTTGGCTCCCAGGTTCAAGCAATTCTTCTGCCTCAGTCTCCTGAGTAGCTGGGATTACAGGCATGTGCCACCATACCCGGCTAATTTTATTTTTAGTAGACACAGGGTTTCTCCATATTGGTCAGGCTGGTCTCGAACTCCCAGCCTCAGGTGATCCGCCTGCCTCAGCCTCCCAAAGTGCTGGGATTACAAGCGTGAGCCACCGCACCCAGCCTTCAGTGTCATGTTTAAGAAAACGTTGCTAGCTGGGCACAGTGGCTCATGCCTGTAATCCCAGCACTTTGGGAGGCCCAGGTGGGTGGATCACCTGAGGTCAGGAGTTCAAGACCTGCCTGGCCAACATGGTGAAACCCCATCTCTACTGAAAAAATACAAAATAGTGGCATGCGCCTGTAGTCCCAGCTACTCGAGAGGCTGAGGCAGAAGAATCACTTTAAACCTGGGAGGTGAAGGCTGCGGTGAGCCGAGATCACGCCATTGCACTCCCTGGCAACAGAGTGAGACTCTGCCTCAAAGAGAGAGAGAGAGAGAGAGAGAGAGAGAAAGAAAGGAAAGAAAGAAAGAAAAAGAAGAGAAAGAGAAAAAGAAAGAAGAAAGAAAGAAAGAAAGAAAGAGAGAGAGAGAGAGAGAGAGAGAGAGAAAACGTTGCCAAATCCAGTATTTTCTCCTGTCTTTTCTTCCAGAAGCTTTGTAGTTTTAGCTCCTAAGTTGAATCTTTAATCCATTTGGAGTTACTTTTTGAATATGGGGTAAGGTCAGGGTCCAAGGTCATTCTTTTGCATGTAGTTAACATTTTCTCAGCACCGTTTGTTGAAGACACTGTCCTTTCCCCCATTGAATGGCCTTTTCCCCCTGTTGGGAATCAGTTGATCATATGTGAGAGTTTAACTCTTAATTCTATTCCACGTCTATCCTTATGCCAATACTATACAATTTTGATTACTGTAGCTTTGTAGTAAGTTTTGAAATCAGGAAGTATGAATCCAACTTTGCTGTTTTTCAGAATTATTTTGGCCATTCAGGTCCCTTGAGATTCCAGGTGAATTTTAGGATAGAGTTTTCTATTTCTGCAAAAAACACCATTGGGATTTTGATAGGGATTACACCAAGCCTGTAGGCTACTTTGGGTAGTATTGCCACTTTAGCAGTATCAAGTCTTCCAATCCATGAACACAGATGTCTTTCCATTTATTTAGGTCTTGTTTAATTTCCTTCAGATGTATTTTTGCAGTGTGCAAGTTTTTTAGTGTACAAGCCTTCCATATTTTTGGTTAATTCTTAAGTATTTTGCCTTTTTGGTGCCATTGCAAATGGAATTGTTTTCTTAGTTTCTGTTTGGGATTGTTCCTTGAGAGTGTATACAGATGCAACTAATTTTTGTGTATTGGTTTTGTATGCCTTGCAACTTTGTCCAGTTTGTTAGCTCTAAAAGTGTTTTTCTTTGTGGATTCTTTAAGATTTTCTGCATATAAGATCATGTCACCTACAAATAGAGATAATTTTAATTCTTTTCTAATTTGAACGCTTGTTTGTTTATTTAATTGCTCTGGCTAAAATATTCAGTACTATGTTAGATAGAAGTGTTGAAAGTAGGGATCTTCGTCTTGTTCCTGATCTTAGGGGGAAAGTTTTCAGCCCTTCACCATTGAATATAATGTTTGCTGTGGCCTTTTCATATATGGGCTTTATCATGTTGAGAAAGTTCCCTTCTATTCCTAGTTTATTAAGCATTTATATAATGAAAGAGTGTTGGATTTTGTGAAGTGCTTTTTCTGCATTGAGGAAATTATGTGTTTTTTTTCTCTTCATTCTATAAATGTATTGAATCATAATGATTTCTGCATGTTCAACCATCCTTGCATTCCTGGAATAAATCCCACTTGGTCATGGCATATGATCTGTTTAATACACTGTTGAATTCAGTTTGCTAGTATTTTGTTGAGAATTTTTACATCTATGTTCATGAGAGACATTGGTCCGTAATTTTATTTCTTGTAGTGCCATTCTGGCTTTAATATCAGGGTAATGCCGGCCTTACAAAATGAGTTAGGAAGTGTTTCTTCCTCCTCAATTTTTTGGAATAGTTTGAGAATTCTACTTTAATTCTACTTTAAATGTTTGGTATAGTTCACCAGTGAAGCTCTCGGCTCCTGAGTTTTGCTTTGTTAGAAGGTTTTTGATTATTGATTCAATCTCTTTGTTATAGGTCTATTTAGATTTTGTGTTTCTTCTTGAGTCAGTTTTGGTAGTATGTTTTTGCATTTAAGAATTTGTTCATTTCATTTAGGCTATCCAATTTGTTGGTTATAGCATTCTTTTATAATCCTTTTTATTTCTGTAAAATCAGTAGTAATGTTTCCAGTTCATTTGTGATCTTAGTAATTTTAGTCTTGTTTTATTCCTTGTCAATCTGGCTAAGAGTTTGTCAATTTTGTTGATATTTTCAATGTACTAATTTTGCTTTTGTTGATATTCTCTATTTTTATCTCTATGTCATTATATGTCATTAATCACACACACACACACATATGTGTGTGTGTGTGTATATATATATATATATTTTTTTTTTTTTTTTTTTTTTTTGAGACAGGGTCTCGCTCTGTCATCCAGGCTGGAGTGTAATAGCATGATCATAGCTCACTGTAACTTCAAACTCCTGGGTTCAACCAATCCTTCTGCCGCAGCCCCCTGAATAGCTAGGACTACAGGCACGTGCCACCATGCCTAGCTAATTTTTTAATTCTAATTTTTTGTGGAAACAATATCTTGCTATGCTGCTCAAGGTGTTCTCAAACTCCTGGCCTCAAGTGATCCTCCCACTTCAGCCTCTCAAAGTGCTGGGATTATGGCATGAGCCACCGCACTCAGCCCACACTAATCTTTATTATTCTCTTCTTCCTGCTAGAATTGGGTTATTTTAGTTCTCTCTTTTTTTTAGTTCCTTAATGTGGCCTGTATTGAAAGATGTAAAGAGATATACTTTTTGACATGTAAGAAAATCTTGATTAGATCACTGGCTGACTGCAGAGGTAATGAAATAAACTTCAAAGACTACTCATAAGAAGGGATACCGACTTTGCAAACATAGTTTGGAAAAGTTGCTAAACATGTTGCCGGGCACTGTGGCTCATACCTATAATCCCAGCACTTTGGGAGGCTGAGGCGGGCTTATCACCTGTGGTCCAGAGTTCGAGACCAGCCTGGCCAACATGACAAAACCCCATTTCTACTAAAAATACAAAAATATTAGCCTGGCATGGTGGCAGGAGCCTGTAGTCCCCGCTAGTTGGGAGGCTGAGGCAGGAGAATTGCTTGAACCCAGGAGGCGGAGGTTGCAGTGAGCTGAGATTGCACCACTGCACTCTAGCCTGGGTGACAGAGTGAGACTCTGTCTTCCAAAAAAAAAAAAAAAAAAGATAATTGGCCAGGCGCAGTGGCTCACACCTGTAGTCCTAGCAGTTTGGGAGGCTGAGGCGGGTGGATCACTTGAGGTCAGGAGTTTGAAACCAGCCTGGCCAACATGGTGAAACCCTGTCTCTATTAAAAATACAAAAATATTAGCCGGGCGTGGTGGCGGGTGCCTGTAATCCCAGCTACTCGGGAGGCTGAGGCAGGATAATTGCTTGAAACCAGGAGGTGGAAATTGAAGTGAGCTGAGATTGGGCCACTGCAGTCCAGCCTGGACAACACAGTGAGATTCCATCTCAAAAAGAAAAAAAAAAACCGACAATTGTAGCCCTCAACAGCAATTTTTGAGGAGGAAGAATCTGATTTTCAGAGTTAACCACATTTATATAGCTTGGATATTTGTCCTCCAAATCTCATGTGGAAATTGGATCCCCATTGGAGGCGGAGCCTGGTGGGAGGTATTTGAGTCATTGGGGTGAACGCCTCGTGAATGGTTTGGTACTGTCCTCACGGTAGAGTGAGTTCTCCCTCTAGTAGCTCCTCTGAGATCTGCTTGTTAGAAAGACCCTGGCACCTCACTCCTCGTTTTTGTGTCTCTCTCACCATGTGATGTGCCACCTCCCCTTCACCTTCTGCCATGAGTAAAAGCAGCCTGAGGCTCTTGCCAGAAGCAGATGCTGGTGCCATGCTTCCCGTACAGCCTGCAGAACCAGGAGCAAGACAGAGTCTCTATAAATTACCCAGCCTGAGGTGCTCCTTTGGCAACACAAGTGGATGCAGACACACATTATAATACTTGAAATGTCCAGTTCCAATACAAAATTACACAGCATACAAAGAAACAGGAAAGTATGACCCATTCACAGGAAAAAAAAAAAAAAGGTAATTTTATAGAAGTCACTTCTGAAGCTGTCCAGACATTGGAAGTACTAGACAAAAATGTTAAATCAACTATCTTAAAAATATTCAATAAGCAGGCTGGGTGCGGTGGCTCACGCCTGTAATTCCAGCATTTTGGGAGGCCGAGGAGGGCAGATCACCTGAGGTCAGGAGTTCGAGATCAGCCTGGCCAACATAGAGAAACCTTGTCTCTACCAAAAATAGAAAAATTAGCCGGATGTGGTAGCACACACCTGTAATCCCAGGTACTCAGGAGGCTGAGGCAGGAGAATTGCTTGAACCTGGGAGGCAGAGGTTGCAGTGACCTGAGATTGCGCTACTGCACTCCAGCCTGGGTGACCGAGCAAGACTCCATCTCTCTCTCTCTTTTTTTTTCTTTTTTTTTTTTTTAGCATTTATTGATCATTCTTGGGTGTTTCTCAGAGAGGGGGATATGTCAGAGTCATAGGACAATAGTGGACAGAAGGTCAGCAGATAAACATGTGAACAAAGGTCTCTGGTTTTCCTAGGCAGAGGACCCTGCGGCCTTCCGCAGTGTTTGTGTCCCTGGGTACTTGAGATTAGGGAGTGGTGATGACTCTTAACAAGCATGCTGCCTTCGAGCATCTGTTTAACAAAGCACATCTTGCACCGCCCTTAATCCATTTAACCCTGAGTGGACACAGCACATGTTTCAGAGAGCACGGGGTTGGGGGTAAGGTTATAGATTAACAGCATCCCAAGGCAGAAGAATTTTCTTAGTACAGAAAATGGAGTCTCCTATGTCTACTTCTTTCTACACAGACACAGTAACAATCTGATCTCTCTTTCTTTTCCCCACATTTCCCCCTTTTCTTTTTGACAAAACCGCCATCGTCATCATGGCCCGTTCTCGATGGTCGCTGTCTCTTCACAGCTGTTGGATACACCTGCAGAAAGGCTGTCACTTCACACTTGGAAGATTGCACAGCGGCCAGGCAGAGGCACTCCTCACTTCCCAGACGGGCGGTGGCCAGGCAGAGACGCTCCTCACTTCCCAGACGGGGCAGCCGGGCAGAGGCGCTCCTCACTTCCTAGATAGGGTGGCGGCTGGGCAGAGGCGCTCCTCACCTCCCAGACGATGGGCGGCCGGGCAGAGGCGCTCCTCACCTCCCAGACGGGGCAGCCGGGCAGAGGCGCTCCTCACATCCCAGACAATGGGCGGCCGGGCAGAGGCGCTCCTCACTTCCTAGACGGGGTGGCGGCTGGACAGAGGCTGTAATCTTAGCACTTTGGGAGGCCAAGGCAGGCGGCTGGGAGGTGGAGGTTGTAGCAAGCCGAGATCATGCCACTGCACTCCAGCCTGGGCAACATTGAGCACTGAGTGAGCGAGTCTCCGTCTGCAATCCCAGCACCTCGGGAGGCCGAGGCAGGCAGATCACTCGAGGTCAGGAGCTGGAGACCAGCCTGGTCAACATGGTGAAACCCCATCTCCACCAAAAATACAAAAACCAGTCAGGCGTGGCGGCACATGCCTGCAAACCCAGGCACTCGGCAGGCCGAGGCAGGAGAATCACGGGAGCCCGAGGCAGGGAGGTTGCAGCGAGCTGAGATCACGGCAGTACAGTCCAGCCTCGGCAACAGAGGGAGACCAGAGAGGGAGAGGGAGAGGAGAGGGACAGGGAGAGAGAGGGAGAGGGAGAGTCTCTTTCTCTTTCTCTCTCTCTCTGTGTGTGTGTGTGTGTGTGTGTGTGTGTGTGTGTGTGTGTGTGTGTATTTATATTCAATAAGCTAAAGGGAAATATGGACATGAAGCTAAAGAAAAGCAGAAGAACAAGGTGTGAACTAAGAGGCAATGTCAATAAGATACATAAATTATAATAGGGAACCAAATGGACAATATGGAGCTGAAAAGCAAAATAGCAGAAATGAAGAATTCGGCTGGGCACGGTGGCTCACACCTGTAATGCCAGCACTTTGGGATGCTGACCCCAGGAATTCAAGACCAGCCTGGGCAACATAGTGAGACCTTGTCTTTACAAAAAAAATTTTTTTTAATTTGCCAGGTGTGGTGGTGCATGCCTATAGTCCCAGCTACTTGGGAAGCTGAGGTGGGAAGATTGCTTGAGCCCAGGAAGCCAAGGCTGCAGTGAGTCACATTCATGCCACTGCACTGCAGCCTGGGCAACATAGTGAGACTGTCTCAAAAAAGAAAAGAAAGAAGTGAAGAGTTCACTCGAGGGGTTCAATGTCAGATTTGTGCACATAGAAGAAAGGATCAGGGAACCTGAAGACAAGGCGATTGGAATTATCCACTCTGAAGAGCAGAAAGAAAAAAGATGCAGAAAAATGGAATAACCCGAGGGATCTGGGACACCATCGAGTGTACCAGCATACACCTCACAGGAGTCCCGAAAGGAGAGGAGAAATAGAAAAGGGAAGAAAAAATTAAACTTGAAGGAATAGTATCCCCAAATTCCCCAAATTTGATGAAATAAATGAATCTACATATCCCAGAATCTCAACAAACTGCAAGCCAGATAAACTCAGAGATCCACAGTGACAAACACTGTTGTCAAACTGTCAAAAAAACAATGACAAAGCAGCAAGAGAGAAGCAACTGGTCTCGTACAAAGGAGCCTCAATAAGATTTTTAGCAGATTTCTCATCAGAAGCCTTGGAGACCAGAGGGCAGTCGTATAAGTAAAGGTAACTACACAGGAAAATAGAAAATCAAGGATTATGATAGTTTTGGTTTGTAACTCCTGTTTTTTTCTATGATTCAAAAGACCAACTCATAAAACAGTAATTATAAATCTATGTTAATGGACATACAATATATAAAGATGTATCTGTGACCCCCAAATACCTGAGACAAGTGTCCGTCAATTCAGGAAGTTTATTTGGCCAAGGTTGAGGACACGAGCCCATGACACAGCCTCAGGAGGTCCTGACATGTGCCTGAGGTGGTCCGGGCACAGCTTGGTTTTATACATTATAAGGAGAAATGAGACATCAGTCAATATATGTAAGAAGTACATTGGTTCTGTCTGGAAAAGTGGGACAATTCAAATTGGAGAGGGGGCTTCTGGGTCACAGATAAGAGACAAACAGTTGCATTCTTTTGAGTTTCTGATTAGCCTTTCCAAAGGAAGAAATCAGATATGCATTTATCTCAGTGAGCAGACGGATGACTTTGAGTTCTGTCTATCCTTTGTCCACAAAGAATTTTTCCACAAATTTGTGGACACAAATTTGTCCACAAGGAGCTGAGGCCAAAACGTTGGTCACTTTTATTCACACTTGCGTGCCAGGACACCCCGAAGGCCTCACCTTCTGCACTTCTCCCCACCTGCCTGCCCTCCACAAGCTGACTCTCGCTGCTCTTCCGTGAGGCAGTCAGGGACCCTGTTAGAGCCGGGCAATGCAAAGGCCCTGCCTCTGCAGTCTCTGTTCACACATCACCTTGTCTGAGCCTCCCAGGGACCACCCTATTTTTGAAATTTTATATCTATTGAAATAGGGTCTTGCTCTGTTACCCAGGCTGGAGTGCAGTGGTGCAATCATGGCTCACTGCAGCCTCAATCCCCCAGGCTCAAACAATCCTCCTGCCTTGGCCTCCCAAAGTGCTGGGATTACAGGTGTGCAACACCATGCCTGGCCCCACCCTATTTTATTTCATTTTAATTTTTAGTTTATTATTTTTAAGATGGTGTCTCATTCAGTCACCCAGGATGGAGTGCAGTGGCATGATCTCAGCTCACTGCAACCTCTGCCTTCTGGGTTCAAGCGATTCTCCTGCCTCAGCCTCCTGAGTAGCTGGGATTACAGGTGCCCACCACAATGCCTGGTTAATTTTTGTATTTTTAGTAGAGCTGGGGTTTCCCCATGTTGGCCAGGTGGTCTCAAACTCCTGACCTTAAGTAATCCACCCGCCTTGGTCTCCCAAAGTGCTGGGATTACAGGCGGGAGCCACCGTGCCCAGACCCACCCTATTTCAGATTGCAGCTCCCCACACTCCCCATCGTGCTCCCAGCCTCATTCCTCACCCCACACTGGCACCAGCCACGCCCCCTCGCTTACTTATGTCACTTGGCTCTGGTTGTCTCTCTCATGCAAAGGTCAGCTCCATGATCCCAGTTTGCCTGGGACTGTCCTGGTGTCAGCACTGACACTCTGACCCAAGACCCTCCTTAGTGCCAGGCAGCCCCAGACTTGGTCCCCCAGCTGCAGGGCCCGGGATCTTTGCCAGTGTTGTTTGTTCCCGGTGCTGGGTCGGGGCCCAGGGCCCAAGGCCTGCTCAGCTGTGTGTCATGAGTGAATGAGGCAGGCGGGCGTCCAAGGCTCACCCGTGTTATACTGTGGCCCAGATGTGAGCAGGGCTGTGCACCCCAGTACAGGTGCTCCTGCCCGCCCCTACCGCACCCCCCTTTCTGGGGCCCGGGGTCCTCAGCACTTTTCTCCTGGCAGGTGTGGGGGTGGGTTTCCGGCGGTGGTGGTGGAGGGAGGGCAGCGTCCCTGGCCAAGGAGGCGGTGGGTGCACTGGGCTGTGGGCGCTCCGTGTTGGGTGCTGGGGCGGCTGATCCGGCTCAGCACCAGCACTAAGAGCCACTGCCGCCTGGTGGCAGCACGCGTGTGTCCTCCAGCAGGTTCCTCCCTTGTCTGGGAGGGACAGTAGGACAGCTGAGATCTGAACACAGCCTCTTAACAGTCCCCAAAGACTCAGTTTCCCCCATCTGCAGAAGAAAAGACTCAGTTTCCCCCATCTGTGGAAGGCTTGAGGGAGCCCACACCCGTCAGGCAGGAGCTCAGCTCTGTGACCCTGGTCTGGCCAATCCTCCCCAGCCCCACCTCCACGGTGGCCAGGATTCCCGGAGTAGCCCTGGGTCAGAGCAGGGGTCTTTGTGCACCACAGGGAGCACCCCTGGCTGGTCCAGGAGGCAGGAGCAGGAACCTGGGGCGGGGACTGCCCTGCTGAGCCGGGACACTTGTTTTCTGGCTGGGGGCGGACGGGGTCTCCAGAGGAGACATGGAGAGAGCAGAGTGGCAGCTTGTGCTGTGCCCCCCACCCCCACTGTGCCCCTGACCTCCCCCAGGCTAGGGAGGGGCACCTGGGTGAGTGGCAGCCTGTATCCCCCCATTCCCCTGATCTCCAGGTTAGGGAAGGGCACCTGGGCGAGTGGCAGCCTGCATCCCCCCATGCCCCTGATCTCCAGGTTAGGGAGGGACACCCTGTCCATGCCCCCCACTGGCCTCCCTGCCCCTGGTGCTCAAACCCAGCTTCTAAAGCCCCTCACCTGGCCTGACCTCCGCATCCCCAGGGTGTCTCCACCACTGGTCCTTTATGGGGACACTTGGATGGGGATGTCTGGTCACACCATGTGACGCTGACCTCAAATCCACTCCCAGAGACCCGGCACCTCCCCTGAGTCCCAAGGTGCTCCCTGCCCCCCACATGCCCATGGGGGTGCGGCCTCCCACGCCTTTGGGGTGCTCTTGGGTCCAGCCTGGTGGGGATGGCTCCACGACACCCGCACTCCAGACTTGTCCCTGGTGCCGTCACCATCCAGCCAGGCCCAAGCTCCATTTTAACAGCTACCCCTGGACCAATGTTTACTGAGTGGCGGGGACTTACTCGCTCTGCAGCCCCCTCTCCAGTCTATGGGACATAGCAGCCTCTGTTGCAGGAGGGAAAAGAAGGCCCAGCGGCCCACGGCCAGCTGGAAGAGGGCAGCCTGGGCCCAGACTGCGGTGGGAGTGCATCTGCAGATGGGGTGCGACCACCGCTGGGACAGGCTGGGCATGTGGTCCTGCACAGCACTCAGGTGAGACGATGTCCAGGCTCCAGAGGGTGGCTCAGCGGGGAAGCCGGAGAGCCTACGTGACCCACACGAGAAGTCTTCAAGGGCCGACCCCATGGCCCACTGCACAGGCCACTGCTGGGCACCCCTGGCTGGGACCTGGATGTGCCACTTGGAATGTCTGAGAACCGCACATCCCAGCAGGTGGCCCCCAGGCAGGTGGCCTCTGAGACCACAGGAAGTGACTGACCGTTGCTGGGTGAGTGGGGCTGGGATCTGGGGAAGCTGAGACCCTCTGGAGGGGTCCGAGTGGGGCGGGTGCCCCAGTGAAGCTCAGCACCCAAGGATGCACAGACAGGAGAGGTGGACTCCAGCCAGTGTGGGGTGCCCTGGGCAGAAACTGGGGTGATCCTTGACCACCTCGGGCCTGATCAGCTACAGGAAGGGTGGGGTTGCACCCTGCACCCCAGAGCACTGGGGAAGCTCCAGGCAGCTGCCAGGGCCTTGTCTTCAGGGCCAGGGACAGTGGCCATGACCATGAATTGTCTGAGAGGGAGGCTGGGGTCCAGCACCTGGGCCATCCGGGGAAGGGGTAGCCCACCCAGCTCCTGCTGTTCCCAGGGGACTCAGGACAGGGCTGAAGGTCTTTTATGTGACCCAGAGCCCCTGAGGGCCCCATGGAGCTGTAGCCCCAGGACAGCCAGCAGGTGCCTAGGCCCCACAGTCAGGTGAGAACACCCCACACTCTCGGAGGGGGGCCTGGCTCAGCTGTCCGAGGCTGTGCCTTGGCCTCCTGCCCCCCAGCAATGTGTCCCTGGCACCTACTTGTTCGTGAGGAGATTCCTGGCCTCAGGCTGCCGTCCCATGTGGGTGGGTGCAGCTGGAGAGAGACGTAGGGGTGGTACTGGCTGGGACACCACCTCCCAGCCCTGCCCCCACTGTGCGAGGCTGAGACATGTGAGGGAAGGGGAGGGGGCTGCCCAGTCCTGGGGTGCCAGTGGCTGTGGACAGCAGCCTTCCATCTGCAGGGAGGCTCAGCAGACAAGTGAAGGAGGAGCCCACCCTGGCCCCAAGAGGAGTGTGTATGACCCCCAGATCCCCCCACCTGAGCCAGGCCCGGTCCTCCTGCTGCCTCCAGGCCTGTCCCTGGGGCCGTGGACTTGCCCAGCATAGCATGGGCACTCCACAGTGGCAGGTGCCAGCCCCAGGGACACCTGACCAGCAGGTGGCCATTGCCCCTTTAGTCTGTGATCTGCTGGAGGTGACCTTTGCTAGGGAGGGGGACCTAGGCTTGGCCAAAAAGTCTTGCTGGGAGAAGGGGGAGCTGAAGGTCTGCGGGTACTGCCACGGCCCTGGGCATGTCCTGTGGGCAGCAGGCTGCCCTGAAATGGCTGTGGCTCAGCTGAGCTGAGGAGACATTCCAGAGACCCCTGCCTGGCCCACTGGTGCTCCCTGGAAAGGGTCTCCAGAGGCCCTGGGTGCCAGGCTGTCCTATCCACCCCCTCCCACCCCTCCCACCTCTGTGGCTGTTGCGGTTCACCCCACCCGAAGCTAGGCAAGCTCTTTTGCTCACAGGGAGGGGTGCAGGTAGGAGTGCCAGCTCTGACCCTTCCTGGACTCCAAGGCAGAGCCACGCTCCTGACCACACCCAGGCCACATGTGCTTAGTTCTGTCCACTGGGCAGAGTCCTGTCCTGATGTACCCTGGGTCCTGGGAGCCTGGGCCTCAGTGGCTGGTGGGCAAAGGGACATCCCAAGTCACTGGCGGTTGGAACCAGAGCTCTGATCAGGGAAGGTGGACCCCCAGGGAGGAGGAGGCAAGGCCAGTGACAGTGAGACCAGGGTGGGCGTGCGGGAGGCCCAGCGGTGTGTGGTGGAGGGAAATGCAAGGCTGGAGGGCAGTGCTGGGCACAGACCTGGGTTTGGCGCAGAAGCCTGACCTGACTCAGGGCCGGATGGTCTCCCCGTTTCCCCCACCCAGTCTCCTGTTCAGTGCACGCCACGCCCAGCCTGCCGTGGGAGGCCTAGGTCTAGTCCTCGGCCTCCTGCGGCCCCTGAGAGATGGGCACCCACTGGAGCGGAGGTTGCAGAGCTGCTGGGGGACGGAGAAGTGTACATCGGTCCTCCAGCCCTGCAGGCATAAGGCAGCTCCGTCAACATGGCCTCCTGCTTCCCCCGGGGATGGGGGATGGGAAGGGGGGGTGTGAACTGAGGTCCTGCAGTGGAGGAGATGGCTAGGGGCTGGGCACAGCAGCGACACCCACCTGGATGCAGATGCCTGGGGCACAGGCCTCCTCCCTGGGAAGGTCTAGGAAGGCAAAAGCAGGGGCGGCTGCCAGGTCACCCTGGGTGGGGGAGGGCAGGTCACAGGCAATGGGAGGAAGGGTGGATCAGGCTAAACACTGTCCTTCTCCCACATCCTCTCAGCACCCACAAAGCAGGGCTGGCCTCCCATCCCTCCCTGCCAGGTAGACTAGACCCTGGGTGGGCTCAGGGCCCGGGTGGGGCAGAGACCACCACAGGGAAGTGATGGGGTCCTGCCGCCACCACCCCCACCTCCCCAGGATGGAGCCCCACTCTCTCGGCTCACTGAGGCTGAAGGGAGCGGGCTGGCCTGGAGTGTGCGTTGGCAGGCAGGGAGCTGTGACTTCCTCCTGTGACACAGGTGCACCTGGAAGTGGGCGGGGCTGGACGAGAAGAAGGTGACCCGGAGGTGGCCCTTTGTGGGCGAAGGCTGGATGGTCATTTTCCAGGCTGTGGGGAGTGAAGGGTGAGACCCCCATCCGGCCCAGCACCCCACCGCCTCCCTTCCTTCCCCAGTGGGCCTGGCGCCTGCCCACTGTACCTCCCCCACACTGGCTTGGCACCGTTATTCCACCTCCCTGACCAGCACAGAGTGATATAAAGGATGTTCTGTGCTGCGTCCACATTGCGTAGGCCTCATGGAGAACTTACTTGGGAAGCGACGCTGTTCGAAAGGGCACCGCACCCAGGACCCCCAACTGGTAGAGAACTGCAAAGTGGGGTGAGGGGTGCAGGAGGGTGGAGTGTGTGTGAGGCAGGGGCAGGGACAGGGGCAGGGACAGGGACAGGCTGGGTCAGCTTCAGGGTGCTCTGGGCCCAGTTCTCCTCCTTAGGCCCTTAGCTCACCCACTGTCAGACCAGGAGGGGGCTCTGAGGGACGCCTGGGAGGCTAGGCTCCAGGGCTGGGCAAGGGCCCCTGCCCCACTCCCCGCCCTGATGCCCCCTGGCCCCTCCCCAAATAGGGCACTGGCAGGCTGTGGCAGCCCCTCACCTTCAGGCAGAGCTGGGGCTGGGTGTCCACCAGCGGGTACTGCACCTGAGGAGGGCTGGGGTCAGGCTGTGGCATCCATGCCCACCCCCATCCCTGCTGAGCAGGCACTCACTCTGCGATGCACCAGCTGGCTGGATTGCTGCAGCTTACGGCAGCCGGCCCCCGGCCCCGGGCGCCAGCACAGGCTCACATGGCCACTCACAGGGCAGGCGGGCTCCCAGCTCAGTGTCTGGCTCTCCGGGTGGTAGTAGACCGTGTCCCACAGCACCTCCAGTGCCTCAGTGTCTGCAGGAACCCTCCCCGAAACACAGGTCAGTTGGGCCCTACCCTGGCTGCCAGGCCCATGGGGTCTAGCACCCACTCAAGTGACCACTGGGCCAGGGTCCAGCGCAGTCCTATGGGTCTCTGAGCCCTGGCTCAAGGCTGTGCACGTGTGTGCATGGGTGCATGTGCATGTGTGTGGATATGCATGTGCATGGGTGCGTGCGCCTATGTGTGTGCCTGTGCATGGGTGTCATGGGTATGGGTGTGCGTGAGTGTGCCTGCCTGTGCATGGGTGTGTGTATGTGTACGTGTTTGCATGGGTGTCATGGGTATGGGTGTGCGTGAGTGTGCCTGCCTGTGCATGGGTGTCATGGGTATGGGTGTGCGTGAGTGTGCCTGCCTGTGCATGGGTGTGTGTGCATGTGTACGTGTTTGCATGTGTATGGGTGTGTATGTGCATGGGTGCGTGTGCATGGGTGCGTGTCCATGGGTGTGGGTGTGCGTATGCATGGGTGTGCCTGCCTGCGCGTGGGTGTGCGTGTGCATGTGTATGTGTGTGCATGTGTATGGGCGTGTATGTTCATGGGTGTCTGTGCATGTGTGTGTGCATGTGTATGGGCGTGTATGTTCATGGGTGTCTGTGCATGTGTATGGGCGTGTATGTTCGTGGGTGTCTGTGCATGTGTGTGTGTGCAGCGTCGCTGAGCAGAACCGAGAGCAGGACGTCTCTCTTGTGCCCCTCAGACAGCCCCTCTTGACAGGCTTGGTTTTCCCAGGTGAGCTGGTCCACGTGCGCACACATGTACATTGCACACACACACACACTTATGCACATCCACATCTGTGCGCAGGTTCCCTTGGTGACAAGCCCTTCCGAGCAGGCTCAGGGATTTAGGCTGGGCCTGCTCCTTATCTCATCCCCCCACGTCAGTCCTCATGGTGGAGTCAGACTGGCCGCAGCCATTCCCACCCTTCCGCCCGTTGGCATCGCAGGACACTTGCCGTTTTCAAAGGGGCAGATCTGGATCCGCACCGCGTCAGGGGTCGCAGACCAGCCCTGTGGGAGGGGCTGGGGTCAGCGCAGCCCACCCATCCCTGTGCTCCCCTCACCCGCCCCAAGTCCAGGCCACACCTCCACCGACCTCCAGGCACAGGCACGGCAGCTCCTGGCTGTAGGGCAGGAAGACGGCCTGGGAGACGCTGTTGGCGGTCACCTGCAACCCAGAAAGGGCGGCTGAGGGGCCGCGCGGGAGGGCGGGGGTGGTCTGGGGTGGGCGGGACCTGCACCGAACGGGGCGGGAGCGGGGACGGGAGGTGGGTGGGGCCTAGGCCTGGCCGGGGGCGGGGCGCGGAGGTGGGTGGGGCCCAGGCCTGGCCGGGGGCGGGGCGCGGAGGTGGGTGGGGCCTAGGCCTGGCCGGGGGCGGGGCGCGGGGGGTGGGCGGGGCGCGGGGTGGGCGGGGCCTAAGGCTGACCGGGGCCCGGGGCGCGGAGGTGGGCGGGGCCTAAGGCTGACCGGGGCCCGGGGCGCGGGCGCTCACTCGCACAGGGGCGCCGGCGTCCTCGCAGGTGAACCGCTTGAGGCAGAGCCGCAGGTAGTAGTCGGGGCTCCCGGAGGCCCTGGGCACTTGCACCAGAATCGCCTTGCGCCTCCGGTCCACCCAGTAGCTGAGCTTCCCCGCTGCAGGAGGCGGCAAGTCGGGGCCGCGCTGGGACCAGCGGTCACCGACGCGGGGCTCTGTCTGTCCCGAGAGCCCCGACGTGGTGGCTCCTGCTGGGTTCAGACGTTTGGGAGTCGCCCGCCCGAGGGCCCCTCAGGATTTCCCAAATGGGGCAGAAGACCCCGGGGAGAGGAAGCCTGTCGCAGCGTCTGAGGGTCTTCGCAGGGGCGTCGAAGGAGGGAACTCACCGAGGCAGTCGGGCACGCTCCTCCCCACGTCCTCCTCTCCGCAGTCTGCAAACCGCAGAGGCAATGGCGGGGTGCGGGCTGCCCTGCCCTCAGGGGCCATCCTCCTCCACCCGCCCCCCATCCACGCGCTGTGCCTCTGTCATGCGACCTCGAATTAAGCCAGAGGTCTTGCGGGGATCTGTCCAGTGTGAGGGCCAGGCCCCTGCCCTGGGCAAGTCCCACCCCAAGCCAGGCCCTGGAGGCTGAACGGTAGCTGTGCTCAGGGGGCCCTGGGGACCCTACCTTCCACGAGGTGCCTCTGGTCCAGCTGGACCCCGCAGAAATGAGGGATGGTCCTCAGGGTGACATAGAGGTGCTGGGCCACGCTCACCGCAAAGCAGCCAAAGTGCACTTGGAGCTGAGCAGGTGCAGGTGTGAGCTGCGTGGACTCAGAGGCACTGCCCACCCCACCCGGCCAGCTCCACTTGCATGGCTGGAGCTTAGAGCCAGGGATGGCGCCCAGGAGGAGTGGCGCCCAGTCTTCGGGACTTGGGTGGCAGAGCCCTGCCTTGGCCTCACCTGCTGCCCCCCCTGCTGCCGGTGGGAGGCCCTGGCCACCCACACGCTCTGACACTGCGTCTCCTGGGTGTCCAGGCTCATGGCACAGGCCTCCAGGCCCCGCAGGCGCTCTGGGTGGAGGAAGGACCCGGCAGGGTGCATCAGAGCAGGGCCGCCCCTGGCTCCGGACGGGGCCGTGGGACCCTGTTCCTCTGCCTTCTCTCTGTGAAGTGCGGTTAGCAGCCCCCCTCCCTCACCAGGCCGCCCAAGGTTTGATGGGAATAAAAGGCACCTGGGCCCACTGCTGGACCTGCGGGTGTTAACTCCCACCCTCGAGGCCACCTCTCACCATGCAGGGTGATGGAGGCGCGTACACGCAGGAGCATCGCGCAGCCGTCAGAGGGGACACACTGCATGGCAGTGGAGGACGTCAGGGCCTCCAGGACTGACCTGGACATGGACACGGGGCGTGGCCGGCAGAAGCTGTTAAAAATGTTCCCTGGGGAGGGAGAAGGAGCGTGAGGCCTCGAGTTCCCTGGTGCTCGGAAAGGCTTTGTGGGTGGTTCTGGGAAGGGGGAGAGAGCCCTGGGGCTGCAGTCTTTGCCAGGGGGTCTTTACTATCTTGCCCCAGGCCAACTGGAGAGCAAGTCCCCTGGCATGTGGTGAGCCCCCACCCCGAGACACACTCCAAAATGTCTGTGGGACCCCAGGAGTGGGCCTGGGTCAGGGGGGCAGGCTGCACACCAGTCTGCATCAGAGCAGTGGAAGCTGCTGCCCCACCTGGCCAGCAAGGGGGCAGGAAGCCCACCACGACTTGCTGGCAAGCTCTGTCGACTCTGCTCAAAGACGAACAGCAGAAAAGGCCAACACGGGCTTGCTGGGACACCTGGGAGGCGACCCCAAGGTTGCTGCAGCCCAGGCCTCTGTCCACAGGGAAGCGGCCGCATCCTCACAGGGAGGACTTGCCCCCAGGGCCTTCTGCTCTGAGACCAAACGCCATTCTGAGCAGCCTCACCAGACGTGGGCAGTGTGGAGCTGGGTATCATTTTGGGCACTGGGGGCTTTGCTCAGCCAGGTTTGCAGGTGGGACTCAGAGCAGAACTTCACGTGAGCCACAGAGCCTGGCAACCCAGCTGTTCCACAGGAGGACTGCCACCCTCTTTATAGAAGGCATGGCCACCGAGGCGTGGGACCCACATGCTGTTGGTGAGACAGTGCGGCTGCTGCTCAGCGGAGCCCACACTGAACACAGCACCCTGCTGAGGCAGGAGAGTAAGGAATGAGGGTAACTGGGGGTGAAGGGAGAAGCAAAAGAACAGCAGGTGCAGCCAGTTCCAGGCAAGATTAGGCAGCACAGGCCACAGCCTCCCTCCTGTGATAATGAGACTTCACTTCAGCCTCTGATTGGTTGCAGGCCGATCCTCCACAGGGTGTAACCCACTGGAAACCTCCAAAGGGCAGCTAGGAGTGTTACCAAATTCTTTTAGCTTTATGAAAACCCTGCGGAGCACTGCATTTGGGGCCTTGGCTGCTTGCTTCGGCCTGCTCCCGCTCTGTGGAGTGCTCCTTCGCTTCAGTAAATCTGTGCCCTCCTTACTCCATTATTTTTTGTTGCTTTACTTGTGTGTTTTGTTCAACACAGCAAGAACCTAGACAACTGACGGTTGAGACCTTCCACCCAGTAACTCTGTGCCTCAAAGGGGCACTGGGAATGAAGTCCGAATATGCTATGGGTAAGAAATCCAACTCTTTCTTTTCTTTTCTTTTTTTTTTTTTTTTTTTGAGACAGTCCCGCTCTGACGCCCAGGCTGGAGCATAGTGGAGTGATCTCAGGTCACTGTAACCTCCGCCTCCCAGCTTCAAGCAATTCTCCTGCCTCAGCCTCACGAGTAGTCGGGATTACAGGCACGCACCACCACGCCCAGCTAATTTTTGTATTTTTAATAGAGACAAGGTTTCACCATGCTGGCCAGGCTGGTCTCAAACTCCTGATCTCAGGTGATCCGCCCACCTCGGCCTCCCAAAGTGCTGGGATAACAGGTGTGAGCCACCACGCCCAGCCAGAAATCCAACTCTTACAAATTCCCACTGTAGTCCGGATGGACTCACAGGGATCTGATTTATCCTCCTGCCTGAGACAGCTGGGAAACCAAGGCAAAATCCATGAGCAATGGTTTCAAGACAAGTGGGCGTGAGAAAGTGAGGGACAGTGAGTCCTGGGAGACAGGAAACGGCCACAGTGAGCTCTGGGAATGCGCCACTGTCTGGGGAGTGTTCTCAGGCAGTGGTGGGGGTGGATCCCAAGTGGAGCTTGG
This sequence comes from Homo sapiens, assembly GCF_000001405.40. Lineage (NCBI taxonomy): Eukaryota > Metazoa > Chordata > Mammalia > Primates > Hominidae > Homo > Homo sapiens. The sequence goes on from NC_000022.11 coordinate 50,003,048, forward strand.
CACACTCCCTGAGAGGAGAAACTGGGATAGAGAGTCTGGGCAGCCGGACCGAGTATGAGAGGGGAGAGGATAACGCAGAGAGAGCTCTGGAGAATATCCACTTTGCTAATACTCTGTGGAGTATTCATGAACACAGGCATGTGAGGGAACGACCAGAGGTGGAGAAAGAACAACCCAAGAGAATTTGAGGGAGTGGGCCGGGCGGGGCTCATGCCTGTAATCCCAGCACTTTGGAAGGCCAAGGCGGGCGGATCACCTGAGATCAGGAGTTTGAGACCAGCCTGGCCAACATGGTAAAACCTGTCTCTACTAAAAATACAAAAATTAGCCAGATGTGGTGGCTCACGCCTGTAATCCCAGCTACTCAGGAAGCTGAGGCAGGAGAATCGCTTGAACCCAGGAGGCAGAGGTTGCAGTGAGCCAAGATCGTGCCACTGCACTCCAGCCTGGAGACAGAGTGAGACTCCATCTCAAAAAAAAAAAAAAAAAAAAAAAAGGCTGGGCATGGATCACACCTGTATTCCCAGCACTTTGAGAGGCCACTGCACCCAACTGACAAAATTTTAAAAACCACTTATCATCTCAATAGTCACAGAAAAATTTTTTGACAAAATTCACCATCCATTCCCGATTAAAAAGAAAAAATATCAGCAAACAGGGAATGAAATTTCCTCAAATTGATAAAGATGATCTGTGAAAAATCTATATGTAACATAACATTTCTCAGTGAAATAATAGATTATTTCCACCCCTCAGATAAAAAACAAGACAAGGATCCCTGCTCTTCTCACTTCGACTCAATACTGCAGGGGGGACCCTACTCCACACAATGAGGCAGGAAAAGAAATAGGCTTCTCGCTTTGAAATGAAGAAGGAAAGTTGTGTACCCTTGTAGATGACATGATTGTCTCTGTAGAAAACACTAGTATCTACAAAAAAGGCACTGAAACTAATAAGTTTAGCAAAGTTGCAGAATACAAGATCAATATACAAAAATCCACTATTTCTTTTTTGTTTGTTTTAGTTTTTTGTTTTTTTGTGTTTTTTTTGAGACAGAGCCTCACTCTGTTGCCCAGGCTGAAGTGCAGTGGTGCGATCTCGGCTCACTGCAACCTCTGCTTCCCGGGTTCAAGCGATTCTTGTGTCTCAGCCTCCTGAGTAGCTAGGACTACAGGTGCGTACCACCACACCCGACTAATTTTTTAATTTGTGGTGGAGACAGGGTTTCGCCATGTTGGCCAGGCTGGTCTTGAACTCCTGACGGCAAGTGATCCACCTGCCTCAGCCTCCCAAACACTGTATTTCTATATACTAGCAAAGAATAACTAGAAATTGAAAATTTAAAAATAAAGCTGGATGGTTTGGGGATAAAAAGCCAGGCTGTGCTAGGGAGTGGGGAGGGGAGTGAGGGGAGCTTTGTTCCCAAGGCTGGTGTTTCCTTCCCTTGGAGCATCATCCCCGGGGCTTGGTATGCAGCAATCTTCAGAGAAATGACTGTGCCTTAGAGCTCGGTGTGTATGTTGTCATCCATATGTGTGAGGCCAACAACTCCCCTTTAATCCTAGCACTTTGGGAGGCCGAGGAGGGCAGATCACCAGAGGTCAGGGGTTCGAGACCAGCCTGGCCAACATGGTGAAACCCTGTCTCTACTAAAAATACAAAAATTTGCCAGGTGTGGTGGTACACACCTGTAGTCCTAGCTACTCGGGAGGCTGAGGTAGGAGAGGAAGGGAGGCAGAGGTTGCAGTGAGAAGAGATCATGCCACTGCACTCCAGCCTGGATGACAGAGCAAGACTCCATCTCAAAAAAAAAAAGACAACCTCCTTTATGCAAGAAATGAGAAATCTGCATCTTTTGACCCTTTCTAGAAAAAAGACAAAGACTTATTCCAGGCAACCAAGAAAGAATCAAAACCAGAAAGTAAAAAAAAAAAAAAAAAAAAAAGGTGAAGCCACGGAGGAGAAGGACTCACGGTGAGCAAGGAAAATGAGGACATATACAGAGTTAGTGAAACGGGCGCAGGAGGAGAAGCTGCTCATTGTGAAATAAAATGTATAAAAATAAGAACAGGATCTTGTCCCAACTAAGCTGACAAAATGAAGAGGAGGCTGTGTAGAAGGAAGGGTGAGTAAAGCAGAAACACACAAGATTAGTGTGGTACAAAACAGAATTCATTGTTACTGTGTGGAAAAAACTGTGAAACTACAATTCATCATAAACACTTAGCAATAAATATGTTTTGCCTTATTCAAAATAAGGCATAAAAATAATATCCACAGAGTCTTACTGAAAAAACGCCTAACAGATGTGCTTGCTTCAGGAAGGAGAAGGGAGCTCAACAGGAACAAGTGGGTTACAGAAAGGAGCAGCGAGGAGCAGGGAATGGGAAAACACGATGGGGAATTGGGAATTCAAGCTGGTGTTGACAGAGGAGGAGGCTGAGGACAACTCTGTGTGTTTAAAAATACCTGGGCCGGGCGCGGTGGCTCACGCCTGTAATCCCAGCACTTCGGGAGGTCGAGGCGGGCGGATCACTTCGGGTCAGGAGTTCGAGACCAGCCTGGCCAACATGGTGAAACCCCGTCTCTGCTAAAAATACAATGATTAGCTGGGCATGGTGCTGCTGGGCGCCTGTAATTCCAGCTACTTGAGAGGCTAAGGCAGGAGAATCCCTTGAATCCGGGAGGCGGAAGTTGCAGTGAGCCGAGATTGCGCCACTGTACTCCAGCCTGGGCAACAAAGCGAGACCTTGTCCCCCTACCCCCCAGAAAATAAAAAAATAAAATATACCAAAAATAAAAATAAAAACACCCTGGGACTACACTTCCCTCATATGGGAGACCCGGCCATTTGCACCAACTCAACTGCTGAAAAGTACCAATTGGGCTGGAGAAAAAAACATATGTTTTTTTAAAAACCTTCCTAGAAACGTAGGAGAGCTGCGAAAATAATCAGGATGGGGGTGCTGAGGAAAGCAGGGCGTAGGAGGTTGCTTTACAGGGGTGGAGGATGGAGGGAACGTTTCCAACCCAGTGGGAGCTGAGGGCTTTGTGGGGAGGCCCCAGCACATGGTGAGGAAGAACTTCCCCACGTTGAGCTAGGCCTTGACCTGGGTTAGCCAGAGCTGGACCAACCCTCTCCCCAAAGCCCAGGCACTGTTCCAGACTCGCTGAGTGGAGGAGCAGGGAGAGAAAGCTCCCCCAAAGCCCACAACCCAGTACAGATTCACAGCCCAGGTTGGGCCCACCAGGAAGACCCATGAAACCTCAGTCTGTGAATCTGGTTTAAACGGCCCCGACAGTCAGACACTGCTCCTGGCACCACCCAGGAGCAACAGGAATCCAGCCTCCGGGAGGCCCTGAGTCCTGGGACGTTGAGCCGCTGAAGGTAAACAAGCACACCAGGAAGCAGAGAGCCCAGAGTGACGCTGTGGAGAGGGTGGGCCCAGGTGTCCTCCAGTAACAAGCCACAGGCCAAGCAGGCGAAAAAACAGGCTTGAAAATACAGGCAGCAGGAAAGGCTGTGATGAGGGACCAGGCACACTTGAGAGAAATGGAATTCCTAGAAACAAAACCACCACGACAGAATTAAAATACAACGGGTGATTTTTAAGAGCAGATTGGGGCCGGGCGCAGTGGCTCACGCCTGTAATCCCAGCACTTTGGGAGGCCGAGGCGGGCGGATCATGAGGTCAAGAGATCGAGACCAGCCTGGCCAACATGGTGAAACTCTGTCTCTACTAAAAATACACAAAAAATTACCCAGGCATGGTGGCACATGCCTGTAATCCCAGCTACTCAGGAGGCTGAGGCAGGTGAATTGCTTGAGCCCAGGAGGCAGAGGTTGCAGTGAGCCAAGATTGCACCACTGCACTTCAGCGTGGGCAAAACAGTGAGACTCTGTCTCAAAAAAAAAAAAAAAAAGGGAGGGGATGTTAAACTAAAAAACCTATATGACAATTTTCATAGATGCAGAAATTTTTCATAAAATTCAATACCTATTCATGATGAAAGAATGTTTAGCAAACTAGGAAAAGAAAGGCACCTCTTTGTCTAGATCAGGGACATCTAGTGCAAACATCCAATAAACTTAATACTGAACAGTAAACCTTTGGAATCATTACTATTAATATCAGGACTCAAACAGGAATTCCCTCATTCACCATTGCCCTGGAGAGCTGAGCCAATTCCACAAGATCCGCCCCCTCCACCCAATGCGTAGGTTTATGAGCTGTCATTAGCTGCAGAATATGTGATCATCATTAAAAAAGGAGACTCCATAGGAAATCTATTAGAAATACTAAAGAGCTTTATCTTTTATTTGTTTATTTATGTTTTTATGAGGCAGAGTCTCACTCCATTGCCCAGGCTGGAGTGCAATGGTGCAATCTTGGCTCACTACAACCTCTGCCTCCTGGGTTCGAGTGATTCTCTTGCCTCAGCCTCCCAGGTAGCTGGGATTACAGGCAAGTGCCACCACACTCAGTTAATTTTTTTGGGGGGGGGATTCTTAGTACAGACAGGTTTCACCATGTTGGCCAGGCTGGTCTCGAACTCCTGACGTCAGGTGATCCACCTGCCTCGGCCTCCCAAAGTGCTGGGATTACAGGTGTGAGCCACCGCATCAGCCATGCTTTGCATTTGTTGTTTGTTTGTTACTATAGTCCGCTTTGTGAATTTGCATGTCATCCTTGCGCAGGGGCCAAGCTGATCTAATCTCCTCCCTTAAGCTTAGAGGTCCTTGAGGTGAAGAAACATTTAAGTAAAGTTTAGCCATCTATTTTTCTGTTAAATTCAAGTAAAAATAAAATAGTTTAAATGACATAAGGTAATTTCATTTCTATAAAATAATTTTTATCTGTTTATCCTGCAAATATCTGTATATTTGGCTACACAAATGTCTAGAACAGGCCAGGCATGGTGGCTCAAGTTCACAATCCCAGCACTTTGGGAGGCCGAGGCAGGAGGATCGCTTGAGCCCAGGAGTTTGAGAACAGCCTGGGTTTGGTTGACCAACCAGAGATAGGAAGACTTCAGGTCTATTCCTATGAAAATCAAAAATAAGAAAAAAAACCCCAAAATGCCTAGAGCAATGTTTGCCTAGGTAAACACTGTTTATTTCTACATGGAGGCTTTCCAGTGAGCCTTAACTTTCTTCCTTGTGGCATCTGCATCACTCAGAGTCCTTTTATAAATAGATACGCTGTTTAACAAAGACAAGGTAGTTGTTAAAGGCCCAGTAGGGATCACTTTACACAGGGAAAAAGCTTTGCTAGAGGAGACGGGGTTTTCCACCTGCTGCTTCTGGGCGGCCGGTTTGGAACGCAACGAGGCATTGTGCGTTAAGTGGAGACGTGGGACTCTCTGGCAGGCCCACCTCTGGCCAGGAGCCAGGGTGGCCTTGCCTGGGTGTGGCCAGGGTCCCACACGCATCGGTGAGTGATAGAGGTTTGCCCTGCCCAGAAGGGAACCCCAGCTGCTGGGGACACTGCAGGACAGACCTGCCTCCCACGGTGGACAAAGCGGCCCTGGTAGCCTGGGGTGGGGAGTCCAGGCCCTGAGCATCCCCCGGGGCTGAGATGTACTCACGGTTCCTGTGGCTCCTGCAGGCAAAGCCCTGGGGACAGAACAGTGAGAGGGGTGAGCGGCTGAGGGCACCCCCTCCCCAGCCCATCCTGCTCCTGCCCTGTCCCTCACTCCTGGGGGTCCTGGGCTGCCCTGAATCCTGGCTTCTCCTCAGTGTCAGGGGCCTGGCCCAAGGCTGGCATGCGGCGGTCACTTAGTAAACAGTGTGGTCTGAATCCCTCTGGACCCTCAGGCCCCAGCTCCCCGACCCACTTGTGCGTTTAAGTGGACACTAGCAGAGCACCCACTACGTGCCAGGCTCGCTTAGGTGCTGGGATTCATGAACAGAGGAAAACTGAACCATCCCCACCTCTCCAGGAGCTCACATTCCGAGAAGGGGGAGACAGAACGATCCGAAACCTGGGAAATCAGCAACTTATATTCTGTGTAACTAAAATAAAGGGGTGGGAAAATAACAGAGGGGTCAGGAGGAGCAAGAGGGGTCCGGATAGTGTGGGGGGTGCAGGTTATAAATCTAAGGGGTGCTTGGGGGGCCTCATAGAGGTCAATTTCATGGGCCTGGAAGCAAGTGAGGCTGAGTTGGTGGTGCGGGGCGGGGGCATGCCGTGCAGTGAACAGGTCCTGGATGGTCCAGGTCCAAGCTGCACTCCTGATTTATGATCATCCCCAGCCCAACCTGACCAAGGGCACTCAAAGAGGGGCATGAGGACTTGTGGCCAGGCTCCCACGGGGCAGAAGGGTCCTGTGGGACAGGCTGCTCGCAGACAGCCTGTGGGTGAGGCAGAAGGCGCCCGGCACCCCGGCACCAACGGCGTGGGAGCTGAGGTCCGAGAGCACAGGGTGGCACTGGCGCCCTCAGAGCAGGGCAGGACCCCCAGAGTCCAGGCCCCCTGGGGGCGGCCACTGAGCCTGGGGTGTTGGACTGTGCAGCCCGCGGTCAACACAGCCGCTCCATTCTTGAAAAGAGCTGACCCTCTACAGACCGGACGGGGAAGCCCAGGCTGTCGGGGTGGGGGTGGGGGTGGGGGGAGCTCAAGATGGAGACCTGGACTTCTGCTCCTAGCCCAGGTGGGAACACGGAAAAATAAAAGTCGGGCCCACTTCTGTTCCTTGAATTGTGGAGCGGGCATTACCGGTGGCTACACCTCCTTCTAAATATTTTTTATTTTGGAATATGTTTAGATTTACAGAGAGTTTACCCAGGATCCCCTCATCTCAACAGTTTCCCGTGCATCTGCAAAACCTGGGGAGCCACATGGGTGGCGGCAGTCAGTGACCCTCAGTCTGGTGTGGAATCGGCGGCAGTCAGTGACCCTCAGTCTGGTGTGGAATCGGCGGCAGTCAGTGACCCTCAGTCTGGTGTGGAATCACGTGCTACTAGTGAACTGTTTTCTGTTCCAGGGTCCAGCGCAGGACCCCACCCTGCAGATGGCCTCTGAGTCTTCGTTCTCACCCCACCGTCTCTACCCATTTGCCGACCACCCCAATAACTCCCCAGAGACTGCCGTGAGTGACCCTCCTCCGCCTGCCATGGCCACGAAACCCGCCGCCCGTGGGCGGAGTATACAGGCTGGACCCAGCGTCCTGATGGAAGCCCCGGCCTCGGCCCCTGGTGGGGAGCAGGGCCTCAAACGAGGGGCCGGCGGAGCTGACCCCAGGCTGCTGAGGGCTCCGCCCAGGCAAAAGGGGCCGGGCTCACCCGGGGCAGCCTCTGGGGAACGGGATCCGAGCAGGCCTCAGGTGGGCAGGCGAGGGCAGCCCAGACCAGCCCGGGCACAGAGGGAGCGGCGGAGGCAGCGTGGGGAGGCCCAGTGAGGCCGCCTGTGTGGAACTGCAGGGGGGCAGTGGCGTGGGTCCCCGGGCCTCCCTCCCGCCAGGTGCCCTGAAGCCCCTCTGGGCGCCCACTGTGGCCTGGACTCCCCGCATCCACCTTCAGGAGAGAAAGAATCCCCGCTGGGGGCTCGGAGGCCGGGGTGGGCTGGAGAGGCGAAGGGCGTCTGCTCTCTCTCCTGACTTCCTGGACTCTGAAGCCCACCCAGGGCTGGCCCCGTGGCCCGAGTGTCTGGGGCTGCAGGAGAAGCCGCTGTCGGGGGCGCGGAACGTCGCGCGGTTCTGCCCCGCCCCTGCCCCACGGCACGGGGAGCGGGACCCGGGCGCGCTGGGGGGAAGGTGGGGGGAGCGGGGGCGGGGGGGGGCTGAGCCCGGGCGCTGGGCGCCTCCCCCGCACGGGGTTTTCCGTCGTGCTTCTCGGGGCTTCCCAGCGGCCGGCGTCGGGGGGTGTGCAGGGAACCCCCAGGGCGGCTGCTCGCGGCCCCACCCCGCCCAAGCTCCCCTGCATGCGGCCCAGCCTCCCGCCGTCACCCGCGCGGGTCCCCCCCCAGGGCGCGGCTGTAGCCCCAGCCTCCCCTCCCTGGCTTCCCCCCGCGGGCAGGGGCTCCCGCGCCCCCTCGCAACCACCGCCCTGTCCAAGGCTGCCCAGGCAGCGCCCCTACACCCACCTCCAGCTTCCCGCTCCTCTTGTCACCCCTTGACCCCTCCTGCTCAACCCTCCCCACCCCATCTTCCATGAGACCCTCCCTCAGCCCCGCCAAACCCCTCCTCTCCTCTCCCCTCCAGCACTTCCCCTCCTTCCTGGCCTCTTCCACCCGCCTCAGCCCCTGCCCTTGCCCCTGCCCCTTTCCTTGGAGTACTGAGGGTTCAATCTTGGTCCCCACCCATTCCCCAGGATCACCTGGCCGTCCTAGCGTGGACAGCGCGGTCACACCTCGGACCGGGAGGCTGCCTGCATACCCCGCAGCCGCCTCAGCAAAGCTTTCCAGCTTGCACTTCAAGGCCGCCTCCCCCCATGTCTCCCAACTCAGGGACCATTTCCTCCCAGAGGCAAAAGTCGATTCTGAGGTCTCATCTCTCGCTTCTCCTTCCCCCTCCTAGCCAGGATCCCCAGGCCTGCCCCCTCCCTGTTTTCCATCTCCACTGCAGGGTGGCATCCGGTGGACACCCCTCCCACCTGAACCCGCCCATCTCCCCTGCTGCCACCGGTTCCCACGCATCCCAGCCTGCTTTCTTCCTTGTTCCACGAATGCCCTGTGGATCTGAGCCTGCCCATGGCACCCAGCACTCCAGCCCTTGCTGCTCCCCTCCCTGAGCTGAGCCCTCTGCTGGACCCGTCTCAGGCCCTGTGGAGCTGCTGGATGTCCCCGCAAGTGTCCCCTGAGGTGACCAGGCCACCACCCTAAAGGCACATCTTGCTAACTGCTGTCCCCATGCCAGGAACGGTGCACCCAGCAGGTCCTCAGTGAGTCCTCCCTTTCCGGGACACCTTCTGTGCCCTTTCCATGCCTGTGTCCCCACTGTGCCCGGCCAGCCTTGGGCACCGGGGCCCCTTCCTGGGATGCTGGGTACACTTCCTGCTGCAGGTGCTGATGAAGCGCCCTCTCCTGTAAGGCTGAGTGAGTGGGCTGTGCAGTGAGAGCCCTCCACCCCAACCCAGCCACCTCCACTGCCAACATCTCATTCTCAGCACGTTCTCCGAGTGTTTCCTTGGCAGGTGTCTACACAAGCCCAGGTGTTGCGGGCTCCCGATGGCTCAGAGCAGCCGAGCGGGGTGGGGTGGGAGCCCCGGATGGGCTTGCGGGCTGCCCTAGATTCTAACACAGCCTCCTTGGAGGTCACAGGTGGGTCCGAGGTGGGCTCACCCTGCCTTGAGCTTCCAGCAAACACTTCCCGGAGCAGCTCGGCAGGGTCAGGCCAGGTCTCCCATCCTTCTTTCACCAGCGCTGCCCTCGGACCCCCCAGGGCCCTGCAACCCCTCACCTGCTGATGTGCTGAGAGCGTCAGGCCAGACCCACCTGAGGAGAAACCAGGGCCTTATCTGCCACAGTGTAGGGGCCTAGGAGGAGGCAGGAGCTTACCTGAGAACAGGAGAGGCCACATTCTGTAATCCGGGGGATGGCCAGGCTCTGGAAAGTGCCCCAGGTCAGGCCCAAGAACGCGAGTGCTTGCCCAGCCAGCATCTGGCTGTGCAGTGAGAGCTCCCACTGGTAAGCGTGGATGTGAGTGGGGCAAGTTTGCAGGATGCCCTGTGGCAGCGGCTCCAGGCTGACCCTGCAGCTCCAGCCCCAAAGACAAACAGAGGGTGGAGGCTGCTCTTCACAGCTGGAGCGAGCGAGACACTCCCCCTCCCGGCAAAACAGGGCTCGCTTCACAGACAGCAGCCCGGGAGACTTTCCACCGCCTGGGGCCAGAAGACTGTGGCCAGACACTTGTGGAGTTTCTAGGTTTCCAAAGGAAGCATCCAGAAACCTTGGGGCCTTTGGGGTCCGAGGACACCCTAATGGGGTTCCCCACAGGGCGGCCACTGGTGCAGAGATGGCTCCAGGCCGGCGGGATAGGCTGCCGCCGGCGTGCACCTCCCTCAGGCATGCATGAGGCCAGGAGGGTAGACAAGGGCCCTGGAAAGCTGGCTGGGCTGGCAGAGGGGTGGAATCTGTCCTGGGCACTCATACCCCAGAGCCCCTGGCTTCAGCCCCAGCCCCTAAGGGGAGCCCTCTCCTAAGACCTGAGATTCCACCCAAGTCCCTGGCCTCCACCTCCCCTCAAGATGCAAAAGGCCACCTCCCCTGTGTGGTCCTCCCTATGAGCCCCCCCCCACTCCGGAGGGCACCCCCCGAGGCTGGGAACTCTGGGGCCCAGCCTCTGCTCAGGGAGCCGTTCTGTGTCATCTTCTTATTTGGAGCATCAAATGCATAGGAAAGTTTCTGGGCAGAAGCTTACTGCTTCCCATTTGCCTCCAGCCAGGGCAGGGGGTTGGAGAGAACCAGGGTGCAGTTCTTGGGTCCTCCTGGCTCCTCCCTTCCTGGACAGGCACAGAGGCTTCTGCACCTGCCTCAGGTTCTGGGAGGGCACTGCCCCACGTGTGTGTGTGTGTGTGTGTGTGTGTGTGTGTGTGTGTGTGTGTGTGTGTCTGTGTGTGTGTGGGGGGGGGATGGCGGGAGTTAATAGCTGGGGAGCCTGGGAGTGTCTAGCTGGGGTGTTCTGCCTGGAATACCCACAGGACACCCCAAGTGTGGAGGGCGGCACCACCCCCAGGCTGGGAGAGGCTGTGGGCCTCACACTGTGGGCTCGGGTAGTCAGGAGGGAGCTTGAGAAACAAGCTCTGGGGTTCGGTCCCAGGGGAGGGAAGGCGGCAGGGGCTGCTGTGACCGTGAAGTCCTCCCTCCCTCCCACCACCCCGCACTGCCCACCTCCCTGCCTCCTGGGCCAGCACCTCGACCCTGCCCCCGCCTGGCCTAGAGCCCTCCATGGGCTGGAACTTATGCACTCACTGCTGGGCAGAGTAGATGGGGCTGAGCCCGCCCCCTGCAGCAGCGTGCCTGTGGCCACAATGCCCTGGAGAGAGTGGCTAGTGCCAGCCTCCATGCCACGGCATGGTCAGCAGCAGGCAGGCACATTTGGGGGTGGCTCAGGACGGGCCACTGTCATCCCCTATCCCAGGCTGGCTGAGCTGTAAGACAGATACTCCAGCTGGGCCTCGCCCCTCAGCCTGGCCTCCAGCCCTCCTTATACCAGGGGACGATGGGGGCTGCTGTACTGTGGCAGGGGTGTCCCAGACGATGTCCATGGGCACGGCCAGCAGGATCATTGGGAAAGGACAAATGTCCCTCCCCCATGGGCCCACTCACACCCAAACCTCTCTCCAGGCCTCTCTGGGACAGGCCCCCACCACGACACACCCGTTGCCTGAAGGCGCCATCCCAGCGTGCCGTGACGCAGGCAGGGGCTGCAGGTGGCCAGTAGTCGGTGATCTCGTGTAGGGACGGCCCACGGGGTGTGGCTGGTGCTGGTTCCAAGGCCCAGGGAAGGACAGTGGGGCCGGCCTCTGCCCTCTGCCCCAGGCCCCCGGCCACCCTCTCCAGCCTGAGGTCAGAGGGCTCCAGCCCTGTCTCTGAGGGCTGGGGGATTGGCCCTGCTCAGTATCCATGAAGAGCCAGGCCACGGGCTCCTGGGCGGGCCCCGGCCACCGAGATCACCCACCGCAGCTGGGCGAGGCCTGGGGTGGGGGTGGGGTCTTTCCAAGTCTGGGTCTCCAGGGCAGCACGGCCACACAGCCCAGTGACCATCGGTCGCCCAGAAGCCCAACGGTGAAGGGATCTGAGGGTCCAACCCCGGGGGCTCCCTCCGCGCCCGCGCTGGGCACCAGATGGGAGGAAACGGGGTGCGGAGACCCTGGGCGGCGCCGAGACTCGTCGGACGAACGCGGGAAGGAACGAACCAGCGTCCGCCCGGGACCCGGGCTGGAGCCTTCCCCAGAGCGGCTCGGAGGGTCCGGAGCGGGTGCGGGGGTGCTGGGCACGAGGTTCCCAAGAAAACCACGGCGAGGACGCGGGTTCACCACAACAGCGCTGTGTTCTCGGCCTCAGCTCCGCGCAGGTTTCCACGGAGACGCGCGTGGCTCCGGGTCGTCGTCCTGGTCCCCGCGCCGGTCCCGACTCACGGGGTCCGCGGGCTGCAGCTCCGCCCGCCGAGCCGCACGAAGGACGCGCCCTGCAGGACCGCGGCGCAGAACGAGCGGCAGCGCTTGCAGGGCCCGGCGGGTGGCAGCAGCCCGCGGCACACGAGGCAGGGCGGCGCTCGGGGGTCCCTCGGCAGCCCTGGGGAGGGAGGGGCGCTGAGACCGCGTGCGCCGGCCCCACATTCCCCGGCCGCGCCTCCCTCCACCCCGACAGCACTCGCCCGCCCCGGCGCGCCCCGGGACTCCCCACCCCCTACAGCGCCTTCCTCCACCTGCAGTCGCGTCCCCGGGCCCCGCCCACCCCGCCCCCCGCCACCGCTCCTCCAGCCCACTGACCTTCCCACACCCCCCGGGAACCCTGGACTGCGTCCACAGACCCTGAGCCCACAGATCCCTGAAACCTCGCCCCTGTCCTCTCCTACCCCAGCCCACCCCCGACCGCGCCCCAGGCCCCCTGACTGTGCCTAGCGCCCCTTGACCTCGACCCCAGGTCCCCGGACCGCACCCACCCGTCCCTCAATCCACACCCACCAACAGGCGACGCCCGCGCCCCTCAAGGCCACGCCCCCAGGCAGGCCCCCCAGGGTCACCCTTATCACCTGCAAGACCAGCCCCAGGTGGCTCCCAACTCGCTCCTGCATGGAGCCCACCTGCTTCCCCCAGCTTTCGGAAAACCAAGACCTCCACTCAAACGCAGGGGGGCGGGGGTAGGGTGTCGTCCCTCTGGGATGAAGGCTCTGCGGATGGGAGGTCCCCTTCCCCACCCCCCTCACCCTCCCTAACGCCCCTCCACCTGGCCCCCCACCCCAGAGGGGCAGTCCAGCTCTGCCTCTAGCTTGTCAGCCTCTCTCAGCCCTCCTCCAGGTGAGTCCTGCCTAGAAGGACCCAACCGGCCAGGAGATTTGGAGAAGAGCAGCCCCCACCCCAACTCGTCCTGCCCTGCTGTGCCTGGGCTCAGGTTCAGATGCCTGGTGCTGAGGACCCATCCCCACTGGGCCAGGACCAAGTGGGTGGTGGGTTCAGGACGGTGCCTGCAGGCGAGGGCCAGCAGCATGCTGGGCCAGCCACAGAGTCCCAGGATGGGTCAGCAGCTGGAGGGGTCAGGAGGGAGGTGGGAGTGTTAAGACTGGGGGTGCTCCAGGAGCCACCGAGTCCCCACAAGAGGCTGCACCCAGTGCAGGCCATCTGGACACACTGGCACCTTCGAAGTGGGCCTGGGCTGGGGCTCCTGGTGGAGCTAGAAGACCTGCTACCCACAACCTGTGGTCAGACCTCACCAGGGCCCATGGGCAGTTCTGATGCCAGGAGCTGCCGGAGGAAGCACACCCCAGGCCCACCATCCCACGTGGTGCCCGTGGTCTGGCAGGCGGCCACGTGGTGCCCGTGGTGTGGCAGGCGGCTGCAGACCGTGCCCTCTCCTGCATGGACTCAAAGGTGGCAGCCGTGATGGGTGAGAGCAGGTAGCTGCCGTCCACCGCAGGGCTGGCCACTCAGCAAGGCCACCCCCTGCATGGGAGCTGCTGCGTTTTGAGAACTTTCACGCAGTTCCTCGGAGCGTCACAGGATAGGCAAGGCTGGCAGGTGTGACCACCATGTGTCCCTTTCATCCGAGAGGCTGGGGCCTTGGCCTGGCTCTCACTGGCCTCCAACCGCTGTCCTTGCCCTGGGGCTGTCCCGGGTCCCTGGCCAGCCCTTCTCAGTGGGGTGAGCCTGTGCCAAGCCCCGTCCCCCATGTACTGGGGCTGGTGAGTCAAACTTCAGGTTGCCCAGGCCAGGAAGGACTAGGGGAAGGCCAGCCTGCACACTTGCTGCAGCTATAGCTGGTGGGGGAGGGACAGAAGGAGCCCCAGGGTGGGGTAGGGATGTGGGGTGAAGAGGGGACTCCCTGGTTTTCCTAGCCGCCAGGGCTGTAGGTTCCCAAGCAGCCACAGCCCAGCCCAGAAGTGCAGGCACCACCCTGCTGGGGCACCCACCGCCCACGGCAAACTCCGAGCCCCAGGCTGAGTCACTCTTCCTGGGGGGCTGGGTGGGGAGAGCCCCCAGTGCCTATGCAAAGCAGTCCTTGGCTTCCGGGAACCTCGGAAGGGCTGGGCCAGCTTGGCCCATAGGACAGGCCAGGGCCCACGTGGCACAAGCAGGGCATGAGCAGCAGGAAGAACGAGGTGGGAACAGCTCCCACTCCCCAGGGCTCTCATCCCAGCGGAGAGACGCACGGAGGCCGGGCACAGGACTGGGAGGTCAAATCTGCCAGGGTGGCCCAGCGCAGCAGGCCAGGTAGCACTGCGGGGCAGGGCCTTGTCCCCCAGGCACCCAGGGCCTGATGGGACCCACCGGGGTGCCCAGAAAGTGTGTGTCCAGTAAGTCGGGGCAGAGGCTGGGCCCACCCTAAGTGAAGGAGGAGGGGACGTGGTGTCTGCGGCTCTCCGTGTGTCTGTGCGTGATTAATGGAGCATGCATGAGCTAACCGAGCAGCTGGTGTGGGGCCTGGACCCTGCTGAGGGAGGGGAGGCCCAAGGCCTGGGCCCCAACCCTGTATGGAGGCCAGGGCTGGGGTGAGACTCATTGTGGGGTGTCAGCAGGCTCCGGGGAGCCACTAAAGCCCATGGGGTGCACTCAGTACCTGGGAGTCTGGGACCCAGACCAGCCCTTCCAGGGAAAACCACCAAATAAGGGCATAAGATAGGAAAAGCATCACAAAAACAAGCAAAAGCAGCAGGCAAGACGGTAAAGGAGGACCAGGTCCAGGCCAGGGAAGGTGAGTGAGCCCAAGGAGAGGGCGCTCTGAAAGGTGCCCGGCCCCGAAGCTCCTCCCTCTGAGACTTTGCCACCAGGGCCACCTGGAGCTCTGGGTCCCAAGGCCCTGGAGTGTGGGGACAGAAGACACCCCATGCCCCCAACAATATGCAGCCCCAAACAGCTGGGTGCAAGGGTGAATCAAAAACAGCAGGGTATGGTGCACACCTGTGGTCCCAGCTACTCAGGAGGCTGAAGTAGGAGGATCGCTTGAGCCTGAGAGTTGGAGGCTGCAGTTGGAGGCTGTGACTGCACCACTGCACTCCAGCCTGGGTGACAGAGTGAGATCCTGTCTCAGAAAAAAAAAAAAAGAAAGAAAAAAGATCAAATAATTTTATTAAAAAGTAGAACTTCTAAAAATGAAAACTTTAAGAAATTAAAACTTCAATGGGTTGATAGCATTCTGAAATGAGCTGGAAGACAGGCGAGGAGATATTTTTAGAATGCAGCACAGGCAGCTAAATAAATCAAACAAAGAAGTGGGAGACTAAAAGATACCGGGAGAGAGAGAAGGCTTAGCAAACATTTAGTTTGTATTCCAAAGGGAAAGAGACAGAACGGGGTGGAGGCAATATTTAAAGACATAATGGCTGAGAGAGTCCCATAATTGAATAATGACACCAGCGCACACATCAAAGACATTCAAATTCCAGGTTGAATAAGTAAAAATCAAACTGAACACTCAAAAGCTGGCAGATAGAACTGACAGCTCCCCTTGGAGAGTGATGGCTGACTCTGCTGATTTTCCCAGAGCCACAGCAAAGACAAGATGGTGGAAAGACGTATTCAATGTTCGGCGGGAGAGTGGCTGCAACCTGTACTCCTGCTGCAGAGAATCTGACGCTGTCATGAACCTGTGTGGAAAAGATATTGACAGACCAAAAGCTCATCCGAACGTCCCATCACTGGCACCTTCCTAAGGGACACTGTCTTGAGCAGAAAGAAAGTGGTTCAGAATGAACATGGTTGGAAGTCTGAGACTCAGGAAGAGTGAAGGGCAAAGAGGAATGTATGTAGTAAATCTAAAAACCACTGGCTGTGCAAGCGATGATGATAATCATGCCCAGTAGACTGTTAAAAACATTATTAAACAGGCTGACAGCAATAGCAGGAAGTCAGAAGGGAGCACGGGACTTCACATTTTCCAGGCTTCAAAGTCGATATATTGCCAGGTGGGTATAAGTGTGACTTCCTTCACTTTAGATTTTGATAAGTTTAACGTGCAATGAGTAATTTGTAGGCAGTGAGTAAAACACCAGAAACAGAGTCTGTAACCTCCAAACCAGAAGAAGGAAAAACCAAAATGAGAGAAGAAGCGTCAATGAAAACTAAGGCAAGAACAGAGAGAAAAAGGAACATAGAATAGATGAGATCAACAAAAGTTAAATGAAATCAAATGGTAGGTACTGTGGTCATCAGGCTCCAAGGCAGCCCCCAGTGATCCTCACCCCCAGGCAATCACGCATGTGTGCTCCCCTCCTGTCTGGATCAGGATTGAGGTGCATGGCCAGTAGAATATAGGGGCAGCAGGGGTATGTGATGTCTTGGGTGAGGTCATAAAGACCTCATGAATCTAGTGGTCTCTCTTGAATCACTCACTGGAGGAAGCCAGCTGCCATGTTGTGAGGACACTCAGCCCTGTGGAAGGTCCACGTGGGAGGGACTGATGGGGGGTGCACCATCAGGGAGGTGGGTCCCCAGCTCCAGGCAAACCTTCAGATGAGGCTGCCTCAGTTCACACCGGGACTGAGCTTCAGAAGCATCCCTGAAGCAGCACCATGCCGAGGAGCCCTTCTCGGACTCCTGAGCCACAGAAAATGTGGAGGATAAATGTTTGCTTTGCCACAGCTCTGCTTTGCAGTGATTTCTTATGCAGAATCAATCACCACAGAATCCATGTACATGATTACATTAAACGTAAATGTTACATGCACTGGTTAAAAGACACTGGCAGTCCGGAATTTTATGCAGAGAAATATGTAAAACATAAGCTTATATAATGATGAAAGAAAAAACATACCAGGAAAATCCTCACCAAAATAAAATTAGTAACAATCTGAAAACTCTAAAGCAAGAACTGACAGAATTACATGCATCTTATCATACTTTTCTTAGTAACTGATAAGCAAACTAAGAAAATGAAATATGTCAACAACACAATAAACAAATCTGGCCCAACTCATGATACTGAACAATTTCAGAATTACATATTATTTGCACCAAGAAATATTTACAAAAATTGATGACCAAAAGCAACTGACAATCATCTAATGACTCACAATCCTCCATCTGACATGTACTCCTCCATCTGACATGCACTCCTCCATCTGACGTGCACTCCTCCATCTGATGTGCACTCCTCCATCTGACGTGCACTCCTCCATCTGACGTGCACACCTCCATCTAACGTGCCCTCCTCCATCTGATGACGTGCACTCCTCCATCTGACGTGCATTCCTCCATCTGACAATGTGTACTCCTCCATCTGACGTGCACTACTCCATCTGACGAAATGCACTCCTCCATCAGATGATGTGTACTCCTCCATCTGACATGCACTCCTCCATCTGACAACATGCACTCCTCCATCTGATGATGTGTACTCCTCCATCTGACATGCACTCCTCCATCTGACAACGTGCACTCCTCCATTTGACGTGAACTCCTCCATCTAACGACGTGTACCCCTCCATCTGACAACGTGCACTCCTCCATCTGACAACATGCACTCCTCCATCTGACAACGTGCACTCCTCCATCTGACATGTACTCCTCCATCTGACGATGTGCACTCCATCTGATGTGCATTCCTCCATCTGATGATGTGTACTCCTTCATCTGACGTGCACTCCGCCATCTGACAACATGCACTCCTCCATCTGACGTGCACTCCTCCATCTGACAACGTGCACTCCTACATCTGACGACGTGCACTCCTCCATCTGACGTGCACTCCTCCATCTGACGTGCACTCCTCCATCTGAATGTGTACTCCTCCATCTGATGATGTGTACTCCTCCATCTGACATGCACTCCTCCATCTGACGTGCATTCCTCCATCTGACGTGCACTCCTCCATCTGACAACGTGCATTCCTCCATCTGATGTGCACTCCTCCATCTGACCTGCACTCCTCCATCTGATGATGTGCACTCCTCCATCTGATGTGCACTCTTCCATCTGACATTCACTCCTCCATCTGATGATGTGTACTCCTCCATCTGATGTGCACTCCTCCATCTGACGTGCACTCCTCCATCTGATGTGTACTCCTCCATCTGACGTGCACTCCTCCATCTGACGACATGTACTCCTCCATCTGACAATGTGCACTCCTCCATCTGATGTGCACTCCTCCATCTGACGATGTGTACTCCTCCATCTGATGTGCACTCCTCCATCTGATATGCACTCCTCCATCTGACATGCACTCCTCCATCTGATGACGTGCACTCCTCCATCTGATGTGCACTCCTCCATCTGATGATGTGTACTCCTCCATCTGACGTGCACTCCTCCATGTGACGACGTGCACTCCTCCATCTGACATGCACTCCTCCATCTGATGACGTGCACTCCTCCATCTGACGTGCACTCCTCCATCTGATGTGCACTCCTCCATCTGATGATGTGTACTCCTCCATCTGATGTGCACTCCTCCATCTGACGACGTGCACTCCTCCATCTGACATGCACTCCTCCATCTGATGATGTGCACTCCTCCATCTGACGACGTGCACTCCTCCATCTGACATGCACTCCTCCATCTGATGATGTGCACTCCTCCATCTGACGTGCACTCCTCCATCTGATGTGCACTCCTCCATCTGACGTGCACTCCTCCATCTGACGACGTGCACTCCTCCATCTGACATGCACTCCTCCATCTGACGACGTGCACTCCTCCATCTGATATGCACTCCTCCATCTGATGACATGCACTTCTCCATCTGACGTGCACTCCTCCATCTGATGATGTGTACTCCTCCACCTGACATGCAGTCCTCCATCTGACGTGCACTCCTCCATCTGACGACGTGCACTCCTCCATCTGACGTGCACTCCTCCATCTGATGATGTGCGCTCCTTCATCTGACATGCACTCCTCCATCTGATGATGTGTACTCCTCCATCTGACGACATGCACTCCTCCATCTGACGTGCACTCCTCCATCTGACGATGTGCACTCCTCCATCTGACATGCACTCCTCCATCTGATGACGTGCACTCCTCCATCTGATGATGTGCACTCCTCCATCTGACGACGTGCACTCCTACATCTGACATGCACTCCTCCTTCTGACAATGTGTACTCCTCCGTCTGATGTGCACTCCTCCATCTGACAATGTGCACTCCTCCATCTGATGCACACTCCTCCGACGACGTGCACTCCTCCATCTGACAATGTGTACTCCTCCATCTGATGATGTGTACTACTCCATCTGACAATGTGTACTCCTCCATCTGACATGCACTCCTCCATCTGACAATGTGTACTCCTCCATCTGATGATGTGTACTCCTCCATCTGACGTGTACTCCTCCATCTGACGTGCACTCCTCCATCTGACAATGTGTACTCCTCCATCTGACATGCATTCCTCCATCTGACAATGTGCACTCCTCCATCTGATGTGCACGCCTCCATTTGACAATGTGTACTCCTCCATCTGATGCGCATTCCTCCATCTGACGACGTGCACTCCTCCATCTGACGATGTGTTTTGATGAAAACCCAGCATCCCCTGTCACAGTTAAGAAACTCCTGCCCACTCTTAACTCTGCAGGTCCATGTAGGTGTGGAGCAGCAAGAATAAGACACAAAAGGCATAAAGATCATAAGGGAAGAAGTGAAACGGAATTGATTTGCAGGTGATGTGACTTTGTCGAAAACCCAAAGGCATCTACAAGTTGCCAGAATCAAGAGGTGAATTTACCAACAAGTTGGGACACAGTGTCCATGTACAAAATCAGGGCATGTCCCACATTTTAGCAACAAACCAGAACCAAGAGGTGAATTTACCAACACGTCAGGACAGAGTGTCCATGTACAAAATCAGGGCATGTCCCACATTTTAGCAACAAACCAGAACCAAGAGGTGAATTTACCAACACGTCAGGACACAGTGTCCATGTACAAAACCAGGGCATTTCGCACATTTTAGCAACAAACAATTGGAAAATAAAATTTCAAATACTATTGATAAAATTATCAAAATTTATTTGTAAAATATACTTATAAAAGTATCAAAAATCCATCAAATACCTAGGAATAAATGTAATGAAAACTATGCAATAATATTGCTTGGAGAAACTGAAAAAAACCTAAATAAACGTTGAGATACATCATGTGCAGGGATCAGAAGCCTCAATATTGTAGGATATCAATTCTCCCCAAAATGATCTATAGATTTGACACAATCTCAATAAACATCCCAGCAGGTCTTTTTAAAACTTAACATGAGGCTGGGCACGGTGGCTGACGCCTGTAATCCCAGCACTTTGGGAGGCCGAGGCGGGTGGATCACAAGGTCAGGAGATCGAGACCATCCTGGCTAACACGGTGAAACCCCGTCCCTACTAAAAATACAAAAAAATTAGCTGGGCGTGGTAGTGTGCGCCTGTCATCCCAGCTACTCAGGAGGCTGAGGCAGGATAATCGCTTGAACCTGGGAGGCGGAGGTTGCAGTGAGCCAAGATCGCACCGCTGCACTCCAGCCTGGCAACAAAGCGAGACTCCGTCTCAAAATAAATAAATAAATAAATAAATAAATAAATAAATACTTAACATGAAAATTCAGGCCAGGTGCGGTGGCTCACGCCTGTAATCCCGGCACTTTGGGAGGCCGAGGTGGGCAGATCACGAGGTCAGGAGTTCGAGACCAGCCTGGCCAACACAGTGAAACCCCATCTCTACTAAAAATACAAAAAATTAGCCGGGCATGGTCGTGGGCACCTGTAATCCCAGCTACTTGGGAGGCTGGGGCAGGAGAATCACTTGAACTCAGGAGGCAGAGGTTGCAATGAGCTGAGATCATGTCACTGCACTCCAGCCCGGGCAACTGTGCGAGACTCTGTCTCAAAACAAACAAACAGACAACAATAACAACAACAAAACCATTCAAATGACATAGAGTAGCCAACGCAATTTTGAAGAAGAAACAAAATTGGAAAATGTATACTATCATATTTGGTTTTGTTTTGTGTTTTGTTTTTGAGGTGGAGTCTCTCTCTGTCAACCAGGCTGGAGTGCAATGGCGCGATCTTGGCTCACTGCAACCTCCACCTCCTGGATTCAAGCAACTCTCCTGCTTCAGCCTCTTTACTAGCTGGGATTACAGGTGCCTGCCACCATGCCTGGCTATTTTTTTTTTAGTAGTTTCGCCATGTTGGTCAGGCTAGTTTCCAACTTGTGACCTCAAATGATCCGCCCGCCTCGGCCTCCCAGAGTGCTGGGGTTACAGGTGTGAGCCACCACTGTCGTATTTGAAAACTTCGAAGACAGTGTGGTATTGACATAAGGATAGGTAAATAGATTGTTGAAACAGCATAAATAATCCAGAATTCCTTCAAGAGAGTATATTTTTGACAAAGATGCCCAAGTAATTCAGTGGGAGGAAGGATGGTCTTTTTGATGATGGTGCTGGAACAACTGGACAGTCACAGGAAAATCTAAATTTAACGTTTTATTTAGGAAGCAAGAATTGCAATTCAGGGCATATACACAGACGGGGTGATCTCACTACGTCCGAAGAACAAAGACAAGGTTGGGAGTTTTCTTAGAAACATAAATGATCTGTGTTGTTTCACAAGCAAGCTCACCAGCAAGACCAGTAAGCACCAGGAGACCTGTGGGGCTCTGATGGGTGAATGATGGTGTGGGTGAAAGCACGTTCAGAGTCCCAGCAGGTTGTTTCAGCAGCTCGCAGATAAAACTGTCTTCAGATTACAGGGGCTGCTTTAGGTGCTGGGCTCACAAAATGTTTAATTTTTGGAGCAGGTGCCAGGTTATGTTCTGAGTGTTTTTTTCCCCTGGCCCCTTGATTCTGATTTAGTTGTGTAGCACAAGAGTGAGCCCATTTGTATCATTGGCTTTTACAACACCATACACAAGAATTCACTCAAGACGCATCATTGACCAAAATGTGAAAGTCAAAACCATAAAGCTTGTCGAAGGAATCACAGAAGAGCATTTAATGCCTGAGAAGCTGGACACCCTGTTTACACTGAGCGATTATTACATACCGCATGCCTGCATCATCATATTTCACGTAACCCACAAATATATACACCTACTGTGTACCCACAGAAATAAAAAAAAAAACAAATTAGCAAAAACTCCAAAAAAAAAAAAAAAGGCATCACTAAGAAAGCAAAAAGGCAAAAACCACAGACTGGGAGGAAACAGTCCCACTGTGCATATCTGACAAATAAATACACAGAAGAGGCCGGGCGCGGGGGCTCAGGCCTGTCATCCCAGCACCTGAGGTCGGGAGTTCGAGACCAGCCTGCCCAACATGGTGAAACCCCGTCTCTACTAAAAATACAAAATTAGCTGGGCATGGTGGTGCGTGCCTGTAATCCCAGCTACTCGGGAGGCTGAGGCAGGAGAATCGCTTAGAACCCCAGAGGCTTAGGTTGCCGTGAGCCGAGATCGTGCGGTTGCACTCCAGCCTGGGCAACAGAGTGAGACCTTGTCTCAAAAATAAATAAATTAAATAAATATACAGAATCTATAAAAACCACTACAAGTAACTAACCAAAGGCAAGCAACCTAATTTTACAATAGGAAAAAGACTTAGTAAGGCATTTTGCAAAGCAAAATATCTGAAAGGCTAATGAACAAAGTGCTCAGCATGGCTAGTCACCTGAGAAACACGAATTAAAACCACGATGAGATATCCGTACACCTACCAGACTGGCTAAAAACACAGCCTGACAATACCCAGTGTTGACCAGGATGTGGGGCAACCAGGACTCTCACGTGGCAGGTGGGAGTGCAAAACGCCACAACCATATTGGAAATGGGAAGTTTCTTCTAAAGCAAAACCCAAGCATCCTTCATGACGTAGTGGTGCCACTCTTGGACACACAGCCAAGACAGACAAAGGCACATGTCCCCGTAAAGGCCAGAACAGGATGATCAGAGCAACTTCATTTATCACAGTCCTACAGTGGAAGCAAGGCAGCTGTCCGTCAGCAGGGGACCAGGCGGGCTCTGGCACATGTGTGCAATGCAGTACTGTTATCACCGACAAAGGGTGCACACTCGTCACACTGTACAGCCGCTGCACCTCAGAGTGCAGGGTCAGACACGGAAATACACCCGCCACTCTGCACAGCCGCCACCCTGCACAGCCGCCACCTCAGAGGGGAGGGTCAGACACAGAAATACGCCTGCCACTCTGCACAGCCACCACCTCAGAGTGGAGGGTCAGACACGGAAATACACCCGCCATTCTGCACCGCCGCCACCTCAGAGCGGAGGGTCAGACACGGAAATACGCCTGCCACTCTGCACAGCCACCACCTCAGAGTGGAGGGTCAGACACGGAAATACACCCGCCATTCTGCACCGCCGCCACCTCAGAGCGGAGGGTCAGACATGGAAGCGCAGACCGTGCCGCTCCACCTGTAAGACGTGCAGGGGCCACCAAAGGTAATTGATGATGATTTAAGTCCAATAGTGATGATCACCATTTGGAGAAGAGACTAGAAAAGGCAGGAGGCTCCGTGTGGCTGTGTGGGTATCACACATGTGACAATCCATCAAGCTGTGTCTACTTACGGTCTGTCCTCACTGTAGGTAAGTCATACCTTCACAAGACCGTTTGGAAAGAGATACTATTTACTAGGCAAGAAAAACCACCAAATGGCTAGAAAAACATCTAATGAATGACATGCCAGACTTGCCAGACCTTCTATCCTGAAAACCACTGAGGAAAGTCAAAGAACCCGGTTAAATGAACCAGATCTGGATCATGGTTGGAAAACTTTATTTAAAAAAAAAGTCGGCCAGGTGCGGTGGCTCACGCCTGTAATCCCAGCACTTAGGGAGGCCGAGGTGGGTGGATCACCTGAGGTCAGGAGTTCGAGATTAGCCTGACCAATATGATGAAACCCCATCTCTACTAAAAATACAAAAAAATTAGCTGGGCGTGGTGGTGCGCGCCTGTAGTCCCAGCTACTCAGGGGGCTGAGGCAGGAGAATCGCTTGAACCCAGGAGGTGGATGTTGCAGTGAGCTGAGATTGTGCCACTGCACTCCAGCCTGGGAGACAGAACGGGACTCCGTCTCAAAAAAAAAAAAAATCTGCTGGGCGTGGTGGCTCACGCCTGTAATCCCAACACTTTGGGAGGCCAAGGTGCGTGGATTGCCTGAGCTTAGGAGTTTCCAACCAGCCTGGCCAACATGGTGAAACTCTGTCTCTACTAAAATACAAAATATTAACTGGGCATGGTGGTGGGCGCCTGTGGTCCCAGCTACTCAGGAGGCTGAGGCAGGAGAATTGCTTGAACCCGGGATATGGAGGTTGCAGTGAGCCAAGATCGAGCCACTGCACTCCAGCCTGGGCAACAGAATGAGACTCCGTCTCAAAAAAAAAAAAAAAAAAGGATGTCCGTTCTCCCCAAGATCTGCAGATTCAAGGTGATCCCAGTCAAAGTCCCAGCAGTTTGCTGTTCTTAAGCCAACAAGCTCCAAGGGCCAGCACGCACTTCCTGTCCTGCTGGCCGGACTGGGCCTGGTGACCCTGTCGCCGCAGGCCTTTTGCAGCACAGGCTCTGAGAGCAACGGTGCGGTTGCCTGACTGTCACGGAACAAACACACACCAGGCGAGCACTAGCCTGAGGCCGAGGGGCACATGGAGCTGGCCTGAGCCCAGCCAGGAGTCTGGAAGCAAGCCCAGCTCCTCCCGGCCGTGCCCTCGAGGGCCTGACCGCGAAACGCTCGTACGCACGGGTTGGAGTTGTTTGCCACGCGTGGCAACTGCGGCAGGAACCTGACTCACGCACGGACGCCAGCACCCACAAGTGAGAGGCGCCTCAGACACGTGGTGTCGGCTTTGGAAGCAGCTGGTGGGTGGTGAGGAAATGTCACAGCTCTGGAAAGACAGAGGCCTCTGTAAGGTGGTGTCAAAATGCCAGGTTGAATCAACAGTCATCTGCGGGGACTCTGAAGGCAGGCAATCCGCCCAGTGAACTGGCAGCACCGGGCAGGAGGGTCTGGAGGGAGAACCCTGGTGGCATGGCTGGTGTGTGAGGATCAAAGGCAGAGGAGATCTTTCCTCTTCAGCATGGTAATTTGGCACTGGGCTAAGCCTCCAGCTGCCTCCCGCTGGTGACCTGGTAAAGGGGAACATAAACTCCTTTGGTCGGCAACATTGCTTACGGCAACACTGCCCTGTGGCAGGCAGACCACGTGGGGACTGGGGAGTCATTGGTGTCTGGGAGGCCACGTCACTGGCCTTCCTGAGTGATCCCCACACCTGGGAATGTGCCCTGCGGGCCATAGCCGCGGGATTGCTGCAGGAGGAACTTCGCCTCCCGTGGGGCAAGAGGCATCTCCGTGAGTGGGTCCCAGCCCCTGAATCGCAGTGGGAATCAGGGAGGCGGCAACACCTGCGTGCCGTCATAAAGACCCCCACCATGCCCTCGTAAAGACCCCCATCACACCGTCCTGAAGACCCCCACATACCCTCGTAAAGACCCCATCACACCATCCTAAAGACCCCCACACACACTCGTAAAGACCCCATCACACCATCCTGAAGACCCCACACACCCTCGTAAAGACCCCATCACACCGTCCTAAAGACCCCCACATACCCTCGTAAAGACCCCATCACACCGTCCTGAAGACCCCACACACCCTCGTAAAGACCCCCATCACGCTGTCCTAAAGACCCCCACATACCCTCGTAAAGACCCCCATCACACCATCCTAAAGACCCCACATACCCTCGTAAAGACCCCCATCACACCGTCCTGAAGACCCCCACACACCCTCGTAAAGACCCCATCACACCGTCCTGAAGACCCCCACACACACTCGTAAAGACCCCATCACACCATCCTGAAGACCCCACACACCCTCGTAAAGACCCCATCACACCGTCCTGAAGACCCCACACACACTCGTAAAGACCCCATCACACCATCCTGAAGACCCCACACACCCTCGTAAAGACCCCATCACACCGTCCTGAAGACCCCACACACCCTCGTAAAGACCCCATCACACCGTCCTGAAGACCCCACACACCCTCGTAAAGACCCCATCACACCGTCCTGAAGACCCCACACACCCTCGTAAAGACCCCATCACACCATCCTGAAGACCCCACACACCCTCGTAAAGACCCCATCACACCATCCTGAAGACCCCACACACCCTCGTAAAGACCCCATCACACCGTCCTAAAGACCCCCACACACCCTCGTAAAGACCCCATCACACCATCCTGAAGACCCCACACACACTCGTAAAGACCCCATCACACCGTCCTAAAGACCCCCCCTATTGCCGGGCGCGGTGGCTCACGCCTGTAATCCCAGCACCTTGGGAGGCTGAGGCGGCGGATCACGAGGTCAGGAGGTGGAGACCATCCTGACTAACACGGTGAAACCCCATCTCTACTAAAAATTAGCCGGGCGCGGTGGCGGGCGCCTGTGGTCCCAGCTACTCGGGAGGCTGAGGCAGGAGAATGGCGCGAACCCGGGAGGCGGAGGCTGCAGTGAGCCGAGATCGCGCCACGGCACTTCAGCCTCAGCAACAGAGCAAGACTCTGTCTCAAAAAAACAAAAAAAACAAGACCCTCTCGTCATGCTGCCTAAAGACCC
The DNA here is from genome assembly GCF_000001405.40 of Homo sapiens. Lineage (NCBI taxonomy): Eukaryota > Metazoa > Chordata > Mammalia > Primates > Hominidae > Homo > Homo sapiens. The sequence continues at coordinate 50,029,779 of NC_000022.11, forward strand.
CCACCACGCCCTCGCGAGGACCCCCCACCGCGCCGTCCTGAAGACCCCCACGCGGGAGGAACGGCTGATGCTGCCCTGCTGGTCAGCCGCGCCCCTGCCCCACGTCCTTCTCCGCGACTCTGAGGCCAAGAGCAGCCTGTGGCAGCCCCTGAAGTCTGAACGTGTGGCCGAGGCTCGGAAGAGCCCGATGGGGGCCGGGCGTGGTGGCTCAGGCCTGTCACCTCAGCCTCCAGAGCCTTCAGAAAACCGCACGCCAAAGCCCCGCGGTCACTTTGGCCCCTCGCTCGGCCAGGGAGCTTGGTGCTGTTCACGGCGCTGTTCAAGGTCCTAACTCAAATCCTCCGACCCGCGCCACACCCCAGAGGTATGGGGACAAAGGCGTCACCCGCCAGGTTCTACAGAGGGGACCCCACCATCCACCTGGCCGGCACTCCCACGCCCCCCACCCCGAGACCCCCGTGCCGGGCTGGGACAGGTGCCCCAACCCCGCTCCCCGGCTCCCGCCGGCGCCTCCGTCAGGGGACACCCCGGGCCCCAGCACCGAAGCCTGCCCTGCGCCCCGCTCTGGAGGATGCAGCGGCTGCTGGCGAGGGTTGGGGATGCAGCAGGCGGCCCCCAAGCCCACAGCGCACCGCCGGCGGCGCAGGTTACCTTTTCCTCCGGGCGGCGGACGCAGCGCGCCCTCTGCTGTCTTCAGGCCCCGCAGCACAGGCTCCAGCGGGTGCGCATTTAGCTGGTTTGGATCCCAGCTTTTGGCGGGCTGGGCTACGGGGACACCGGTGTTTGGGGCCTGACTGTCCACGTGGCGACAGGGGCAGGCCGGGAGCTCCACCTTCCCAGCAGCTTTGGTGCGGGTGGGCTGTGCGGCTCCACCGCTCTCGGCTGCCCCCCTTAAGGGTGCCAGCAAGGCCAGGGGGAGCCCCTTCTCTTCCTTCAGTCCCAAGTCCCGCTGGAGAGCTGGTGATGGGGGTCCCTGGGCAGGGTCTGGCATGGCCGAGGGGCCCCGTGCCTTCAGCGGCTGCGCGTCCAACAGCGAGGCCGAGGCCTTGAGGTTGCAGACGGGCAGCACCTGCCTCCTGGCTCTCCTCACACTGACGCCCGCCACGCAGAGGTCGGACCCGCTGAATGGGGGCGGCTCAACCACCGGCTGTGGGGAAGGAACAGGTTGGGGTGCTGGGCTGTGGCCGGGATAGGGGGGGTCCCTGCAGGAGGGGTCTGTGCAGGAGGGGCTGGTCGGGGCACAGACCCCCACCTGACTCAGGAGTGAACAGTGAACACCTGGGGTCCCACGCAGACCCCCAGGAGGCCCCCAGGCTCTGGAGAACCTGCGGGGAACCAAGGCTTCCTGAGGCTTGGGGGTCAGCCTGGGGGGCCCCACACCCAGGGACTCAGCTGCTCTTTTCCCGAGTTTAGCCACAGAGAGGCCGCAAGAGAGAGGCATTGGCCACGCTTCCCAATGACTCCAGCACATCCGCAGGCACAGGGAGGCCCGCGAAAGATCCTCAGAGTGGAGGAGGCACTGCAGGCCAAGGCAAAGGAGCAGCATAGGTGGCCTGGAGGCTGCGGGCATGGAGCCCCCACCTCTAACCACAGTCAGGACTGGGTGAGGCTGGGAACAAGAGGGAGGAAAGCTGGACAGAGGCACTGAGCCTGAGTGAGCGGGGCCGCTCCGCCCGCACGCCTGGAGTAGCCCCTTCCTCGGTGCCGACGAGGCACTGAGCCCCATGGGAGAGCAGGGCAGGCCTGGGCCCTCAGCGGGACCGAGCATGGTCACAGAGCAGGATCGGTGTCCTCCATAGACCCCGCTGCACTGGCGGCCTGCAGCTCCACCCTCGCCCAGTGACCAGGTGGCAAAGCATCCACATGGCGGGCGGCCACCAAAGTCCCCAGGGGCGGGCGTGGCTCACCTGCCTCCACAGGAGCTCGAAGTTGCCGATGTCACAGCTGCGGTCCACGGCCACCTTGATGGTGTCCTCCTGCACCTGTGCACACAGCTGGGCCGTGACCGGCGTGGACGGGTGCATGGTGGGGCTGGAATTGATCTCGATCAGCCAGGGCCTGAAGTCCCTCCCAAGGACGAAGTCAGCCCCGTAGAGCTCAAAGCTGTTCTTGCGAGGCTCCACGTGGTCCTGGGCCACCTTCATGGCGTGGGCGATGGCCTTCTTCATGGACGGGTAGATGACGCTGCCCCACACGGCGCCACGGCCCTGGCGCTGCAGGTACTCCTGGAACCTGGTGCTGGTCCACATGTTGTGTGCGGGCAGCAGGGGGCTGCGGCCCACATCATTCTTCAGGTACTTCTGGACGGCGTTGTTGCACAGGTGGATGGCGCTGCAGGGGGGACGAGGGGCAGGTGCTCAGCCTCCCTTGGCCCAGGAGGGCACCCAAGGCCGGTCCTCCCAGCCGTGCTGAGCCCACCCAGCTGGCTCTAGAGAACCCTGCCCCTGAGGACTCCAACCCTCTGCTGGAGGGGCCCAGCTGGGATGAGCGTTACTGTCCCAGATGGAGAAACAGGGCTCAGAGAGGCCATGGGATTGGCCAGGCGCACAGCTCACAGCTGGAGGCCCAGAAATGGGCGCTGGCAGGGGGCCCTGGCTTCTCACTGCCCTGCCTGGGAGCTGCTTTTGCACAGGTGAGTTCCTGGACCCCCTCCAGGCCCACTTGACCAGAGGCAGTGAGCAGGTGAGGGTCGTAGCCCCTGGCCAGCTCCTCCCAGGCCTCTTCTGGGTGTGACTTCGAGCATGACCCACCAGGCATGACCGCAGCCGCTCGCCTGGGCCGGAGTTAACTCCCCTGCAAGGTCTGTGTCGCGTGACTCTCAGGCCTCCCTGGATTCTCACTCGTAAAAAGCAGACCCCCTTCCTGCCCAGCCGTCAGGTCCCCTAGCGCCTCACACCAAGCAAGGGCCACACAATAGTCAGAGGAAGCCTTGGTGCAGACAGAGGGTGGCAGGCGTCGCTGTGTGCACAGCACACTCCTGAGGACTCCACAGGCTCTCGCCCTCCTGCCCACGCGGGGACCCGGGTGAGGTGGGGGTCCATCCACCCTGGGCAGCACACTTGCGGATATCTGAGCCTCCACCAGGCACCCCACAGGCCGCCTCCCCTGCGCCAGGGCCCAGGTGCTGCCCACACCATTCCAATCCCCCTGGGCACAGGCAAAATGGTGCCTTTTAAGATTTTCCAGAGATGATGCACAGAGCGTGGGGTGTAGGGCGCTGGCTTTGAAGGCCGGTGGGCCTGGGCCTGTCCCTCGGGGAGATCATCAGCCTCCCAAGCCTCAGTTTCCCCATCTGTGCCTCTCGTGGTGGCAGGTGGCAGTGAGGGGGCCCTGCCCGTGCTGCTTCTCACTGCGGCTGCTCCAGGCATGCAGGCAGCAGCCCATTCCCTGGCCCGAGGTGTCCAGGTCGCCCACCGCACTGACCTGTCCAGCTTGTCCAGGGAGAAGCGCTGAGTTGAGAACCGCAAGTAACTCTCCTTGTAGAACCAGATGGTCAGGGGGTTCCAGTCCGTGACGAGGAACCACTGTCTGATGTCGAACTTGGTGTCACAGATGAGCAGCGGCGTCTCGATGTACTTCTGGACCACCCACTTGTTGTCCCTGGAAAGAGGGTGGTCTGCAGCTGCCAGCTCCAGGATCTCCTCCACACGGTCCATGCACACTATGTCTGCAAGAGGCCACCGCTCAACCCAGCATGCACAGCCACTGTGCAGCGGGACCTGAGCTCCTGAGCCCTGGGGCAGGGTCGCAGCTTGGCCCTGAGACCTGCACTGGCTTTGTCCAAGGCCAGCAGGCAGCATGGTTGGTGGGGGCGATGGGGGAGCAGGGAAGGCTTAGCGCTCATGGATGAGGCTAAAGCCAGTGCCTGAGTCCCCCAGGCTCTCCCCCAACAGAACCAGCCTCTGAGACCCCAGAGGGGACACAGAGATCAGTGAAGGGGCAGGGACAGAGACACTTTTAAAAGGGAGCCAGGAGGATGGGCATGGTGGCTTATGCCTGTAATCCCAGCACTTTGGGAGGCCGAGGCAGGTGAATCACTTGAGGTCGGGAGTTCAAGACCAGCCTGGCCAACATGGTGAAACTCCATCTCTACTAAAAATACAAAAAATTAGCCGGGTGTGGTGGGCGCCTGTAGTCCCAGCTACTTGGGAGGCTAAGGCAGGAGAATTGCTTAAACCTGGAAGGTGGAGGTTGCAGTGAGGCAAGATTGCGCCACTGCACTTCAGCCTGGGCAACAAGAGTGAAACTCCGTTTCAAAAAACTAAAAATAAAATAATAAAAATAAAAAACTAAAAAGGAAAGCATAGACCAGTTTGTGAATACAAAGGAGGAAATCCTGATTAACCCATCAACCCGGATCCTGCCCTGTGATCGGAACACATGCTGTGAAGACGCCTCCAGCTCTGCTCCAGCGCCTGAGTCCTGACCCCCACGCCTGCCTCGGCGTTCTGCTCCCTCCCTTCCTTCCCTGTGGTGCTGTGGGCCTGAAACTGTCCCTCACTCACGGCTCCTGGCATCAAGTGTGGCCGTTGGTGGCTATGAACGCGGTGCAGGGAGCATCCGCACCAGGGGACTCACCTCGGCCCCGGGACTTGGCCGCGGGCTTTATAATCCAGATGTTCCGGAGCCCGTCAATGTCCGTCTGAGGGTTCACAGACGTGATTCTATTCAGCAGAGCCTGGCACTGCGAAAAGTAATTTCTTGAATTGGAGATGAAAGCATCGCCACTACAAAGCAAGATCCAGAAAGTGCATGAGACTTGGAGGCCTGGGCCCCGCCTCACCCACCAAGCAGGCGCTCGGCTCTAGGATGGTCTGGGGCTGGCCTGGCGGGAAAGGGCTGCGGGTCGGCCCAGGAAGTTCTCCCAACAGTATGGACACCTGGAAAACACAGCCCTGTGAGGCTGCTCCAGACGAGGGCTGTGTTAAGACAGTGGGGACCCCGGTGTGTGGGTCGGAGCTGGCCACAGACCCCAAGCAGCACCCTGCCTGGGTGGAAATGGTGGGATGCACGGGTGGGGGTGGGGAGATGCAGCCACGCGGAAACGTGGGAGACACAGGCGGGGGCAGACGCAGCCATGCCCAGCTTCCGCCTGTGGTTGGTGGTGCCTGGGACCGACCCCTGGTAGGAAAGTGGCCGGCCCGTGCAGGCCTCCTGTGTCCCGGCCAGCTGCCAGCACCACATCCTGGGAGCTCAGCATCATTCTGACTCAAGACCCTTTGCAGTCACGGGCTAGACTCAGGAAATCATCATAACCACAGGGAATAAGGAGAGGGTGGGGAGAGCTGTTTGAGGGGCTTTTAGAGTTCGGGGGTGCACTCCTGCTGCCCGGATGGATTGGGGGGAAGCCATGCCAGTACCAGCAGCTGCCCCAGGGCCCGCTGGAGCCGTCCTGCGTGGGCAGACTCAGAGCTGTGAAGACCTGGTGGGGACCCCATGACGTCCTGACAAGGTGGCTGCAGCACAGGAGTGAGAGCCAGTGGGGCTCCAAGGACGCCAGCCGTGACTCTCACAGCCGGCCTGGGCTGGGGTGGGGAAGCCCCTGAAGACACAGGACATCGGGGTTCCATTCACACCTGCTGGGGGCAGCTTGAAGGGAGAAGTGAGGCTGGGGTGTCCCTGACAACATGGGAGGGGCCCCACCACTGTGGAACTGTGGCCGGGGGTGCCTGGGCGAGAGCCCCTGTAGGGACAAGCCCCTCCCAGGGAAGGACTGAAGGCGACCTCAGGCAGTGGCACCTCCTGGCTCTCACCGGCTGCCACGCCTCCTCCGTGGTGAGCGCCGAGCACTCCTGACCTCAGGATGGCAACAGGACTGCTCAACTGTGATGAGAACTTGGAGCAAACCGGGCACAGCCAGCCCCCCGCGCCCCTGAAGCAGCCTTGTCTGTGCAGCACAGGTCAGTCCCCAACTATTGTGGTCTAAATAGGGTGGGTCACCCATGACGTCCACCATGTTGGTCACTGCCAAGGCCGCCCAGGATACCAGCAAGCTCCCAGTGACACGGGGCTACAGCGACTCCCTCAGGAGGATGATCTGTGGGAAGGAATCCCTCACAGCCTCCCAGGACAGCCCAGCCCCGAGCCTGTGACAGCCCTCACATTGGAAGGTGGTATTTGGGCAGGACCACTGTCCCCACAAGTGTACGCGCCACTGTGTTGCCCCTGCTTTGGGGGGAGAAGGCTGTGAGCAGTGAGGGATACAGCTGCTCAGGAGCCCAGCGGAGCACCGCGCAGGAGCTGGCAAAGTCCAGGAACCATGAGATGCACATCCCAAACTCATCAGAGAACAAGCACGGGCCTCCAGATGCTGACGGCGAGCAGGGGCCACAGCCAGGGCTCTCTGGGTCCTGACCCCAGGGCACACCTGCCAGGGGTCCCAGCTGAGCCCAGCAGGTGAGGACTGACGGGCCCGAAGCACCAGGGACTCCAGAGAGACCCCCTCCGGCAGCAGCCGGGAATCTCCCCTGGACGCCCACCCTCCTGACATGGTTTGGGATGAGACGACCACAGGGACTTGCGGGGATCCGATGCTGCCACTGGTGGTCACCCCTGGGTCTTCCTTTTAATTCAGGTCTAAGAAAACGCAGTGGGGTGCATCCTGCCATACTCAAAAAAGTCAAGTTGAACAGTGTGTACGTCCTTGTACACTCGTGTACACACCACCCAGATCGAGACAGGAACGCCTGGGCTCCTCAACAGGAACGGAGACCAGTTACGGTGCTGACTATCACTGCAGACAGGGCTGCCCTGTTCCTGAACTTCCTGTCAATGAAACTACACAATTGGTGCTCCTTTGTGTGTGGCCTCTTTCTTTTCTTTTCTTTTTTTTTTTTTTTAAGACTGAGTGTCACTCTGTCACCCAGGCTTGAGTGCAGTGGCACGATCTTGGCTCACTGCAACCTCCACCTCCCAATTCAAGCGATGCTCCTGCCTCAGCCTCCCAAGTAGCTGGGATTACAGGCATGAGCCACCATGCCCAGCTAACTTTTGTATTTTTAGTAGAAACAGATTTCACCATTTTTGCCAGGCTGGTCTCAAACTCCTGACCTCGGGTGATCCCCCCGCCTCGGCCTCCTTAACTGCTGGGATTACAGGTGTGAGCCGCCGCGCCCAGCCAGTGTCTGGCTTCCTTCGACCTGACTGTGAGATTCATCCACGCTGCAGCATAGCTCAGCCCCTCCTTGGACACAGTTTGGCAGTTTCCAGATTTGGGCCATCATGAAGTCTTTCTGAGGACACATGTTTCCATTTCTCTTGCATAAATACCTTGGAATGGATTATCTGGGCCATTGGGTATGTAGATGCCTAAACGTGTAAGAAACTGTCAAAGACTTTTCTAAATGGGTTGTGCCAATTTACACTCCCCTAGCCGTGTGCTAGAGTTCCAGCTGCTCCACACGTTGGCAAATACTTGATGTCGTTTTAACTTTTTTTTTTTTTTGAGACAGAGTCTTGCTCTGTTGCCCCAGGCTGGAGTGCAGTGGCGCCATCTCAGCTCACTGCAGCCTCTCTGCCTCCTGGGTTCAAGAGATTCTTCTGCCTCAGCCTCCTGAGTAGCTGGGACTACAGGCACGCACCACCGCGCCCAGCTAATTTTTGTATTTTTAGTAGAGATGGGTTTCACCATATTGGCCAGGCTGGTCTGGAACTCCTGACCTCATGATCTGCCCGCCTCGGCCTAGTGCTGGGATTACAGGCGTGAGCCACCACGCCCGGCCCAATGTTTTCCCATTCTTAAAAACCTTTCACATATATGATATATCAAACTAATTTTTGTGTATTTGTGAAGCAGAATTCAAGGTACATTTTTTTTTCGTATGGCTGACCACTGTTTAAGCATCATTTAGTGAAAAGACCAACCTTTCCCTAATGAATTGCAGCAGCAGCTTGGTCTCGAATGCAGTGAACACAGATAGGAGGGTCTATCTTTAGACTCTATTCTCTTACACTGATCCTATCCCAATATCACATCTTAACTATTGTAAACCTAGAGTAAGTCTTGAAATTTGGAGCACAAGTCTTCCAATTTTGTTTTTCTTTATCAAGTCTGTTTTGGCTCTTCTTAAATCATTCATATTTCTATATAAATCAGTTCATTAATTCCTCCTGCCCCCCAACAAAAAAAATACCTCTCAGGATTCTGGCTGGGATTACATTGACTCTATTGATTAGTCTGAGAAAAACAAACATCTCTACACTATTGAGTCTTCTAAGTCATTAACATGTTATACACACACACACACACACGTTTATTAGGTATTTACTGTCTCTAACTTTATAACTTTAAATTTAGGGTCTTGAATGTATTTTGTTAGATTTATTTCTAGAGGTTTGTTGTTATTTGATGTTAGTGTATTGTGTTTTTAGAATTTCGTTTCACGATTTGTTGCTAGAACACAGAAATATGATGGAGTCTTGTATATTAACTTTGTACCCAGTGACCTTGCTGATTTCACTTAATTTTAATACTTTATCATTTATTTAAATTATTTAAATATTAAATTTTTTATATGAACAATCATATCATCTACAAATAGGAACTTTATTTCTTCCTTTCTGATCTTTATGCCTTACTTTTTTTTTTCCTGTACTATTTAACTAGTCAGACCACTCAGTCTATGCTGAACAGAAGTCTGATGATGAGCAACTTCGTCTCATTCTGATTTCAAGGAGGACACTCTCAATAATATATAACCACTACGAAATATGTTAGCTGTTGGATTCTTAAACTTTCAAATGAAAAGATCTGGCTGTGTGTAGTCAGTCACGCCTGTAATGCTAGCACTTTGGGAGGCCAAAGCAGGAGGACTGCTTGAGGCCAGGCATTCAAGACAAGCCTGGGCAACATAGCAAGACCCTGTCTCTACAAAATAATTAAAAAATTAGCCAGTGTGGTGGCACGTGCCTGGAGTCCCAGCTACTTGAGAAGCTGAGGTGGAAAGATTGCTTGAGCCCAGGAGTTTGAGGTTGCAGTGAGCTATGATTGTACCACTGCACTCCAGCCTAGGTGGACGGAGTGAGACCCCAATCTCAAAAAAAAAAAAGAAGAGTTTTTTCATTTCCAAGTTGGCTAAACAAATTTACTAGGACAGGTATTAAGTTTCATCAATTTTTGCATCTATTGAGATGATCTTATACCTTTTCTTTTCTATTCTGAAAGTGTAATAAAATTCACTGATTAACTTTTCAATGTTAAACCAACCTTGCATTCTTGGAATAAAGCCCATTTGGTTCTGATGTATTATTTCATTCACATTTCACTGGTTTAATTAAATAATATTTCGGTTAAAGTTTTGTGTACATATATATTCATGAGAAATACTGGCCTATGATTTTTTGTTATTTTACTTTTTTCAAGTTTTGATATCAGGCTTTTCTGGCCTCATAAAATGATTAGAAAATGTTCTCTCTTTCTCTGTTACTTGAAAGCATTTTTGTGTTATTGGAATTAATTTTAATTAATGAATTAATTAAATTTAATTAACTAGTGAAATCATTATGGGCTTGGATCCTCCTTTGTAGGAAAGTTTTTAAATTACAGATTTAGGCCGGGTGCAGTGGCTCATGCCTGTAATCCCAGCACTAACACGTATGTAACTGGAGCCCTGGAAGGAGAGAAGAGAGAACAGGGAAGAAGGAACATCCAAGAAATAATGGCCTAGAGTATTCTAAATTTGAGGAAAAATTCTAACCCACAGATCAAAATGCCCCACGAACCTCAACCAGGAGAAATACAAAGAAACTACTTGTAGAAGCATTATAATCAAACTGTTGAAAACCAAAGACAGAGAATATCTTAAAGCATCCTGAGGAAAAGATATTACCTTCAAAAGGAACAAAACTCGTAACTACAGATGTGCCAGCGTGGATGGACCTCACCAACCCCACGTGTGCCAGCGTGGATGGACCTCACGGATCTCATGTGTGTCAGTGTGGACAGACCTCACTGACCCCACGTGTATCAGTGTGGACGGACCTCATGGACCTCATGTGTGCCAGTGTGGATGGATCTCACAGACCTCACATGTATCAGCGTGGACAGACCTCACAGACCTCACATGTGCCAGCGTGGATGGACCTCATGGACCTCATGTGTGTCGGTGTGGACAGACCTCACTGACCCCACGTGTATCAGTGTGGACGGACCTCACGGACCTCATGTGTGCCAGCTTGGATGGACCTCACAGACCTCATGTGTGCCAGCAGGGACAGACCTCACAGACCCCAGGTGTGCCAGCGTGGACGGACCTCACAGACCCCACGTGTGCCAGTGTGGACAGAGCTCACGGACCTCACATGTGCCAGCATGGATGGACCTCACGTGTGCCAGCGTGGACGGACCTCACAGACCTCACATGTGCCAGTGTGGATGGACCTCATGGACCTCATGTGTGCCAGCGTGGACGGACCTCACGGACCTCACATGTGTCAGCATGGATGGACCTCACTTGTGCCGGCGTAGGCAGACCTCATGGATCCCACATGTGCCAGCATGGACAGACCTCATGGACCTCACGTGTAACAGCGTGGATGGACCTCAAGGACCTCACATGTGCCAGTGTGGACGGACCTCACAGATCTCATGTGTGCCAGCGTGGACGGACCTCACAGATTTCATGTTGGGCACAAGAAGTCATAAACGAGAGAGCACAGACTGTTCCCCAAATGTGAAATCTGAAAACAAAACTGGTTCATGGTTGCAGGAGCCAGAATGGGTTGTGACCCCTGTGGGGGTTCTCCCGGGAAAGGTTAATAGGGGCTGATGGGGGACTGGAAACGTTTTGTGTCTCAAGTGGGCTGTGGCTATGCAGGTGGACACGTAAGCAAAATTTCTTCCACCTGTACAAATATGATTATACACTGTGTGCCCTTAACCGTATTTATGTAATCCCTCAATAAAAGGAAAAGAAAAATATTTGATTAATTCACAAGAAGAAGAAAGAGACAAAAGAATAAACACCACCCTGGGATGAAGCATGAAGCTGCCGCAGACCCTCTGAAAGAAGTCACTTTCCTGACTTGCCCATCAGCCGGCACCTGCTCATGCTCCGGGGGTGCCAGGCCCACCTCTGCCCAGCTCCTCTCTCTGGTGGCCGCTGTCAAGGGAGTGCTGAACCCCTGGCCCCAGGAAGAACTGGGCCCTCAGCAGGGGGCAAGAAGGCCAGGGTCAGCCTTTGGACCCCTGGAGTGGCAAATGGTGATGATGAGAGTCAGCGAGCCAGGAGCTCTGGGCCCAGGCATACATCTGCCAGTCATTCACCAGCTGCCAAGCTCTGGGCCTCGGCACACCTCTGCCAGTCACTCGCCAGCTGCCAGGAGCTCTGGGCCCAGGCACACCTCTGCCAGTCACTCACCAACACCAAGAGTGAGGCAGGTGCCCCAGTGGAGAGACAGACAAACCCCACCTGCCTGTCTCGGGCTGTGGGGGGCTCAAATGACATCATAACCTTCTGGATTTTGAAGATGCACAAGACAATGCTACTCCCCAAAGGCACCCTGAGGGGGTATCATCCTCTCAACAGTCATCAGGGTCCTGGTGGGACAGGCAACAGAGGGCCTGGGCACCCCGACACCCATAAGGCACCCCAAGATCCAGACAGACACCCCAATACCCAACAAGTATCCCAGACATCCAGACAGACACCACAATACTCAACAAGCATCCCAGACATCCAGACAGGAGCCCCAACGCCAGGACAGGCATCTCAACACTCAATACCCCACAGGTAGCCTAATGCCCAGACAGGTGACCCAGTTCCCAGAGGCTGCACTGCCCCGGCAGCTCCTGCAATCTGCACTCACAGCTCCGACATGTGCCAGGGGCCTGCGTAAGTCTTACTGAACGAGGGAGTAGTACTGCTGGGTCAGGTCCTCCCACTCGGCCTCAGTGAGGTCCTCCACGGCATCTGCTGACGTGTCGATGTCCTCATGCTCCAGCTGCCCCAGGTAGGCCTGGCACACCTTGCACGCGATGTCCACAAGCTGCCCCGGGAGGCCCCTGAGCTTTGCCTCAGCATTTTCAGCATCTGAAACCCAGACACAGGCACATGCAGTGGGAACCTCACCCAGGGGCAGCCCTGCCCGCCTCGAGGGGTGATGTCTAAAGTCATGGACAAAGGCTGCTCCACTCCCTCTGTGCCCCAATACCCAACAAGTATCCCAGATCCCCAGACAGGCACCCCAATACCCAACCAAGCTTCTCTGGGCAACCGCCCTGGATGTCACGCCTGTGTCTGGGCAGGTGACTTCCTCCCTCCTGAACGGTCCCAACCTCCAATGGCTCTGTGAGTGCCACCTCCCCACAGGAAACATATGGGCCCTGCCACTGGACCCTCAGCTCCTCACAGTAGCAATTACTGATAAGTTCGACTTCATTAAAATGAAAAACTTCTGCTCTGTAAAGAACAATTTTAAGACAATGGGAAGACAAGCCACAGACTGGGAGGAGATATTTGCACACACTTAATAAAGGAATATTACCTAGAGTATACAGAGACCTCTTGAAACTCAACAATAAGAAAACATAATTTTATTTTTTATTTTTATTGTTTTAAGACAGAGTTTTGCTCTTGTCGCCCAGGCTGGATGGCAAGATCTTGGCTCACTGCAACCTCCGCCTCCTGGGTTCAAGTGATTCTCCTGCCTCAGCCTCCCGAACAGCTGGGATTACAGGTGTGTGCCACCTTACCCAGCCAGAAAACAATTTAAAAATGAACAATCTGAACAGTCACCTCACCAAAAAATATATACAGATGGAAAACAAGCATATGAACACATGCTCAACATCATATACCACTATGGACTAGCAATTCTGTATCTACAAGTTTTTTCTATAAAATACCCTCAGAAATTCATAAGGAAATGGAGGCTAGGCACAGTGGCTCACACCTGCAATCCCAGCACTTTGGGAGGCTGACACGGGAGGATCGCTGGAGCCTGAAAGTTTGAGACTAGCCTGGGCAACACAGTGAGACCCTGTCTCACAACACAATCACCACAATCATGAGACACTAATAAAGACCCAGGAGAATGCTACAAACAGAACCCTGACCACATCAGACGCTGGCGAGGATGTGGAGAACAGGAACTCTCCCTCATTGCTGGTGGAAATGCAAAATGGTACAGCGACTTTGGAAGACAGTCTGGCAGTTTCTTACAAAATGAAACATACTCTTGCCATACCACCCAGTAAGTGCGTTCCTTGGTATTTACCCAGATGAATTCAAAACTTATGGTCACACAAAGACCTGCACACAGATGTCGACAGAAACGTTATTCATGATCGTCAAAACCTGGAAGTGACCGAGACGTCCTTCGGTAGATGGATAGACAGATAAACAGTGGTGCCGAGACGTCCTTCAGTAGATGGATAGATAGATAAACAGTGGTGCCGACATGTCCTTCAGTAGATGGATAGATAGATAAACAGTGGTGCCGACATGTCCTTCAGTAGATGGATAGATAGATAAACAGTGGTGCCGAGACGTCCTTCGGTAGATGGATAGATAGATAAACAGTGGTGCCGACATGTTCTTCGGTAGATGGATGGATAGATAAACAGTGGTACCGAGACACCCTTCGGTAGATGGATAGATAAATAAACAGTGGTGCCGAGACGTCCTTCGGTAGATGGATAGATAGATAAACAGTGGTGCCGAGACGTCCTTCGGTAGATGGATAGATAGATAAACAGTGGTGCCGACATGTTCTTCGGTAGATGGATAGATAGATAAACAGTGGTACCGAGACACCCTTCGTTAGATGGATAGATAGATAAACAGTGGTGCCAACATGTTCTTCGGTAGATGGATAGATAGATAAACAGTGGTGCCGACGTGTCCTTCAGTAGATGGATAGATAAATAAACAGTGGTAGATCTAGACAGTGGAGTATCACTCAGCCCTAAAAAGAAAAGCGCTCTCAAGCCATGAAAAGACCTGGAGGGATCTTAAATGCATATTACTAAGTCGAAGAAGCCCATCTGAAAACGCTCCATGCTACGTGGTTCTAACCGAATGGCATTCTAGAAAAGGCAAAACCGTGGAGACAGGAAGAAGATCAGTGGTAGCCAAGAGCTCGGGGGCGGGGGGATGAAGAGACAGAGCACAGGGAGTTTTAGGGCCGGGGACCATCTCTGTCTGATACTGGAATGGTGGATACACGGCATCATACATTGTCCAAACCTGTAGAATGTATAACACCATTTGGGTTACCATGATGTGTCATTGTAGGTTCATCAATTGTGTTAAAATCATTAATTAGGCCAGGTACGGTGGATCAAGCCTGTAATCCCAGCACTGTGGGAGGCCGAGGTGGGCGGATCACCTGAAGTCAGGAGTTCGAGACCAGCCTGGCCAACATGGCAAAACCCCATCTCTACTAAAAATACAAAACATTAGCCGGGCGTGGTGGTGGGCACCCAACTACTCGGGAGGCTGAGACAGGAGAATCGCTTGAACCCAGGAGGCGGAGGTTGCAGTGAGCCAAGATCATGCCATTGTACTTCAACCTGGGTGACAGAGCAAGACTCCATCTCAAAAAAAAAAAAACATTAATTAGGAGGCCATCAGATGAGGTGGCCCAAGTGACCTGGTCTCCGACCAATGCAAACTACAACCTAACTCAGAATTGAAAACGGAATGTAAGCACAGCCAATCACAGGCAGCCAGCTGGGAACAAGTTCTCACTCAGCACAAATGAAGCCACCGCTCCAGCGTTCACCAATCAGGATTTATTTCCTCTGTTTCCACGTTTACCTAGAAGGGCTTTTCCCCTCGGTGGAGCCCTGCAGCCTCCTGATTGGCACAAATCACCGTTTGCTCAAATACACTCTAAAAGTTTAATGCGCCAATGTTCATCTGTCAACAGTCGAAGCGCACTGCTCTGGTGGGGGATGTTGGCGGTGCAGGAGGCGCGGGGGCAGGAGAGTGTGGTAAATCTTGTACCCTCTGCTCAGCTGTGCTGTGAACCTAAAACTGCTCTAGAAATTACATTTTATTAAAACCAACAACCACAAAAAAGATTTGGGTTTTGTCCAAAAACACGACGGCTGGTTCACATCCCTGTACCACCCAGGGGCGCCTCTCCCCTGGGCTTCCTGTGTCCTCTCCCACGGGGCCCCTTTGGGGAGACTCAGGCTGCGGCATCGTGGTGGCCGTGGGGTGGGGCAGGCTTCCGACCACAGGCTGGAACCACGTCCGCGGCACAGGACTGTGGCAGTGAGTGTGGGACTCGGACGTCCCAGGGCTGCGTTAACTGCCAGGTGCTTTACAAACGGGGTGACTTTGACGTTTAGCCCCACGGTTAGAACAGAAAACCCGTCTGCCATGAGAATCGAGAGAGTCTGAGGCATCGCTGTATCCAGCCCCGGCTGCTGCAACCCTCAGGACTGACCACACCCAGGAGGCGGGAGGGCCCCTGTGGAGGCCCCGAGCTCTGGTGGCCTGGCACTGCCCTGCCCCGGCCCAGCGCACCTTGCCTGCTGCTCAGGTCGCTGCTCCCGGCCTCCTCCCTCTGGTCCCTGGGCTTGCTTCTGCTGCTCCTGCTGCAGCTCTGGTGGCTGACCACCCACTTGAGGATGCTGGATGCCATGGTGCGCCGGAAGTCTTCTGAAAGGACAGCACAGCCTCGCCCTATCTGTCCGAGCCAGGACTGGGGACTGGAGATGGGGCCAGGGCCACGGAGGCTCCCCAACCCGCCCCACTTCCCGCCCTCATAGCCGATGGGGCCCAGGCCTGCTCCCACACCCCCAGTCTGCCTGCCCTTCTCCCTGCAGTGTCTCTGTGACTGCGGCCGTCCAGCTGCACCCCTCGGCCTCCGACCACGGAGCCGGCCTTGCCCCAGCTGCTCGCCGCGCTGTCCACAAGCCTAGCACAGAACCACACACTCCTTGACTGCCCGCCCTCCCTCCCGGGGCCCCTGGCCTCTGTACTGCCATGACCATGACCATGGGAGGCCTCTCCCCGGTCCTCTATCCTCAGACCCTGCCCCATCAGTCTGTCTCAGCACCAGGGGGATCTTTCTAGAAGCCTCTCTGCTGACAGCACTGGGGCCCTCTGCCGTCTCCTCACTTACCCAGGAACTCCTGCTGCTCACTCTCGGTGCAGAGGCTGTAGCAGCGTGGGAAGAAGGAGTCGGGGTTGGCCGGGACGTACCAGGGCAGGCTCCGCATGTTCACGCACAGCCCGATCTCCAGAGACAGTGGCGTGTTAGGCAGGAGGGGCAGCTCAGCTCAGCTCTGCCTCGCTCACAAGGCGAGGACGGGCCGTCCACCTCAGACTTGCCTGGCTATGGGGCACCACACAGCACCCCTAGGGCGGATCCCTCCCCCTCCCCAGATATACGGTCCCCCAGGGCCCCAGAACACCCCCTCCAGCCGGTGGGAGCATGGATGTGCAGGCCAGGCTCAGACGCATCCTTGAGGCAGTGGAGGGCGTGGCAGGCCCCAGGGAATGGGGAGGCTGCAGCTGAGGGCACCGAGGGCGGTGGGCACTGGGGCTCCCTCCAGGCCCCCAAACGGGCCACAGGGTGTCCCACACCTCAGACCCCAGGAGAGGGAGGAGCGGCTGCAGGGCCCGGAACGCAGCCACATGCCCAGCACTGCCCACCACACGCGAGGTAGCACGCGCCATTAGAGAGGCATATCGTGAAGTCCCCGCACCCCGATGTCTGGTTTGTCACCCTGTTAAGGAAAAAAGTGGCTGGCCCCCAGAAAACACAGCGCACGCTGACTGGCTCTGCACACGGGGTCTTTGAAGGGGCCATGTTGCCACTAGCAGCGCTGGCGCTGGCCTGACCCTGGGGTATTAGGTGCGGAAGGGAACCTTGTCCTGCACCTCCGCCCCACACTGTGCTGAGGCAGCCGCACCTGGCCTGCTGAGAGGGACCTCTGTGCCAGGGAAGCCCCTCTTCCGGGACCCCTCCCTCAGCAGGGTCCCCACACCCTGCGTCCTGGGCAGGCCTCAGCCCTGGGCCTTGGTGGGAAGGGTGTGGCAAGCTGCTTTGTGCAGGGCTGGAGGCCGGGGGAGGCGGGGGAGTGCCCGGTGCTGGGGGGAGCGGCACCTCTTCCCCTGGGGTCCCACAGCCCCCTCAGCACCCAAAGCCCGGTGGCAGCCCCCAGTCAGCCCCATCTTTGGCCTCTGTGCCCTGAGGAGGGAGCTTCTGGGGCCCCGGATTCACCCAGAGACACAGAGCAAAGGGCACAGGGGTGCTGGGGGTGGGGTGGGCACCGAGTGATTCTGGCCACGGCCTTAGACCAGGAGTCCTGGGATGCACCCAGGAGGTGACTGGTGGCCACTGACCAGCCACCGAGGGTCCCTAATGGCTGCAGAAGCTCCTCCCCACCACCCTTGCCGGCTCCCGCCACGCTCAAGCGCGGCCGGCTCACCTTGGTGGTGAAGGAGGCTGTCTTTGCGTAGTGGTTCAGCATCTGGTCGTAGGTCAGGCTGTGATAGTCAATGATGTCCCTCTTGATGGTCCAGAGGAGGTACGGCATCTCATTTTTTACCAACCTAGACTGGCAAGAAAAAAGTCTTTATTGATGCCCAGCATTCAAGGTTCACACCAGCCAGGATGGGATGGAGTGAGGCAACCATCAGAGGACAAATGGCGTGCAGCGTGAGGATCCCAGCCGGGCTCTGCTGCAGGCAGTAGTGCTCCTTGTGGGCCTCCTGCACATGGGATGTGGGGCGCAACCAGGACCACATACGGTTTCCACAGAGGGGCCTCGGGCTCTGGGGGGCCACCCCGATGTGGGGCTGCAGGTGGGGTCTGAGCCGTCCGCATGGGGTCTACGTGGGTGTGGGGACGTGCCACTTGCCGAGGTGACACGACACTTCATAACCCAGAGCTTACAGTCCCCAGGACCGAAGCCCCCAGGCCTGTACCATGGGCCCTGCACACCCCTCCCTGAGCCCCAGGCACTGGCCTCCCGCTCCTCCCCTGCTGATAGAGGGGTTGGTCGTGGAGCTGGGGGCCTGTTGTTGGTGCTTTTCTGTTTATAACAATGGCATGTGTTAAGTCAAAATTCCAACCAGGCTGGGTGCAGTGGCTCACGCCTGTAATCCCAACACTTTGGGAGGCCAAGGCAGGCAGATCACCTGAGGCCAGGAGTTCAAGACCAGCCTGACCAACATGGTGAAACTCGTCTCTACTAAAAATACAAAAATTAGCCGGGCGTGGTGGCGGGCGCCTGTAATCCCAACTACTCCGGAGGCTGAGGCAGGAGAATCACTTGAACCCAGGAGGCAGAGGTTGCAGTGAGCCGAGATTGCACCATTGTACCCCAGCCTGGGCAACAGAGTGAGACTCCATCTGAAAACACCCCCCCAAAAAAGTGTGTGTGTGTGTGTGTGTGTGTGTGTGTAAATAATAGCATACTAATCACTAACCACTGGGTACTGGGGTGAGAAACAGCATCGTCAACAGAGCCGAAGTCCCCCAGCCGCCCCCACCCGGTAACTGCCACCTGCTTCTGTCTGTCCTCCAGGCACAATGAGCAGAATGTTTCTGTCTCTCTGGAATGCATGTGCTACAATCCTCATCCCCAGGGCGATGGCATAGGAGGCTTTAGGATTAGGTCATGAGCCTGAGCCCCTTATGATGGGCTAGCACCCTTATAAAAGAGGCCCCAGAAAAACCCTCGCCCCTGGGTGAGGACGCAGAGAGAAGCCAGCCGTCCATGAAGCAGGACACTCTCACAGCACCCAGCCACACTGCCCCAACCCAGACTCCAGCCTCCAGAACAGTGAGGAATGTTCTGATGTGTCCACACCACTGCCCACGGACCTGTGGGAGCCGCTGGAGCACCCAGGATGCTCTGTAGGAATGGCACTGACTCCAGGAACCTGGAAGGGCGAGCTCACTGGCCATGTGGGAGGCGCCTCATCAAATCTGGGCCCATTTTTCTATTTGTCTTTTCATTACTGATTTGTGAGTTCTTCATATATTCTGGACATTTGATCTTTTAAATTTTAAGTACTGCAAATGCCGCCTCCCACCCTGGTTTCTCTTTCGCCCTCTTTATGGTGGAGTGTTGGGAGCCCCGGAGGGACTAGGCTGGGCTGGGGAGGTGGGGAGGCACATACTACTGTGTTGCTGGAGACAGGAGCTCACTCGCTGGCCAGGCCCCATCCTGCAACACACCAGCCGGGCTGTCCGAGCCCTGCCGGGCCTCAGTGCCCTCAGCTTCCACATGCGCACAGCAGGCCAGCCCAGTGTGGGTGGAGGGGAGCTGGGAGCACCGGGTCCACCCACTACACAGCGGCTCATCCAGCACCGAAGGGCTCGCCCCACCCCTGGGGGCAGCCAGGCCCTGCTGCCCGGTCAAGGGGCCCTGCTGTGACTGGGGCTTTGCCCTCGCCGGGCTGCCATCCCCCCAGGACATGGGAGAGTGGGCACGGAGCAGGGCGACGGTGTGAGAAGCTTTGGAGAGGCCGCAGCTGACCATGACGCATGCAGGGGACGTACCATCACGTCGTGGATGTTGTCTGTTTTCTCCAAAGCCATTTCTTGATTTTCTTTGACTTTGGCACATGTATCATCTGCCAACAAAACACAGGGGAGGCCTGAACATGAAGCCTCAGCCAGACTTCCCGCACCGGGTCCGTTACCACAACCGCAGGCAGGACAGCGACTTTACTTCCAGAAACCTGG
Organism: Homo sapiens; assembly: GCF_000001405.40. Taxonomy (NCBI): domain Eukaryota; kingdom Metazoa; phylum Chordata; class Mammalia; order Primates; family Hominidae; genus Homo; species Homo sapiens. Next base: position 50,049,435 of record NC_000022.11, read on the forward strand.
CTCCAGATGGGGCCTTCCCCTGGTGGAGCAGGAGCCTCTGTGGGTCCTGAGTCAGGCTTGGGGCATTCTGGCAGCCCCCATACATCCAATGAGCGTCCACCGCACAGCACCTCCCCAGGGCTGTGACAGGGCTTGGGGGCCCGGGATTCCTGGAGGCCCAGGTGTCCCCAGGTGTGGAATGGTGGAGACAGCCCGGGATGGGGGTGGGAGTGATAGAGGCTGAGGGGCCACAGGCAGGGGTGGAGGAGGAGGGGGACATTTGATCCGGGTCTCAATGGGGCCAAGAGGATGCAGACACAGCTGTGCAGATGTCAGCGAGGAGCAGCCAGCACCACGGGGGCCTGAGGAGTGGACTTCAGGGACCTGGGGCTGGAGGAGGGACAGCTGAGGCCGGGCGGAGAGAGGATGACAGAAACCGCCCGGGCAGGAGGAGGCCTGGGTGGAGGCCACAGGGACTCTGAGAAGGGAGCAGGGCTGGGGGCTTGAAAGGGTTTGCCTGGCACGACCGCCTGGGGCAGGGAGGCCAGGAGGGTGATGGAGACCTGGGGTCGGAGATACCCCATCACGCACACCAGGGCCGAGGGGCAGGCACCACACTCAGGCCGGCGCCGACTCCTCCTGCCCGTGACAGACGCACACGCCCTGAGCTGAGACGTGCGCCTCCGATACGCTACCATTGACCCGGGCGCCTTCATCCTCGACATCCGGAATGACCTTGGGCAAAAAGTGGAACTTCTTCTCTACCCAGCCCTTCCTTCGCAGAGCGGCCCGGACCACCGGGTAGTGTCCGTAGATAGAGAAAATCTTCTTCTCCTAAAATGGCAAGAGGATATTTTATTTTATTTCAATCATTTTTGGGGAATAGGCAGATTTTGGTTGCATGGATAAGCTTGTTAGTGCTGGTTTCTGAGATTTGGGGGCACCCATCACCCAATATGTCCTTTTTTTTTTTTTTTGAGATGGAATCTCACTCTGTCATCCAGGCCGGAGTGCAGTGGGGCAATCTCAGCTCACTGCAACCTGTCTTCCAGGTTCAAGCAATTCTCCTGCCTCAGCCTCCCAAGTAGCTGGGATTACAGGTGCCTGCCACTAAGGAAGGAGACCACTACTACTCCTGCTGCCCTCCTCCCCCACCTTGCCTAGTTCACAAGACAGGAGGAGAGAAAGAGCAAAAAGTTGGGGGAAAAGAAAAGTAAGATAAATAGCCAGACAACCTTGGCACCACCACCCAGCCCTAGGAGTTAAAAAAAGTAATAATAATAACATCAACCCCTGACCTAAACTACTTGTGTTATCTGTAAATTCCAGACACTGCATGAAAAAAGCATTGTAAAACTTTCTGTTCTGTTAGCTGATGCATGCAGCCCCCAGTCACGTTTCCCATGCTTACTTGATGTATCACGACCCTTTCACGTGGACCCCTTAAAGTTGTAAGCCTTTAAAAAGGCCAAGAATTTCCTTTTCTGGGAGCTCAGTTCTTAAGACGCGAGTCTGCTGACACTCCCGGCCGAATGAAAACCTCTTCCTTCTTTAATCCGGTGTCTGAGGAGTTTTGTCTGTGGCTCATCCTGCTACACCACCAGGCCTGGCTAATGTTTGTATTTTTTAGTAGAGATGGGGTTTCATCATGTTGGCCAGGCTGGTCTTGAACTCCTGACCTCAGGCGATCTGCCCACCTTGGCCTCCCACAGTGCTGGGATTACAGGCGTGAGCCACCGCGCCCAGCCCCAATATGTAATCTTTTATCCCTCTCTCCCCTCCCAATCTTCCCCCAAGTCTCCAAACTCTATCTTATCATTCTTATGCCTTTGCATCCTCATAGCTTAGCTCCCTCTTATGAGAACAAGCGATATTTGGTTTTCCATTCCTGAGTTACTTCGCTTGGAAGAATGGCCTTCAGCTCCATCCAGGTTGCTGCAAAAGACATTATCTGGTTCCTTCTTATGGCTGAGCAGTATTCCGTGGTGCAGATACACCACAGTTTCTTTATCCGCTCGTTGGTTGATGGGCATTTTGATTGGTTCCATATTTTTGCAGTTGTGAACTGAGCTGCTGCAAACATGCGTGAGCAAGTATCTTTTTTGTATCATGACTTCTTATCATCTGGGTAGATGCCCAGGAGTACGGTTGCTGGATCAAATGGTAGATCTACTTTTAGTCCTTTAAGGAATGTCCACGCTGTTTTCCACAGTGGTTGCACTAGTTTATATTCCCACCAGCAGCGTAAAAGTGTTCCCTGTTCACCACTTCCACGCGGACCTCTATTACTTTTTCACTCTTTCATTATGGCCATTCTTGCAGGAGGAAGGTGGTATCACATTGTGGTTTTAATTCGCATTTCCCTGAGAATTAGTGATGCTGAGCGCTTTTTCACGTTTGTTGGCTGTTTGTATAGTATTTTAAGTCAAGGAATTGAAAAATAAGTTGATTATTTTTCTGTAAGAGGAGTTTTCAAAGCAGAAGGAGACAAACTGTGCTCTGGCAGGAAGACATCTGCTCAAAGAAGACCATGCCCACACCCAGGCACACAGCGGACGAAGCGGCACAATTACAGCTGTAGCTGGGAACCCTGAGTCTGAGTCCCAGCACCCATACGAGACATCCGGTCGGTCCCAGCACCTCTCTGGGAACCCCGAGTCTGAGTCCCAGCACCCACACGAGACATCTGGTTGGTCCCAGCACCGCTCTGGGCCGCTGTCTACTCCGATAATCAGTCTGAGGCCTGTCACCCGCCCACGTGGCTGTGCACGTGAATGAGCCTATCACCCGAGGCTTTGGGGAGAACGGTGGGGGAGCTGGACAGTCCGCAAGAGGGCTGGCACCCTCCGACTCCACAAGACACTCTGCCACCCCCAACACCCTGCTTAGCTGTGGTCAAACTGAGTAACTTTAGAAAAATGGATGGGCAGAATACAATTCCTAAGGAAACCACCAAAGGAATAAAAACAGCGTAAGATTTCCAACAGGTAAGAGAGGGGAAAGGGGGATTTAAAAAGTAACCAGTCCGGGAGAGCACATGAAAGGAGAGGAAAGGAAAATTGAACCAAAGGAACGTACTAAATGAATGAAGATAACAGACACACCTGAATACATCAACGGTTTAATTATAGATAAATACACTAAATGCTCCAGACAAAAGGCAAAGAGACCATCAAACACATAGGTATACAGATGATGGGGTAGAAAAGGAAAAGATAGAAATATGAGACAAAATAGTCTTTGGGACAAATAAACATTACTAAGGTAAAGAAAACCATTTCATAATTTTAAAAAGATTCAATTCACTAGAAAGATACATGTGTATGCACCTATTAAGAAGGCATTAGTTATAAAAAACAAAACTAGAACTACAAAGTAGACAAACCCAAGATTATAATAGGGTATTTTAACCTGCTTCTCTCAGTAATTGATAGAATGCACAGACCAATAAGTTCCATAAGACTTTAGAGGATTTGAACAACTCAAATAACAAACTCTACTCTAGTGGCTATAAACAGCTCACTCTGGCGGAGCACGGTGGGTCAAGTCAGTAATCCCAGCACTGTGGGAGGCCGAGGTGGGTGGATCACCTGAGGTCAGGAGTTCAAGACCAGCCTGGCCAACATGGTGAAACCCCGTCTCTACTAAAAATACAAAAATTAGCCGAGCATGGTGGTGCACACCTGTAGTCCCAGCTACTCAGGAGGCTGAGGCAGGAGAATCGCTTGAACCTGGAAGGCAAAGGTTGCAGTGAGCCAAGACTGTGCCACTGCACTCTAGCATGGGTGACAGAGCGAGACTCCATCTCAAAAAAAAAAAAAAAAAGCACACTCTACACCAACTGTTACATAAATTAACAAAATGTTAGGCGTAAAGCAAGTCTAAACAAATTTCAATGGAATAACATTGCACATAGCACATTCTCGACCACAATGCAATCAAGCTAGAAAACAAGAACAATATAACTACAAAAAAGTAACAAGTGTAGACTGTAAGAACAATACTTTTAAGTAACATGAACTGTAAAATACTTTGAACTGAACATAGACAAACGTACTCCAAAATAAAAGCTTGTGAAATGCAGCTAATGCGGTACCCAGAGGGATAGTTGTAGCCTTAAATGTTTATACATTTATAAACTTTAAAACATTTATGTTTATAAATGTTTATACATTTAAAGGTTTCAGAAGAAAATCTGAAAATTAATGAGCGGATATGGTTCTACTTATATGAAGTTCCAGAAAAGCCCAAAGGACAGTGAGAGAAAGCACAAATAGCGCATCCATGGTTGCCAGGATTTGGGACAGGGGTGGGGAATAACCGATAGGGGCCAAGGGGAACTCCTGAGGGTGATGAAATGGTCTTTATGAAGATTGCTGCCTGACTGCACATGTTTGTACCTGAGGGTGATGGAACGGTCTTTATGGAGACTGTCTGACTGCCCATATTTGTACACGTTCTGCTCTCCGTCCGGGTGTGTCCGGCCGTAACATCACCGTGCCGTGCACCTGCAGTCTGCACATATTTGTACACGTTCTGCTCTCCGTCCGGGTGTGTCCGGCCTTAACATCACCATGCCGTGCACCTGCAGTCTGCACATATTTGTACACGTTCTGCTCTCCGTCCGGGTGTGTCTGGCCATAACCTCACCATGCCGTGCACCTGCAGTCTGTGCACTTTCAGTGTGTGCTGTACCTCAGAGGGGAGTTAAGGGAATGCAGATGTTTTCTCACACTATTGCCAGCTGGATGACTTGGGGTTCCTCTGTGGTCAGGCCTTCTGAGCAGTGGAAATCGACACACCATCAAGACAAAGAAAGCCGCCTTTCCCCAGGTCACTTGCTCTTCTCATTCCAAGCATGGCAGACCTGGAGCCCTCAGCTCCCATTTACAGAACACGAGAGCCTTCCTTGTCTCCCCAGACACATATGGGGAGCAGAGGTCTCCTCCCTCCCCAAGGGAGGCCTTGCTTACATCCCAGTTAAAAGGTAAGGCCTCCCTCTCCTGGGCTCCCTCTCCTGGGGAGGGAGAGTGCCAACTGCCCCATATAAGCTCCCAGGGCCATAATGTTGGGGTTCCTCTCCTGAGGTGCAAACCCCTCTGCACACACAGGTGGAGGCACAGTGAGCGTCCCTAAGGGGAGCTGGGGTGTGGGGAACCTACGCAGGCATTCTCTGAGTACCTGGAAGTCTGTTTCCCATCCAGGAGCCTCATGCTTCCTGTGGGGATAAGCAGATAAACAGATAAAGCCGGGACAAGCACCCACCCTAGGACACACAGCGGGCGGCGCTGGCCACCCCTTGGTGGGAGGCAGAGAAGCATTGCTTCTTTCTAAAGTACGGCTAAAATAAAAGGTATCTCCAGGCTAGGCGCAGTCACTCATGCCTGTAATCCCAGTATTTTGGGAGGCCAAGGCGGGCAGATCACCTGAGGTCAGGAGTTCGAGACCAGCCTGGCCAACATAGTGAAACCTCCATCTCTACTAAAAAATACAAAAATTAGCTGGGCATGGTGGCGTGCACCTGTAGTCCCAGCTACTCGGGAGGCTGAGGCACAAGAATTGCTTGAACCCGGGAGGCAGAGGTTGTGGTAAGCTGAGATCGTGCCACTGCACTCCAGCCTGGGCAACAAAGCAAGACTTCATCTCAAAAATAAGTTAAGTAAATAAATGAAAGGTAACATGAGCCAAGTCCCCACAGGGAGGAGGCTGCAGCTCGGGGGCACAGTGCGTCAGAGGCCAGATGGACAGATTCCAAGTTCCAAAACAAATGTCCTTTTAAAAAAGTGTCCCCCTCCCCACCGAGTCCCAAGGAGCATTTACCTTGATTGCTTTTTCTGTTAACTGCCTTGCTATTTTGTATCTGTCTAATCTGGAGGAAGAAGCCAAGTCTTGGGAAATTCCTTGTTTTAATTCTGCAAAAGAGAAGGAGGACATCAAGTCAAAGGACAAGGCATCCAAGGCCAGGCACGGTGGCTCATGCCTGTAATCCCAGCACTGTGGGAGGCCGAGGTGGTTGGATCACCTGAGGCCAGGAGTTCGAGACCAGCCTGGCCAACATGGTGAAACCCTGTCTCTACTAAAAATACTAAAATTAGCCGGGTGATGGTAGCTCATGCCTGTAATCCCAGCTACTCGGAAGGCTGAGGCAGGCGAATCGCTTGAATCCAGGAGGCGGAGGTTGTGGTGAGCCGAGATCGCGCCATTGCACTCCAGCATGGGCAACAAGAGCGAAACTCTGTCTCAAAAAAAAAAAAAAAAAAGACATTCGTCTGATGAGGCTGACATGAAATGGCATATTCTGAGGGGTGCTATCCATGAGCCAGCAAAATTCATCCACAGTGATGGAGACCAGAGCTGTGGGAGAGGGGGTGTGGCCGGAGATTGGTCCAAGGAATGGTGGTAGACGTGTCAGCGGTGTGTGAACCAGAGCGACTCCATCTTGAATAGGGGCTGGTTAAAATGAGGCTGAGACCTACAGGGCTGCATTCCCAGATGGTGAAGGCATTCTAAGTCACAGGATGAGATAGGAGGTCGGCACAAGACACAGGTCATAAAGACCGTGTTGATAAAACAGGTTGCTGTAAAGCTGGCCACGACCCACCAAAACCAAGATGATGATGAGAGTGACCTCCGGTCGTCCTCACTGCTACACTCCCACCAGCGCCGTCTCAAAGAACATAAATAAAATAAAATTAAATTAAGAAGTTCTGATTATCAAAAGGAAGCATGAAGTGACTGACAAGGCCACATCCATCTGACAAAGAGCATGTATCCAGGACATACAGAGAATTCCTGCAAGTCCATGAGGCCATAGCGCGATTTAACCGCGGCCTGCAGTCCCGGAACCGCACTCCGAGAAGGAAGAGCTCCAAATGGCCAATAATCATGTGAAAAACAGTTCAACACCTTGAGCTGTCTGGAAATGCAAATTAAAACCACACACCCGAGTGCCTGAAATGGCAGCGAGGACACCCACTGCGGGTGGGGACGGGGGCGGGGGCACCGGAGCTCTCGATCTGGCCCTTAAACGGTTGGGGGACCTTCTAAAGCTAAGTATGCGCCTGCCATGTAACCCAGTCATTTGACTCCTAGGGAGCATTTACCCACGCAACGAAGACGAGTCTGAAGAGGGCAAGGGCAGGAAGGAAGAGAGAGGCGAGTGCAGGGCCTCCACGACCCGCCAGGAGAGCCCTCCACACCCACACGTTTAATTTCCCAGTTTCCCAGGAAGCTGGCCAGTGGGATCGGGGTACAGGAGGCAGGAGCCAGCGCCCCCCAACACCCCTGGGGTCCTCCGCCTGGACCGTCCAAGAGAAGGCGCCTGGTTCTGCAGCTCAGTGAAGTGCCTGCCCCCAGAGTCCCTGATTTCCTGGCAGCAGGCTGCAGCCAGCACTGCCTCTGAGCCCGGGCCACTCTGGGCGAGTGGCTGGCACACAGGCAATACACGATACCCACTATTTTCTTCTCTCCCGTCTCCATCTGAAGAAGAAGCCAACGATAGCCCCTTCCTCTCTGGTTCCATACTGGCCTCCGACAGCTTGCCCTTTGCTCCTCTGACCCCTAGAGGAGAGGGTGTGGTGGTTACAGGAAACTGGGAGGGTGTGGGGGGCTCTGGGGATGGAGAGGGTTCTGAGGCCCAAGCTGAGGGTCAGGTCTGGGGTTGGGGATCAGCTCTGGGGTTGGGATCAGGTCTGGGTTGGGGGATGAGGTCTGGAGTTGGGAGGTCAGGTCTGAGTTGGGGTCAGGTCTGGGGATGGGAGTCAGGTCTGGGGTTGGGGGTCAGGTCTGGATTAGGGGTCAGCTCTGGGGTTGGGGATCAGGTCTGGGTTGAGGGATCAGTTCTAGGTTGGGGTCAGGTCTGGGCTTGGGGGTCAGGTCTGGGTTTGGGGGTCAGGACTGGGTTTGGTGTCAGGTCTGGGTTGTGAGTCAGGTCTGGGTTGTGAGTCAGGTCTGGGTTGGGGGATCAGGTCTGGGTTGGGGTCAGGTCTGGGTTGGGCGGGAGGTCTGGGTTGGGGGTCAGGTCTGGGTTGGGGGTCAGGTCTGGGTTGGGGGATCAGGTCTGGATTGTGGGTCAGGTCTGGGTTGGGGTCAGGTCTGGGTTGGGGGGTCAGGTCTGGGTTGAGCGGGAGGTCTGGGTTGGGGGTCAGGTCTGGGTTGGGGTCAGGTCTGGGTTGAGGGTCAGGTTTGGGTTGAGCGGGAGGTCTGGGTTGGGGGTCAGGTCTGGGTTGGGGTCAGGTCTGGGTTGGGAGATCAGGTCTGGGTTTTTGGGGTCAGGTCTGGGTCGGGGTCAGGTCTGGGTTGGGGGTCAGGTCTGGGTTGTGGGCATCAGGTCTCAATTGGGGATCAGGTCTAGGTCGAGGGGGAGGTCTGGGTTGGGGGTGCAGGTCTAGGTTAATGAGGAGAGGTATGGGGTTCTGAAGGCAGAGGGGAGTGGACAGCTGTGGAGTTCCCAGAAGATGGGGGAAGGTGGGGAGAACAGCTCTGGGCTTTCGAGGGCGGGCGAGTGGGTAGAGTTGGGCAGGTTTAGTGGGGGAGTTCTGTGGTTCCGAGCTAGGCGGGTCTGGGATTCCTAGGGTAAGGGGTCTAGAATTTGGAGGCCCGGGGCGGGGAGGGGGTAGGCCTGGGTTTCCGGGTGTGGGAGGCGGGTCTGGGGTTCCGAAGGCAGATGGGGAGGAGGGGTCCTGTCCGGGATCGGAAGCGCGGACGGGCCTGGGGTTCCGCGGTCGGGGGTCGTGCTCACCGGGGACCGGGTCAGTGGCTCGCGCTGCGCCGCCCGGCTTCCTGGGGTTGCCTGGGACAACGTGCTGGGGCGGCCACGCGCATTGTGCACCCCCGGTGCGGCGGCTGCTGGGCCCGTGGCCTCGGGCTGTGCAGCGGCGGCGGCCCCGGGGCGTGGGGCTGCGCGGGCGGCGGGGGGCGCGGGGGCGCGGGGAGCTGCGGCGTGCGGGGGGCGCGGGCCCCGACGGGCAGCAGTCATCAGCGCTTGGGCTGGGCCCGGGTTGGGGTCCGGGTCCCGGGCTGCTGTCGGAGCAGGCGCGGCTGCGGGGTCGGCGGCGCGGGACGGTGCGCGCCATGGTGTCCGCCGGGGGAGGGCCCGAGTGTAGCCCCGGGTCACGCGCTGCGGCCCCGCGCCCCCCTGTGGAGGTCACACTCCATCCCCCACCAGGTCACAAAGACCCGCGGGTCACATCCTGCCCCTCCCCCTCGGGCCCCCCAGGCCCGCCAGGCCTTCTCGCCCTCCCCGGGGCCCTCATGCCGCCCTCTGTCCCTGGGCCCTTCCCCGACGCGAGGCTGGAGCGGCGGGGTGAGGAGGCCGCGGGCGCTGGGCTCCTCCCGGGCTGCGCGCTGCGGGTCCTGGCGGATGGGGGCGACGGGGTGACCGTATCAGCGCCCCCCGTCCTGCGGCGGAACTTGGGAGGGCCTTGGTATCCGCAGAACCACTCGTGGGGTCCCACGCCGCTGCCCCCCGGGGGGTTCTGAGCCCACCCAGGTCCACACGGCCCCTGTCGTTTCCCCCCGCACCCCGCGGATCACCCCGCCAGGGCAGCTCGTGTCTGATCTGGCATCTCGGAGTGGGGGTAGGAAAGACACACCTGCCCCACCAGGACCCTCACTCCTGGCAACTTTCCAAAGCCTAGATGTCTTCATTTGGTTTTAAATCAACTTTATTTTGCATTTAACTTCCCAAGACACCCCAAAAGGGAGGTTCTGCCCCGACTCTGAAGGGGCTGGTGGGGGACTTGAAGGGGGGGAGTGGGAGCGTCCCCTGGCGGGGGTGGTTCCCTTCCAGCTCCCTCCCTCTTCCCCGGGGAATGCCACTGGGCTCTCACCAGACCCCAGTACTGGCCTCTAGGGGTTACACAAATCAGTGAGTGAAAAGCTGGCCCTCCCTCCACCCGCCCCTCCTCCCTGTGTCCCGATGTTTTTAGACCTGAGTGAGCTGACGCTGCTGAGACACAATATTAAATAGCCACAGCCACGTCTGCAAGTCAGCGTTTATTGCTCAAGCGTATTAAACAAAAATGTAGACTGAAAGAGACAGTTCTTTTAAACCCCATTTTTCCGGATTTTTTAAGCGCTCTAAAATAAGAAAATAAGAAAGTGCAAGCCAGCAAAAACGCTCCAAGTGCCTAATTCTGACTCTGAAACTTGAGCTCTCTGGTCTGCCCCCAAGAAGACATCAGCCCGCCCCGGGTCGTCCCTGTGGCTCCCACCCCATTCCCAGGAGCAGACCCCGCCAGCCTCAAAGCTGCAGGGAGGTGGGGGTGGCCTGCAGACAGGGTGGGGTCTGCATCCGGTACCAGTGACAGCAGCCTCTCCTCTCCCACGGTGGCGCTTGTTTGGGGCTGTGGCCAAAGTGTTTGCCCGGCCCCTGACTGTGTCCTTCCGGAGCTGCCGAGGACTGCAGAGAGGGCCTGGCTTGTCCCCTCTAGGAGCAGCTGGGAAGGTGTCTTGCCTGCATCCCCCTTCAATGGTTGAAAATAATGATTCCACTTGTCATGAACACCATGAAGGTATCTTGGCAGCCAGAGTCACTCCTGTTCCGCAGTGGGAAACCTGGGAGGGTCCTCAAACCCCCTGGCAGGGTCTGCAGGCCGCCCCATCCAGCTGCATCTCCCAGGCCTCCTGGTTCTTTGATCTTGATGGCCCCAGGCCACAGATGCATCTCCGGGCCTTTCCAGCAGCCCATGGGGGACCAGTCAATACACCCCACGGCGGTGAAGAGAAAACGTTCATGTCTTCTCAGATCAGAAGGAAAGAAACAAAACCATTGTGAAGGAAAACACCTGCTGGAAAGTAATTATCAAAGTAACAGCATTCCAGTTTCACAGTCGCCCCAACTCACTGTGGATTTACTGCCGTCAGCTGGGAGGACCCAGGCGCCCTCGGGACGAGGAGACGCAGGGAAACCCACTCCTGGCCATGGCACTACCCAAAGCCAGTGTTATTCTCACACCCAACTGTCCCTGCAGCCTGGCAGGTGGGCAGTGACCGCCTGGGCTGTACCCTAAGACCCCAAAACAGCGGAGATGGAGAAGACCGCTGCCCTGGGGCCTTCTCAGTGAGGATCAAGACAAAGTACTTGCTAGGAGGTAGAGGGCGCTGGGTGAACCTGTGAGAATTCCTGGGCTCTGACCTGATCTGTCCTGCATTTTGAGTAATGGGAGCAAACACAGGAGGGAGGGGCTCAGCTTCCCCCGGTCACTGGGGCCAGGGAGACGTGGTCCAGCCGGTTTACAAAGCCTTGGATGCAGCCCCACCCCCAAGAACACTGCCTGTCACAGCAGCGGCCACGTGGCACTCCAAGCTGGGCATGACAGTGCCCGGGACGTGGGCAGCGGCCATGTGGCACTCCAAGCTGGGCATGACAGTGCCCGGGACGTGGGCAGCGGCCACGTGGCACTCCAAGCTGGGCATGACAGCACCCAGGACGTGGGCCGGCCAGTGTGGCGGTGGATCCCTCTAGAATGACTGGGTCTAAGTAGGGAGACAGGGCAGGCGACCCGGCGTGGACTGGTGTGGATTTCACCTGGGAGAGCAGCGGCAGCCTGTGTCGCTTGCGCCCAGGCTCTGGAGGAGGGGCCCCTGCGGCTCCCGGGCCAGGACAGAGGCGCCCAGCCCTGCTCTCACTGTCCAGGAAGAGCCGCTGGGCAGCCTGAGCCTGGGGCAGGTGCACCTTGCAGGGAAGTGGGTAAGATCCCACTGGGCTGACTGAGTACCCGGGACAGACCCTAAGCGTGGAGGGAGGAAGCCCGGTCAGAGTGGGCAGGAGACGCAGGGACCCACAGTCTGGTCAGGTCCAGAGAGCCCACTCCAGCCCAAGCCATGAGAGAGGCAGGAAGAGGAGCTGGGGCCAGTTCAGGGGTGGGGCTCTCAAGAGGCCGAGCCGGGGGCCCTTCCTCGGCCTGGGAAGTTGCGGCCATGCTCCTGCTGTTACGACACGGGAGCCACTCGGAGCTGACTGATCTCACTGAGGCACAGACTAGCCAACATTGGCCTATTTTAAAATTAAACTACCCTAGGAAGTGAAAACCCCACCTGCAGCCTGGTTTGCCCTCACACAAGGGAAAAGAGGTGTTAGAAGCAGTAGCTCAGGGCGATTAGGGGTTGTGCGTTTCCATGCTTGGGGCCAGGCTGGGCGCTGCCACCCGGTTTCCGCGTCTGGGGGTCACTGGGCCATTTGCACCACGACGGCTCTCCAGGCTTTCTCCTTGTCGAACTCCTTCAGGGGGCTCCTGGCCACCTGCAACCGAGACAGGAAAGGTGTTACTTCACCAGGGCCACCTGTGCGGCGGGAAGGTGGACACGCCACTCGGCCACAGGCAGCGAGCAGCCAGCGTTCAGAAGTTTTCTTCGAATGTGAAGGAAGTGGGGAAACTAACCCCTGGGCCTCTGTGGAAAGAGATAAAAGCCTTCACTTCCTCAGTGTCCCAGAAACGCCTGCATCCCCCCCCGCACACACGGTTTCTACCGAGCCTGGGATGGAGCAGCCCTTCACTCGGCCCCTTGCCCTGGCTCTGGGGCGGGGAGCGGGGGGAGGCCGCCCAAGGTTGGGCATGTGCCTGACGGCTGAGGAAGAAAACACTTAAGGCAGAGGTAACCAGATGCCTCCAGGCAAAAGGGAGGACAGCGCCAGCCCCAGCTGTCCACCCTGAGCCCCAGTTGTCCACCCTGAGCCCCAGCTGTCCACCCTGAGCCCCAGTTGTCCACCCTGAGCCCCAGCCACCCACCCTGAGCCCCTGGGCCCCAGCCGTCCACCCTAAGCCCCAGCCATCCACCCTGAGCCCCAGCCGTCCACCCTGAGCCCCAGCCGCCCACCCTGAGCCCCAACCGCCCACCCTGAGCCCAAGCCACCCACCTTGAGCCCCAGCCGTCCATCCTGAGCCCCAGCCGCCCACCCTGAGCCCCAGCCGCCCACCCTGAGCCCCTGGGACCAGCAGTTCTGGGATCTGGGGAGAACACCTCATGCGTCTGACTCTGGGCCTTGCTGGTCACAACAGAAACCCAGGCGGGTCTCATTTCAGGCCCAGGGACTGCCGTCCTAGCAGGGAGACTGACCACAGCCAGGAAAAATGGCAGCAAAGCAACTGAGGAGGCAGGTTAAGGGAACAGCAGTAGGGAGGGTGGAGGGTGGGGGCGACGGGGTCAGCTGAGAAACGAGCCAAGGGCAAGAGAGCGTCCTCCGGGACTTAGCGGGCACTGGAGGCTCTGCACCAAGGTTCTGAGGCCGGTGGTGTGCTGAACACAGGAGGGCAGGGTGTGCAGGGCAAGAGCAGCGGCCGGTCCGCCCAGGATGGCCTAGAGGTGGGGCAGGACTCAGAGCCCCGCTGAGTGGCTGCCCAGGTGTTTGGGCATCAAGGTGACAGTCCTAGTGGTCACTGCACCTGAGGGTCAGCGGGCAGGTTTGCCCAGGGGAGCACCACCAGGACCCGTAGCTCGGTGGGGGGAAGACGCTGAGCCTCTGCCTTTCAGATGTGGGGGCAGCAAGACAGTAGGCAGGGCCCGGGGGAACATTGTTCAGGCAGTGACAGCCAGAAGTTGTTGACACCCCAGCTTTACGGAGCCCCATGTGCCAGGCTGGGTGGGCATTGCCTTCCCTGCAGAACCGCGTCCCCACCAGAGACCAGGGAAGGAAACTTCAGGACCTGTGGGAGTCCTCACAAAGCCCTCTTCTGTGTCTCTAAGAGCAAATCTGAAAGCATTAAGTCCAGAATATTTCCCAGGGATGGGTCTGGGTTTACCCAGGCTTTGTGTTTGTATTTTTAAAAGACATTTTACGGCTGGGCGCGGTGGCTCACGCCTGTAATTCCAGCACTTTGGGAGGCCAAGGCAGGCGGATCATGAGGTCAGGAGTTCGAGACCAGTCTAACCAACATAGTGAAACCCCATCTCTACTAAAAATAGAAAAATTAGCTGGGCTTGGTGGCGGGTGCCTGTAGTCCCAGCTACTCGGGAGGCTGAGGCAGGAGAATTGCTTGAACCCAGGAGGCGGAGGTTGTGGTGAGCCGTGATCGCGCCACTGCACTCCAGTCTGGGTGACAGACTGAGACTCCTTCTCAAAAAAAAAAAAAAAAAAGAAAAGAAAGACATTTTACTTCTTCGGGGTTTTTCTGGGGTGTTTTTAAAAATACAAAGTGGCACAATGAATCTTCGAGGGCCACGTCGTGTGGCCCTCGGAGGCCCTCACCAGGACAGGAGCCCCCACCGCAGGCCTCTCACCTCCCCAGCGGGTGCTCCTGTGGGCCACTCACCTCCCCAGCACCCCTGAAACCCACAGGCCTCTCACCTCCCTGGCTGAGCACCCCTGTGGGCCACTCACCTCCCCAGTGCCCCCACCCCACAGGCTTCTCACCTCCCTGGCTGGGCCCCCCATGGGCCACTCACCTCCCCAGCACCTGCACCGCAGGCCACTCACCTCCCCGGCTGGGCACCCCTGTGGGCTACTCACCTCCCCAGCACCCCCTCCCCCTGCAGGCCACTCACCTCCCCGGCTGGGCACCCCTGTGGGCCACTCACCTCCCCAGCTTCCCCCCACCCCACAGGCTTCTCACCTCCCTGGCTGGGCACCCCCGTGGGCCACTCACCTCCCCAGTGCCCCCTCCCCCTGCAGGCCACTCACCTCCCCAGCCAGGCGCTCCTGCGGGCCGTTCTGGGTGTCCCAGGATGCACCCTGCAGCCTTGCACTGACCTTGAAGCGCACGCACTGGATGGCGGTGCCCGTGTTGAGGCCGGCCTGCAGCAGGAGCACTAGCAGCAGCAGCAGCAGCAGCACATCGTAGGATGGCTGCAGGCGGAAGGAGGTGTGAGCAGAGTGGCCCAGCCGCCCTCCAGCCCAGGAGACCAAAGCTCCCTCGTGCCCACGGCCTTCACAAAGAGCAGGTGCCAGGGCTCGAGTCGGAGCCCCAGTAACCCAAACGCATTGCTATTTCAACAACCTGATGATAATCATTCTAGCTCAATTAATGAGGTCAATTCTGCTTTAAATTCCATCAGCTTGTGTTCAACATACAGGAATAAAAGTGACCGAGCCACTGCCAGGCCCCGTGGACAGTGCTGGCTGCTAGTGGTCAAGTCGCTCCACCCCTCCTGCTCCAACACGCGCAAGGCTCAGTCCCAGAGCCAGAGAGAATGTCCGCGGGAGGCAGAAGCGCTGACCGTTCCGTGTCAGCAGGATCCTGAGCGGAGGAGACAGGGGGCAGCCGTCCTGGGGGGATGGGGTGCACAGACCCCCAACAGCTTCACCCCTGAGCACCAGCTGCTAGGAAGGAAGGGGCAGGAGGCAGCGCGGTGAGCTCGGCAGGGAAGAGGATGGAGGGAGCGGCCGAGGATGCAGGGGGCCAGAGAGTGACCACGGAGCACCCAAAACCCTCTGTGCCCATGGATAGCTTTCCCGTGTTGGCTCAAGAAAAACAAAGCAACTAAATGTTAACACACAAAAGAGCCAAACATCTATCCAATGTCACTGCTACAAAAAGTAAGAGAAGAAACAGAACGAACAGCTCTTCTCAAGTTAACATAAAACTTTTTTTTGCGACAGTCTCCCTCTGTCACCCAGGCTGGCGTGCAGTGGCGCGATCTCGGCTCGCTGCAACCTCTACATCCCAGGTTCAAGCGATTCTCCTGCCTCAACCTCGCCAGTAGCTGGGATTACAGGTACCCGCCACCACGCCCAGCTAATTTTCGTAGTTTTAGTAGAGACGGGGTTTCACCATGTTAGCCAGGCTGGTCTCCTAACCTCAGGTGATCTGCCTGCTTCGGCCTCCCAAACTGCTGGGATTACAGGCATGTGCCACTACGCCCGGCCTGGATTTTAAGTAATTATTAGAAAGTCTGGTACTTGTGTTCCCAGCTGGAGTTTACCCTGGAGGATGGTAAAGGCATGGGCCCCATGTGGTCTTTGCTCTTCGGTTGTTGAGACACCATTTATTGCAAAGCCTATGCTTTCCTCAGTCTCAAAAAAAAAAAATCCAGAGCCATTAAAGAAAATATTAATCAACTTAACTATTTAAAAAAATAGCTTTCACATAACAAAAATCACAACAAGCAGAACAAGAAATAGCCGCCAGGCTGAGACCACCATTTGTATCCTCCATCACAGATGGAGCTGGTCTCCCCCGGCACCAGGGTTAGCGGAAAATGGTCAGGAGACATGAGCAGAGTCCACTGAAAAAGCAATGCAGACGTCCTCATGCTTTGTAAGAGGTCCTCGTCCTCACCCACATTGAGACGGAGGTGCTCCCACCCGTGTCACCGAACTCCAGCGTGACACCCTCTGTGGGGGGCTGTGGAGAAGTGAGCACCTTCACGCCATTGGCAGGAGGGAAGGTGGACGGCCCCCATTGAGGAGGTCGCCGAGATTTATCAGCATGACAGCTGCACCTACCCTCTACCCAGCAGTCTCTCTCCTAGCTGGATATCCTAAAGATGCGCTGAGGATTCAAAAGGAAGATGCGTGCAGGTTGTTCACGGAGGAGTTATTTATAGTAGCAGACGGTTGGAAATAACTCAGTTTCCATCACTAGGGACTGGCTGGGTTGACCGGGCAGTCAGGAGCGATGAAGGAATTCAGAAGAGCTCTGATCCCCTTGGGTATCGAGAAAACACCAGGATAAATTATTAAGTTTAAAAAAACAAGCAAGGGGCTGGGCACGGTGGCAGAAGCCTCCTCATCCCAGCACTTTGGGAGGCCAAGGTGGGCGGATCGCTTGAGCCCAGGAGCTCATGACCAGCTCAGGCGACAGAGTGAGACCCTGTCTCTGAAAAATAAAATAAGTAAATACATAATTAAAAAGCGAGGTACATGGCTGGGCACAGTGGCTCACGTCTGTAATCCCAGCACTTCGGGAGGCCAAGGTGGGCGGATCGCTTCAGCCCAGGAGCTCATGACCAGCCCGGGCAACAGAGTGAGACCCTGTCTCTGAAAAATAAAATAAATAAATACATAACTAAAAAGCGAGGTATATGGCTGGGCACGGTGGCTCACGTCTGTAATCCTAGCACTTTGGGAGGCCGAGACAGGCAGATCACTTAAGGTCAGGAGTTCAAGACCAGCCTGGCCAACATAGTGAAACCCTGTCTCTGCTAAAAGTACAAAAATTAGCCGGGTGTGTTGGCATATGCCTGTAATCCCAGATGCTCCGGAGGCTGAGGCAGGAGAATCACTTGAACCCAGGAGGCAGAGGTTGCAGTGAGCCAAGACTGTGCCACTGCACTCCAGCCTGGGAGACAGAGTGAGACTCTATCTTAAAAAAAAAAAAATGGCAAGGTACAGAATAGTGATTCTAGTATACAAGCTATTTTGTAAGAAAGAAAAAAAAATTATCATCTGGTTGCCCATAAGAGGAGCAGGTCAGTCAGGCATGAGACCACAGCTTTTCTGAGCTCGTCTTTTATAGTTTGGCTTTTGAACCACATAAATATTTTATATATTCAAAAAATACCATTTTAAAAAGAAAAAAAGCACCAAGCCCTAAAATGGAATACAACCAGAGGCCATTAAACTTAATGGGGTATCGAACCCAGAGGATAACCCCACACAGAAAGGGGCCGACTTCGATGGCGTGTGGCCGTCCCCTGCTAGCAGAATGCATGCTGAAGATAAAAGGGAAGCCTCAGGCTCACTCAGGAGATGGCCCCTGGGTGGTAATATTGTCTCTTGTAATCGTGAACAATTATATGCATATTGTAAGACAACATGAAGTAGGAGATATATTAAATGTCACAGGAAACAAAATAATTGGAGTAGGAGTGGGTGAAGCAAACACAAGAGAAGTGAAGAAAAAACCCTGGGCCGGGTGTTGTAGCTCACTCCTGTAATCCCAGCACCTGTGGGAGGCCGAGGACGCTATCCCCCTTCAGACAGTGACTCCATGCCCCCATCAGACAGTGACTCCATCCCCCATCAGACAGTGACTCCATTACCCCATTAGACAGTGACTCCATCCCCCGTCAGACAGTGACTCCATCCCCCGTCAGACAGTGACTCCATCCCCCGTCAGGCAGTGACTCTATCCCCTGTCAGGCAGTGACTCCATCCCCCGTCAGGCAGTGACTCCATCCCCCCATCAGGCAGTGACTCTATCCCCTGTCAGGCAGTGACTCCATCCCCCTGTCAGGCAGTGACTCCATCCCCCCATCAGGCAGTGACTCCATCCCCCCGTCAGGCAGTGACTCCATCCCCCGTCAGGCAGTGACTCCATCCCCCATCAGTGACTCCATCCCCCATCAGACAGTGACTCCATCCCCCATCAGACAGTGACTCCATCCCCCATCAGGCAGTGACCCCATCCTCCATCAGACAGTGACTCCATCCATCCATCAGACAGTGACTCCATCCATCCATCAGACAGTGACTCCATCCCCCATCAGACAGTGACTCCATCCCCCATCAGACAGTGACTCCATCCCCCATCAGACAGTGACTCCATCCCCCCATCAGGCAGTGACTCCATTCCCCATCAGCACACGCATGTTGACCTGGAGCAAACAGCTTAATACAGGTCTTCTAATGATTTGGGTGCAAAACCACTTATACTGGAAAAAAAAAAACAAAAAAACAAAAAAACACTAGGTATCTAAGAAATACATCTAGCTACACGTGCCTGAGCCTCAGAAGTCGTGTTGGAGATAAGCTCCTACTGGGTCAGCTCAAAGTAACAGGACTTTGAATTCTCCTTAAATTCACCTGTTAAACTCAATGCAGTTCTGATGCAAATCCGAAAAGCATGTCTCATAAACCCAGGACAGATTCTAAAATGGGCTCAGGGACAGAGTGGGTCCCAGGTCCCTGTGAAGCAGGTGGTGGCCCCAGATACAGGGCGGAATCGAGGCCCCGAGGCCCTGGGGCCAGGCTGGCATTGGGGAGCACGGTCACCGCTGCCCAGGAACAGCGGAGGAGGTGCCTCCTGGAGCTGTCCCTGGAGCCAGCGCCCCCAGAGTCCCAGGCAAAGCCAGCAAGGGCCAGGCCAACACGCAGAGCACCACATGTCTGGGGGGCTCTGAAATAAAATACAACTCACTTTTATGGCTGGCGGGTAATCCTTAAACATCTCCACGATTCTCATGATGCTGAATGACAGATATCCAGAGGCTGTGAACAGCAGCGGAGACGTGAGGCTGCTTATGGCAATCAGGACCTCCACCTGGAAAAAAAGCGCGGGTTGCAGGACCACGGCCGGAGCCTGGGAGCCCAGGACAGCGGGCGTGGCCAGGGCTGGGGGGGCGGGCATGGCCGGGCACTCATGGGCATAGTCCCAAGCTGGTTCCCTGCATGACTCCTGCTGAAACCTCTGCCTTTTCTTTTTTCTTTTTCTTTTTTTTTTTTTTTTTTTTTGAGACAAGTCTCGCTGTGTCGCCAGGCTGGAATGCAGTGGCATGATCTTGGCTCACTGTAACCTCCGCCTCCCGGGTTCAAGTGATTCTCCTGCCTCAGCCTCCCGAGTAGCTGGGATTACAGGCGCCCGCCACCACACCCAGCTAATTTTTGTATTTTTAGTAGAGACCGTGTTTTGCCACGTTGGTCAGGCTGGTCTTGAACTCCTGACCTCAGGTGATCCACCCACCTCGGCCTCCCAAAGTGCTGTGATTACAGGCATGAGCCACCGCGCCCGGCCTGCCTTTCTTTCTTTTTTGAGAGGCAGCCTAGCTGTGTAGCCCAGGCAGGAGTGCGGTGGCACAATCTCTGATCACTGCAACCTCTGCCTCCTGGGTTCAAGCAATTCTCCCGCCTCGGCCTCTTGAGTAGCTGGGATTACAGACATGCGCCACCACACCTGGCTAATTGTTTTGTATTTTTAGTAGAGACAGGGTTTCACCATATTGTCAGGCTGGTCTTCAACTCCTGACCTTGTGATCCACCCACCTTGGCCTCCCAAAGTGCTGAGATTACAGGCATGAGCAGCCTGCCTTTTCATTCACAGCACAGTGCCACAAGTTTTGAAATACTTACCATCTAGGCAAGGTGGCTCACATCTGTAATCCAAGCACTTTGGGAGGCCGAGGAGGGCGGATCACCTGAGGTCACGAGTTCGAGACCAGCCTGGCCAACATGGTGAAACCCCCATCTCTACTAAAGATACAAAAACTAAGCGGGTGTGGTGGCGCATGCCTGTAGTCCCAGCTACTTGGGAGGCTGAGGCAGGAGAATCGCTTGAACCCGGGAGGCAGAGGTTACAATGAGCTGAGATCGTACCACTGCACTCCAGCCTGGGTGACAGAGCAAGACTCTGTCTCAAACAAACAAAACCAAGAAACAAAAAACATTTACCTGCAATTCTCCACTCTTGAAAAAATAGCCCTTCCGCATGGGTCACCTCCTTCACTGCTCTGAAGTCTGTCCTTTTAACCCACCCCAAATCTTCCTGTTTGACCCATCAAGTCTCAGAGACAGCCTTCACTCATGCCAAGCATGGGCAGTCACCTTGCAAAGCACTCAGGGTCCACATTTTGGCAGCAGTCATTAACGATCGACCAGTTCAATTGTTTGCGGTCAGTTTGTGGCAGTTTCGGCCGGGCGTGGTGGCTCACACCGGTAATCCCAGCACTTTGGGAGGTTGAGGTGAGTGGATCACCTGAGGTCAGGAGTTCGAGACCAGCCTGGCCAACATGGTGAAACCCCGTCTCTACTAAAAATACAAAAATTAGCCGGGCATGGTGGCAGGCGCCTATAATCCCAGCTACTCAGGAGGCTGAGGCAAGAGAATCACTTGAACCCGGGAGGCGGAGGTTGCAGTGAGCCAAGATCGTGCCATTGCACTCCAGCCTGGGGGACAAGAGCGAGACTGCATCTCAAAAAAGAAAAAAAAACAATCGACCAGCCTTAGGAGGTGCAGATGATGCTCAGACACTGGTCTCCTTCCAAGGGTTAGGCACAGAGAGCGCTTCCAGTGTCTACACCACCTTGTTCAGGTCTGCCTGTCCCTGAGAACAGTCCCTGCTGAGCGGGCCAGCCTCCACCTCCCACAACCCCACCTTCCTCATTGTGCAGGCCCTGCAGCCCAGTCACTGCGCTCTCTTGGGCTGGAGCCTGGTCACATGGCACCAAGGGAGGGCTAGGCCAGGCCCTGGCCCCGCTCGGTGGGTCCCTGGCACCCAGGGCTGAGGGGTTCACCCACCAGACACTTGCTGGGACACTCTGCTGCCACATGACTGGCAATGGCACTTGGAAAGCACTAAGAGAAAAGAAAAAGGAAAGATTTTAGAGGAAATAGTCGAAGAAGTCGAATTCCAAACATGTGCCCTCCCACCAGTGACCCCTCCATGCAGGCTGCCTGGCTGGCTTGCTGTGGGGGGCAGGGGGGATGGTGCAGTGCCCAAAGGCGCAGCTGGGGCAGGGACGGGTCCGCAGGGAAGCAGGGGTAGCCTCTCAGAGGTTTTGTGTGCTCTCTGTTCCTCAACCATTGGTTTAAAATTTTAAGCCTGTAGAAAAGCTGCAAGAGCAGTGGAGGGGGCATCTGAGGCCCCAAAATCACCAGAGTCCTTGACATTCATATCTGTGCTCTCTCCAGCTCTCCCAGATAGCCTGATGCCTGAACACCTGAGAGTGCTGGCTGAGCCCAGGGCACACTCTTGCACACACCCAAAGCAGGACCACGCTCGAGAGACTCCACGTGGGGCCGATGTGGTCCATGCCCAGATTCTTCCAGTTGTCCTCATCATGTTCTTTCTTTTTAATTTTTTAATAATTTTTCTTTCTTCTTCTCCTTTTTTTTTTTAAGATGGAGTCTTGCTCTGTCACCCAGGCTGGAGTACGGTGGCGCGATCTTGACTCACTGCAACCTCCACCTCCCAGGTTCAAGCCTCCTGAGTAGCTGGGATTATAGGCACCCACCACTACACCAGGCTAATGTTTGTATTTTTAGTAGAGACGGGGTTTCGCCTTGTTGGCCAGGCTGGTCTCGAACTCCTGACCTCAGGTGATCCGCCCGCCTCGGCCTCCCAAAGTGCTGGGATTACAGGCATGAGCCACCGCACCTGGCCCTGGTCATGTTATTTCTAGAGCTGTTTGTTTGTTTGCTCCTGATCCGGATTCGGTCTGCCATTGAGCTCGTAGTCTCCTTGTGGGTCCCTGTTAATCGGGGAGTCCCTCAGCCTCTGTCACCTCCGTTACCTGGTCGCTTCTGGGGGGTGCAGCCCATCAGCTGCAGTCGGGCCTCCGTGTGGGACAGGATTTCCTCATGATGAGCCTTGGGGAGCCTCGGAGGAGACTCTGCAGTGCCCCAGGGTGTGGACTGCCCCTTCCTGATGACGCTGACTTGACTCACTGGGTTAGGGGGATCTGTAGGTTCCTCTGTTGGATGGGCACCTCTTCCTTTTTATAACCAAGAAATGCCCTTTTCCCACTTATTGTGAGGAGCCTGCCTTAGTTCCGCACAATGTAGGCAGAGGGAGGATGCATGCTCTTCATCCTCTTCATCTCCCCGAAGGTGTCCAGGTGCCAGCACCCCAGCCCGGCCTGCTGGGGAGGGGGCTGCATCAGCCAGGGGCTGTGGTGAGAGGGTGGGCAGGACAGAGATGGGCTCCGAGCAGGGGAGCCTGGGCAGCAGGGAGAAGACTGGGGAGCTGAGGGGCTGCCAGTGCAAAGGCCCCAAGCCAGCTGCTGAGGTGGGTGTGGCCCTGGCCAGGGAGGCTGAGGTGTCAATACAGGGGTCTCTCCTGGGCTTGGTGCTTCTGAAAGGGCCTTCTAGCTGTAAGCAGCAGTGAGGGCACAGGAAGGGATGGTGGCTTCAGGGTGGCCTATTCAGGGCCCCAGTGAGCCATGGGAGGGCGGGAGTTTCCCCGTTCACCCAGCATGGCCACTCCGGCCCCTGCCCTAGAGGGCCAGGAAGCTCAGCCATAGGGGCTGGGGCAGCTCAATCAAGGGCCCTGCCCTGGAAGGGTCCAGGCCTGCAGCCCAGCCCCCAACTCCAGCCCCGAGCACCTGCCTCCAGCCCATGGTGCAGGGCCTGGGCCCCTCTGCCGCACCCAGGCCAGACTCAGGCAGGTGGAGCTGGGTCCCTCACCACGCATGCCTCAGCGCTCTCCTCTCCTCCTGGGGTCTCCTGCCCTGAAGAGAGGGTTGGGAGTGTGGGTGGATTTAGGGGCGCCCAGGGGGCAGCACCTGATGGGCAGGGGGTGCTCTCCGGGAAGATGGAGAGAGCAGAGCCACCCCCGAGGCAGGAGGGGTCTGCGGGATGGGAGGGGCCTCTGTGATGAGGGCTGACTGCAGGGACAGGGAAGGGGGTAGGGCAAGTGCCTTTCATTCTCAACTTTTTGGAGGTATGTGGTCTCTGTCCTCCCTCAGCTTCGGGATGTAATCCCTGCGTTTCAGACCCCAGGGTCAGTTGTACACACCTGCAGGCGTCATTCTCTCTGTCACAGACCCGCTTGGGTGGGCACCCATGTGAGTTCTCTGTCTCAGTAGCTGGGCCTGGTCCTACCCCTTCCGGGGGTGTGGCTCTATCCCAGCTCGGTCCTGCCTGGGTCTCTTTCCCTCTCTGAGCGCCTCAGCAGCCCACTAGGTCGGGCACTGGTGCCCTGGGGGCATTGCTCTGTGCCTACTCGCCCCCACAGGGAGCTGAAACACAGCTGCTGCCAATGGGATGTGTCCACCTGGCAGGCGTGGGCCCCTTCTCGGCAGTCCACCCGGCCACACCGTTCCCGGGCAGGCGTGGGCCCCTTCTCCGCAGTCCACCCGGCCATACCATTCCCGGGCAGGCGTGGGCCCCTTCTCGGCAGTCCACCTGGCCATACTGCTCCCAGGCAGGCATGGGCCTCGGCAGCTTCAGGAAGAGCCCCACTGCTGCCCAGGAGGAGCCTGTAGCTGATGCTGGGTGCTCACCATTCCTGCTCATGTACATAAGAGAGCAGGGGCAAAATCTAAAAGTCCACACAGCATGAGACAAACCAGGGGCTGGCCGTCAACACCGGTGTGCAGGCCACTACGCGGCAAGGTGCTGAGAACCTCGTGGGGTCTGCGTCCGGAGGCAGGTGGGTGGTGGCTCTGGGTGGGCTACAGGCTGTGAGGGGATCTGGGGTGTGGAGGGGTTGCTCTAGACTCACTGTTCTGAGGGAACACACCTGTAATCCCAGCACTTTTGGGGGCCGAGGCAGGCAGATCACTTGAGGTCAGGAGTTCAAGACCAGCCTGGCCAACATGGCAAAACCCGGTCTCTACTAAAAATACAAAAAAATTAGCTGGGCATGGTGGTCCACGCCTGTAATCCCAGCTACTTGGGAGGCTGAGGTGGGCAAATTACTTGAACCCGGGGAGGGGCAGAGGTTGTAGTGAGGTGATATTGAGCCACTGCACTCCAGCCTGGGTGGCAGAGTGAGACTCCATCTCAAAAAAATAAATAAATAAAATAAATAAAACAATGCCCATGTATTGAGCATGTGGCATGTGTCAGGTGCTGTGTGACACATCTGCTGCAGTAACATTTAATGTAAAGTAATAACAGAAATATGCTGCATTGTATGAAACACATAGTGTAATATAAAT
Source organism: Homo sapiens (assembly GCF_000001405.40). NCBI lineage: Eukaryota > Metazoa > Chordata > Mammalia > Primates > Hominidae > Homo > Homo sapiens. The sequence goes on from NC_000022.11 coordinate 50,073,892, forward strand.
GCATTATATATTAGAAAATTATATAGAATAATAAACATCTACAGCCTGACATTCATATGTTAAAAAGATTAGAATAATAAAAATAATTGGTATTTTTTTCAGGAAAAATAATATAAAATAATCACACAAACTAATATAAAAGCAGTTAATACTTTGACTCATTTAATCCTTAACTCCCCAGTTCTTCTGAAGTTGGGGGCCAGCGAGGACCCTCTGTGGTGACTCTCTGTCTGAATGCACCAAGACTGAGCTCGGGGCCCAGCCACGCAGGATCTGAGCAGTGTGGCCCAGAGCGGCGGCGGGCGGGCCAGAGGGGTTACTCACGGCCACTAGGATCCAAAAGAACGTCACTGAGAGGTGTGGGCCTGAAACTGAGTCATCCACGTTCAGGGCAATGATCCCCCCGAGGACGGCAGAGATGCCTGCGATTACCTCGACGACCTGGAGGGGACAGGACAGCATCGGCTCATAAGGAAGTGGAGACACCCCCAGATTCCCAGAATGCACTGTGCAGACATGGACCCCCAGGAGCAGGGTCCAGTGGGCTGGCCCCAGATCTAACCGTGGAGGAGCCCACCTGGATGGACCCCCAGCCTCACCTGGCCCAGACCCCCTCTGCCCTCAGCTGCGGCTTTTCACGTCCCTCCTGGAGTAAAATAGCCAAAGAGGTGTTTCCCCCACTGCTGCTTTTGTCCACAGAAACTGAGGGTATTGACCTGACAGTGGTGAGGGCAGAAAACCAAGACCCTCAGACTCCCTTCCCTGTCTCACAGTGTGGCAGGCGGCGGTGCTCAGACCCTGGACCCCATCGAAGGGACTCGGGAAAACAGGCCTGGGGCAGAAGTAGCTTCCCATAGGACACACCCACCCGTGCCATGTGGGTTTGCCATTGCCACGGCAACACTGGACGTCACCACCCCTTTCCGTGGCAATGATCCAACCACCTGGACGTTAGCACCCCTTTTCTAGAAATTTCTGCATAATCTGCCCCTTAATTAGCATATACTTAAAAGTGGGTATAAATAGGAGGCAGAGCTGTCTCTGAGCTGCTGCTCGAGGCACCTGCCGGTTGGAGAGCCCTGCTATACTGCCACTGCAAACAAAGCTGCTGTCTGTCACCTCCAGCTCGCCCTTGAATTCTTTCCTGGACAAAGCCAAGAACCCTGCTGGCCTAAGCCCTGGTTGTGGACTCATCTGCCCGGCACCATCAGGGCCGCAACCAGCACCGCCAGACTCAGGGAGGGGCCGCAACCAGCACCGCCAGACTCAGGGAGGGGCCGCAACCAGCACCGCCAGACTCAGGGAGGGGCCGCAACCAGCACCGCCAGACTCAGGGAGGGCTGGGGAAGAAACACACGCCCGAAAACCTGCTCCCGTGAAGGATCTCTGTGAGTCGCAAACACAGAGCTGTGGCCAGCAGGAAAGCCAGGCATAAGGAGTGGGCCAGCAAGGGCTTGGGGGCCGGAAGGGACCTGGGCAGCCAGGCCTTGCGTCCAGAAGGCACAAAACTCCAGATGCACAAATAAAGCTGAATTCCCAGCCAGGCACGGCGGCTCATGCCTGTAATCCTAGCACTTTGGGAGGCCGAGGCAGACGGATCGTGAGGTCAGGAGTTTGAGTACAGCCTGGCCAACATGGTAAACCCCGTCTCTACTAAAAATAACAAAAATTAGCTGGGCGTGGTGGCGGGCACCTGTAATCCCAGCTACTCGGGAGGCTGAGGCGGGAGAATCGCTTCAACTCAGGAGGCAGAGGTTGCAGTGAACCAAGATCACACCACTGCACTCTAGCCTGGGCAACAGCAGGACTCCATCTCAAAAAAAAAGGAAAAAAAAAAAAGAAGCAGAACGGAAATGGAACCTAAGAGAGGACTGAAATGCTAAATAAGGGGAAGTGAAGGCACTGGGAAACACACACAGACACAGTCAAGCACACAGGAGGCTGTCCCATTGTTGGAGTAAAAAGGCAAAATGTCACTAAATGTCACAAGCTAGACAACAAGGCCAAGGCGGAGGGAAGGGGGACAGACCCCGCATGGTCTGTTTATCAAGGAGCGTATTAGAATATGAAGGGCAACCCCCAAAAGAATACTGAAAAATTTCCCATCCAAAATTAGAGGGAAAAGGAAGGACGGAGCCTCTGCCAATTCAAAAGAAGGCAGGGAAGGAGGGAAAAAGGCAAAATCAGGGAAAATGGAAAACTCAAAAGATGGTAAAAATAAGTAGAAATTTATCAGTAATAACTCTCAGAGGAAATGGGCTACATTCAAAAAGCTAGGGAGAGAGAATGACAAGATAAAGAACAAAATACAGTTACGTGCTGCTTATAACAATTATACCAAAGTACAAGGCAAGAAAAGTTGAAAGTAAGAAGGAGAAAGAGGCCAGGTGCGGTGGCTCACACCTGTAATCCCAGCACTTTGGAAGGCCTGGGTGGGTGGATCACTTGAGGTCAGGAGTTCGAGACCAGCCTGGCCAACATGCCGAAACCCTGCCTCTACTAAAAATAAAATAATTAGCCGGGCGTGGTGGCATGTGCCTGTAGTCCCAGCTCCTCAGGAGGCTGAGGCAGGAGAATTACTTGAACCTGGGAGGCAGAGGTGGCGGTGAGCTGAGATAGCACCACTGCACCCCAGCCTGGCTGATGGAGTGAGACTCCGTCTCAAAAAAAAAAAAAAAATTCCTCGGGGACAACAGTGTCAACTCACCTACGGCAGTAACAAACTCCCCCTAAAAATTACAGGACACCAGCAGCACCTTTCGCGATAAGGAAGGTTATTACCAATGATACCAATAACAGACTAGAGTCTCCACAGATGAGGCGCACGCCGCCATGCGGTGTAGACAGCCAACTCTTCGCCAACTCGGAATCGAAACGTGACGTTTAATCCAGCCTCAGTCACCCCCGACAGAGTATGAGAGAAAAGAGAAAGAAGGGAAGTTTTCTTACTGAGTAAGATTTCAGGACCCGAGCAGGAAATGGCACTTCGTCCAGAATGTTGGCGCTGTCAGACATGGAGCCCTACGAAGAAACAGAACTGTCACCCCGGGTGCACGGGCACAGGGACTCAGCACTGCCGCTGGCATCCGGCCGCCGTGGGCAGTGGGTCAGGTCAGCCTGCCGTGTAGATGCGAGACCGCCTTGGAGGCGCCCGTGGATCTTTGGGCTTGAGGAAATGTTCACACACATTGTCCTTGCATATGAAAATTAGCAGATGTGGTGTCTCCTGGTGATCCCCTGGGGACGAGCACTGGACTGAGTCAGGCTTAGGGGGAGGGGAGGGTACAGCATCTGTCTTCACCTCCCTGTAGCCAGCGGCCGCCAACCCCTCACCCAGCTCCAGAGCCCCTCCTGGCCGGGGTTTCTGAGACCCAGGAGAGAGGGGTCTCATGGGAATGCCCTGGAGCAGCCCAGATCGGCCCTCCGAGGGTGACGCTGAGACCCACCTCGCTCACCCTGGGGTGATGCCTCTGCACCCCCTGCCCTGCGGGGTCAGAAGCTGCACCCACCTTCTTTTTCTTGCAGTCCTCCTCGCTGGACCGTGCAGCGATGATCACCGTGGCCGCCATGAGCAGCTCCAGCAGGAGCAGCAGGATGAGGTTGAAGTTGATCTGCCAAGGGGCACACACGCTTCAGCACCGGGCCCGCCTTTCTCACGCCACCGCGCTTCAGCGTCCACCGGACCACCTCACGGGCAGGCTGCGCAGGACTCTCAGCCACGGTCCCCACTTTTCCCATCCAGGGCCAGCTGTGAGGCACTGTGGGCTGCACACTCTCCTGCCTCACATGGGCCTTTGGGGTCTTTTAGTTTTTAAAACCATTCTTAGTGCAAAGGCTGTACAAACACAGGCCAGGGCTGGATTTGGCCTTGGGCTCTGGTCTACCGACCCCATTCTGAACGCTCCTTGTTCCCACAAAAGCCTTCACGGAATGTTTAGAGTAGCTTCATGCATGATTGTCAAGCACTGAGAACATAAGGTTTTTTGGAGGGTAATGAAACGACTGCAGGCCCTGACCGTATTGGCAGTGACATGAATTTATATGTGTGTTAATATTCATAGAAGCATACATTTTAAAAAGTCAGTGTAGCTGTCTGACAATTTTTTTTTTTTTTTTGAGACGGAGGTTCGCTCTTGTTGCCCAGGCTGGAGAGCAAATGGCGCAATCTCGGCTCACCGCAACCTCTGCCTCCTGGGTTCAAATGATTGTCCTGCCTCAGCCTCCCGAGTAAGCTGGGGTTACAGGCACCTACCAGCACGCCCGGCTAATTTTGTATTTTTAGTAGAGAGGGGTTTCTCCATGTTGGTCAGGCTGGTCTCGAACTCCTGACCTCAGGTGTTCCGCCCACCTCGGCCTCCCAAAGTGCTGAGATTACAGGCGTGAGCCACCGCGCCCGGCCTGACAATTTTTAAAATACATTTAAAAAAGAAAGAGTGCAGAACCACATTCAACTAAAAACAGAGCCTCGAAATATATGATGTCATAACAGAGCCACAGGAAGATGTAGATATATCAGTAGAGGTGGGGAAGGACTTGAAACACTTTTCTTAGAAACTGACAGATCAGGCAGAGGGAGGCGGCTCACGCCTGTGATCCCAGCACTTTGGGGGACCGAGGCGGTTGGATCACCTGAGGTCAGGAGTTCCAGACCAGCCTGACCAACATGGTGAAACCCCTTGTCTACTAAAAATACAAAAATCAGCTGGGTACGGTGGCGCACGCCTGTAATCCCAGCTACTCGGGAGGCTGAGACAGGAGAATTGCTTGAACCCGAGAGGCGGAGGTTGCCGTGAGCCGAGATGGAGCCACTGCACTCCAGTCTGGGCGACAGAGCGAGACTGTCTCAAAAAAAAAAAAAAATGACAGATCAAAAAGACAAAAGCATAAGGAGAACTCTAAAATTCAGAAAAGTGTGACATTAACCTTGTCTTTTATTTTCTGTATTTCTGGTGCTTTGACCTCTGGCTCCTTCCTGATCCTGAAGAGACAGCTCCTCCCAGGGCCAGCCGACAGCTACAGTGAGTAACTTGCCTCTGAGCAGTTCAGATACAAGCCACTGACCCAGGGACCACACCCCATCTGCTCTCCGTCTTAATAAAGAAGCGTCACAGGCCGGGCGCGGTGGCTCATACCTGTAATCCCAGCACTATGGGAGGCCGAGGTGGATGGATCACCTGAGGTCAGGAGTACAAGGCCAGCCTGGCCAACATGGTGAAACCTTGTCTGTACTAAAAATACAAAAATTAGCCGAGTGTGGTGGCACACGCCTGTAATCCCAGCTACTCCAGAGGCTGAGGCAGGAGAATTGCTTGAACCCGGGAGGTAGAGGTTGCAGTGAGCCGAGATGGCGCCACTACACTCCAGCCTGGGCGACAGAGCGAGATTCCTTCTCAAAAACAAAACAAAACAAAACAAAAAGGCAGTGTGGGTGTTCCCACTGGGTCCTCCTGTGTCTGCTCATTTTTCCTGCCCAACGAGAGTGGCCAGGACATACTCAAGCCTCCTCCAGCTTTCCCCAATCATCAAGTGCATTCCACATGTCACACAAAGCAGGAGGCCCTCCTTGCAGTATCTCGGATGAGGTCCTGGTTTCCTTTGGGATTTTTGTCTTTTTTTTTTTTTTTTTTTTTTTGAGACGGAGTCTTGCTCTGTCTTCCAGGCTGGAGTGCAGTGGCGCCATCTCGGCTCCCACAACCTCTGCCCCCTACAATTTCACATTTTTGTTTAGAGGTGCATTGAACAACTGTCTTACACAGATTGGATGAAACATAGTATTATGTCACTGTTAATTTTTAAGGACTGTTGGAAAAGACATTGTTTACCAATAAATCTGTCCCGCAGAATCACGAGACTTCAATAAAGACAATTATTTTCTTTGGATGCATAAATCTCTCAACTTTAGTCAAACTCACGAGCTGTGAATAACATTTACCACCTATTTCCAGCTCAACAAACATTTGCTGACACCATTCGTGGGAGTGGGGCTGTGGGTGTCAGGCGTCTGCGCGAAGCTCGTGTGAACTCACGTTTATTGCTGATGGGTTCAGGACTAGTTTGCATCCAAACCAAATTAAACACGTAGTGGTCACAGCAAACGTGGAAACAAACAATATCTGAAAGTTGGGAATCTGAAAAACAAGGCAGGAGGGGTTTTCCTTCTTTGAATAATAAAAGAAAAAAGGTAACAGATAAACCACACTTCAGGCCATTCACTAAAAATTATCCTGATTAGGACATAATGGTGGGGAGTCCTGCGTGCTCAGCCCGCTCTCCCCTCTGTGCGGCAAAGGCTGGGCTGGGCAGGAGCTTTACTGTCTGGGGGGCAACCTCGGGGGCCCCTCTCGGTGCCACAACGTCTGTGCGTGGGCACACACACAAGCACACATGGGCACACTGTCTGTCAGCCCCTCCGGCTTTCTCCCTGGCAGAGGCTGCCTGCAAGCTAGACTCACCACATTGGCGTTCCTCCTGGAGACGGTGAAGCTCACAATTGCCGAGGGGATGCACTGGAATGAAACCGGAATCCCATGAGCCTGCCGCTCACCTGAGCAACTGAGACTCTGAAATACTCTAACATTTGCGCTTCCAGAAGGATCTGAATCATATTCACAAAACAGTGTTGCCAGTCCATGCAACACAGTGGGTTGGCTTGACTAGAAGGCCCCCAGGTACTTCTCAGTTTTAATTTTTTCTTGAGATGGGGTCTCACTCTGTTGCCCAAGCTGATCTTAACTTTGGGCTCAAATGATCTGTTCACCTCAGCTTCCCAAAGCCCTGCGATTACAGGCATGAGCCGCTGCGCCCAACCCCCAGGTACTTCAAAATAATTTATTCTGAAAGAAGTTTTTATTTTTCTGATGTGCTAAAAAGATATTTGTTAATGAAGGCTCTTCTAGCTGGATAAGCTTTGAAGCCTAGAATGTAACTCACGCAGGCACAAGACCTGGTCTTTGCTGAAAATTACCCAAAAAAGGAAAAAGTATCAGCCGGGTGCAGTGGCTCACACCTCTAGTCCCAACTACTCCGGAGGCTGAGCTGGGAGGATCTCTTGAGCCCAGGAGTTCGAGGCTGCAGTGAGCTGTGAATACTCGGTGATAGAGTGAGACCTTGTCTCAAAAAAAGAAAGAAAGAAAGAAAGAAAGAAAGAAAGAAAGAAAGAAAGAAAGAGGAGGTCTGGTGCAGTGGCTCACACCTGTAATCCCAGTACTTTGGGAGGCTGAGGCGGGTGGATCAGAGTCAGGAGTTTGAGACCAGCCTGGCCAACATAGTGAAACCCCATCTCTACTAAAAATACAAAAAAAATTAGCTGGGCGTGGTGGCGGGTGCCTGTAGTCCCAGCTACTCAGGAGGCTGAGGCAGGAGAATTGCTTGAACCCAGGAGGTGGAGGTTGCAGTGAGCAGAGACGGCGCCATTGCACTCCAGCCTGTGTGACAGAGCAAGACTCCGTCAAAGAAAGAAAGAAAGAAAAAAAGAAAGAAAGAAAGAGGAAGGAAGGAGCAAAGGAAGTAGCAAGACTCTGCATGTGAGGGAGGCAGAAAGGAGTCCCACAGCCTTCTTGTCCTCAGCCTTCTTGTCCCCACAGGGCCACACCAAGGCTAGGAGTCCAGGGCCAGGGAGGGAGGTTGGGACGTCAGGGACAGGGAGGTGGATGGAGTCGGGCCAGCCCAGGCCTGTGGCCCTTGCCGTGCAGGGCCTTGCTCCTGCAGCCATGGGACCCCGGGCCCTGAGTCGGGGGTGCAGGCCCTGAGGGGCTGAGCACAGCAGTGCTGGGTGAGGAGGCAGAAGAAGCCCCGTCGGGGCCTGAGCGAGGGGCAGAGCTAGGGCCAGGACAGCCAGGCTCAGCTCAGCACCCACTCAGGTGCCACGAGGGCCCAGGGTAGAGAAGAAAGGCCGGGGGCAGGGCCGAGTGGGGCCAAGGCTGGGCGGGGGTGGGCACTTGCCCATATCCGGCAGCCGCTGAGGCTGAAGGGGCACAGCTCACAGCTCCACTGGGACAAGGGCGGCTCCCATGGTGAGGATAAAGGCCACGGAGAAGCTTCCAGAGAGGGCAGCAGAGTGGGACGGGTCACCTGCCCCAAAGGGCTTTGTTCTAAGGGAGCAGAGACCCAGGACAGCACGGGGCGGGGCATCCACTTTGTTTTTAAGACATTTCGGGGGCGCTGCTGGGGACAGTCACCAACAGTGTCCCTAGAGAAAGGGCAGGGGCCAGAGACCCAGCAGGCATGTGGAAGCGAGAGGAGGGGAGAGCTCGGGACCAGCTGAAGCAGGAGGGGCGTGGGGTCCGCGGCTTGCGGGCCAGAGGGGCATGGGGTCCGCGGCTTGCGGGCCAGAGGGGCATGGGGTGCGCGGCTTGCGGGCCAGAGGGGCATGGGGTCCATGGCTTGCGGGCCAGAGCCCAGGGGTCAGCCAGCATGGTGCTCTAGCTGCCGGGACGCTGGGGAGGCAGTGGCCGGGGTTCACAGAGGACCAGGGGACAGCGGTTGTCTGTCCTCCCTTGCTCTGAGGATCAGTGGGTGCCTCCACCGGCCTTGGCACTGTGTAAGTTTCTAAAAACACAACATGAAGCTTTGGGAGGATGTGGGGCACAGGTCCCAGTCCCCTGAGGGCAGATGCTGCCAGCTCTGGCAGGACGCAGCCGCAGGCTCAGAATCAACACGCAATTCCCTGCACAGGCGTCTGCAGAGCAAGGTTCAGGCCTGCTTCATCAGTAATTCTCAAAGGTGATGAACTCTACGTGAAACTAAAGTCATATGAAGAGTTTTTTGTTTTTTTCTTGTTGTTGTTGTTTTGAGACGAAGTTTCACTCTCATTGCCCAGGCTGGAGTGCAGTGGCACAATCTGGGCTCACTGCAACCTCCGCCTCCCAGGTTCAAGCGATTCTCCTGCCTCAGCCTCCTGAGTAGCTGGGAGTACAGGCACCCACCACCGCGCCCAGCTAATTTTTGTATTTTTAGTAGAGATGGGGTTTGTCCATGTTGGTCAGACTGGTCTCAAACACCTGACCTCAGGTGATCCACCCACCTCCACCCCTCAAAGTGCTGGCATGACAGCCATGAGCCACTGTGCCCGGCCCATATGAAGAGGTTTGAATGAGGTACAGGTGACAGAAACCTGCACATCTCAGAACAAAGAAACCAGAGCACGTGCCGGCGAGCTTGGGCACTGGCAGAGGCGTGGAGGAAGCTGCTTACAGAGCCTGCAGCACAGCGCAAGTAATCCATCTCAGCCGGGAACACGTTCCCCAGGTACAGCGAAAACCCCGAGGTCACCAGGAGGCAGCTCTGCAAGACAGCGACAGAATCCCAGGTTACAACGCGCCCCGTCCCCAGGCTGGACCCTGACCCTTCAACTTCTGCTTCACTGTCTGTGTATTGGTGACTCACCCACGTCCCCCAGCATCAACCACACCCGCACCTGGGACCCGCCCATCCTGGACTCCTCCTGTAGGACAGACGCAGCCCCGCCGCAGCCCAGGACATGGACCAGCCTCCCCCAGCCATGTCGGAGCATGGACCCCCCACGCTGTTATCTGGAGGAGAGAAGAAAGGGGATCTGCCAATATTTAGAGCAAGGAATGGCACCTCTCCCCACAAAATACTCCTGCCCCAACATGTTGTGCGTGCAGTCTTCCAGATCCCACACCCAGGTCCAGACACGAGACTGGAAAACAACTGCCCATCCCCCTCCGTCTGCAGAACCTAATTTCCAGATCTGGAAGAAGATCCCTCCAGGCAGGGGCTCCAGGCCCAGGGGCTCCTGAGCAGGGAAGACCCTAGCAGGAGGCAGGGAGGGTGCTCTCTCTCACGCACAGCACTGCAGGGGTGCGGTGGGGAGGGGGCTCTCTCTCACGCACAGCACCCCCGGGGTGAGTCTGAGGGGAGTCAGTATCAAAGGTCACTGGGACCCAGGGTCCTGGCAGAGGAAGCGAGGTCTGGGGCAGAGGGGATCTGGCCTGGGCGGGGGAGGGGCTGCGACCAAGTCCAGGGCACCAGGTGGAGGAGGGCAGAGCCCGGAGATGGCCACCACCACCCGGGAGCCGCCTCTGTCCCCAGCTCCGAGGCAGACGCCTGTCTTGGTGGGGCATGCTCAGGCCACGGGAGGTGGGCAGGACCACTGTGGGTGCTGCAGGGGCTGCCGGCGGAGGCCAGGGCACAGGGAGGGGAGAAATCACAGCCTGGATCTCATTCTCAGCCCAAGCTACACGGAACCGGGGGTCCCTGCATAGAGGCCTGTCCTGCAGCATGGCTCTGAGCAGCTGCACACACTCAGGCCCAAGTGGCTCCTCCAATCATCTCTGTGCCCACGACTGTGCAGGGAATGGCCAGGACCCCAGGGAAATCCCTCGGACATCTGGCGCTGCCCGTCCACCCCAGACCTGTTCCTTTGTTCCCCAGCTCCCTCCCAGCCGGCCCCTGAGGCCCTCCCTAGGAGGAGGAGGTCCCTGAGGTTCTCTCTGTGAGGGCCGACCTGAAGGCCTGAGACGCCTCCTCCCACCTTTGCAGGTGACCCCTCAGAGGACCCTGGGCCCCCAGAGCCGAGGGTCATGGAGACTCCTGGGGCCCATTCATGGCCCTGGGACTGTCCCTACCCTGGTGGGACTAAGCCACAACCTGGAGCAGCTCAAGGCTGGCACAACAGACACCCATAAATTAATAAAAATAATTGTGAAAACACAAGCAAAACAAGCTCGTCGGCATCCAAGAGTTCTGCAGCAGCAGGGTTAGTCTGAGAGTTGCTCTCTCTGTCCCACCTGGGGCTCCAGGGCGCTGCAGTCCGTCACCAGAGGGACCAGATGCTCGTGGCCCTCCAAGGGCTTAGTGTGGAGCTACTCACCCCCATCAGCACAGAGAAGACCCACGTCTTGTGGCTGAAGCAGGGGGGCAGTCTCTTCGACAGCTGCAGGTCGCTCGGCTTCGCGTCTGGGGCATAGCTGGCGGGGTCTTGCCGGCCCCGCTCCAGCGTGGGCATCCGGTCATAGGCCAGCTCCTCTCTGAATGGCTCCTGGGTCATGGCACTTGGGGACACCACAGCTGTGCTGAATGTACAGCCACGTGTCACCAGTTCTTTATCTGGAATAAAATTATCATCGGCTTTGGCCACTCTGAGGAAACTTCAATAAGTTGTTTCCAAGAAATATTTTTTAACAAAAGAAATATTGTTCATACTGAAGTGCTCTAAATTTGAAGAAGAAAATGAGCACTTGAATCTAAAAGTGAAAAAGAAATAACTTTCCTAGAAAAACGGACCTGAATAGTCTGGGTTCAGGGTGAGATTCTACACTTTAAATGCCTCATTGATCCATCTGGGCCCTCCAGGTGCAACACCTGACAACATCCATCGGCAACTTCGTCCATGAACACATCACGCCGGGGACTCAAGCACGTTAAACTGCTCCAATTGGTAGCTAAACGAGAGATTGCAAAACATGCCTCTACTCAACGGCTTAATGTCTGAGCACTTACCTCCCCCGCTGCTCTGCCGTTGGGAGCACTGGTCTCTGGGTGAGGGACTTCCAGCAAGAAGTATTCACAAATGAAACAAAAGCTCAGCAAACTTGAGCTGAAGGCAGGGGAAGGAGAGCTGCTTCCTGAATATCAATGAGGGGAGGAATCGGGTGGATCGTAGAAATGTTTCGTGTTGGTTGTGTAAACCACTGCCTCGGAGCTGTCAGAACCCAACTAGGAAAGGAAGGGGCCCTGCCTGTGCCACTCGCCACAGAGCTCGGGTCTCTCAGAAGAAAGAAGCGTCCCTAAGAATAGAATCCCACCAAGTACACATTCTGAGCAGGCTCTGTTTCTGAAACGTAACTGTTTACTCGAAGGTCTTCTACATCTTTCCAAGTAGCCTTTTTCCATCCCCCACAGCCACACGGTGGGAACCTCCTTCACACGGTCACATAAGCATTCACGCACTCGGCTTAGCTGTGTGGCCTTGGGCGGCTCCGGATTCGGCCCTGTGGTTTGCGTGGGCAGCCCGGATGGCTGGTGGGCCCGGTCCTGCTGCCCCCTTTATCTCTGCTCACCAAGCAGAGAAAAACCACAGTAATGTGTGTCGCCCAGAGACACTGGCACCCTGACAACTACAGCAACGGGTTCTTTGTGCACATTGTAAAAAGGCTCAAACTAAAGTTTCTGAAAAACCAGCTCCTTAAACCATGAACCCACATTAAAACTTGAGCAAAGTCATCAGGTTCCAGACCATGGGATGTTCTGTTGTCTTCGTTTCAATCAAGCAAGAAGCTTTTAGTAAGCTTTTATTAGCTTTTAGTAAGTTTTTATTAGCTTTTAGTAAGATTACACATACAAGCATCCCTGTCCCAGTGAAAATGCCCACTAAATCACCTCGATCAAAATGCGTAAGTGTCAAGTACGCATAAATGCAGCTCAAAACACTTTGCTCAACCTCACCCCCACAGGAAACAGCAGTGATAAATTTTTAGCAATAAACGAAAGTTTAAGCTATACTAGTATTTTAGGGTTAGTTAATTTTGTGCCAGCCACCACAGCCAATGTTCTGTTGTCTTCATTTCAATCAAGCAAGGATGAGAAATAATTTTCAAAAACTATAATCTGTGAAGTCAAGAACTCATTTTAATGGATTGAGAAACCTCCCAAACTTCACTATCTTTTAAAGCGATAAACGGGATTAGTGGGAGTGGGTCCAACTGGATCGAATCCTCCTGTGTTTCTTTTTGTTTGGAAAAAAATGTTAATCGGATTTCAACATTTTTTTCTTTCAAAAGTTGCTCTCCACTTAGAAATACAAACAAGCTGCCCTGAACCAGAGGTTGCAGAGCAAATCCCTCAGCTTCCCAGATCATAAGTCATCACTTGAGAAATGCTCCCAAGTTTCTGTTGGCAACACTAGTTTCTAGAACAGGCCCTGTTCTTTCATACAATCTTCCAACAAATTCTTGCTCCTAAAATGCCCTTCATCCCTCTGCCTGCTGATGTCCCATCATCATTCAACATTCAACAAACATTTATGGGGTGGACAAAGAAGTGACGTCCTTCCTATAGGCTGTTTACATTCATTGGGGGCACAGGAGTGCACAGGATAAACAAATTAGTGTGTTATACAGTGATATGGTTTGGCTGTGTCCCCACTCAAATCTCATCTTGAATTGTAATTCCCATAATTCCTACATGTCGTGGAAGGGGCCCGGTGGGAGGTAATTGAATCATGGGGGTGGTTACCCCCATGCTGCTGTTCTCCTGACAATGAGTGAGGTCTTATGAGATCTGATGGTCTTTTATAAGGGGCTTTCCCCGCTTTTGCTCAAGACTTCTCCTTCCTGCCACCTTGTGAAGAAGGACATGTTTGCTTCCCCTTCCACCATGATTGTAAGTTTCCTGAGGCCTCCTCAGCCCTGTGGAACTGTGAGTCAATTAAAGCTCTTTCCTTTATAAGGACTTGACTCTAAAATTACCCAGTCTTGGGTATGTCCTTATAGCAGCGTGAGAACAGACTAATGCATCCAGTGACACACATGATTTCCTCTATGAGGGAAAAGAAGTCAGGGGAGAGAAATGAGGGGCTGCTGTTTGCAGGGGCCAGGGCAGGCCTCAGTGAGAAGGAGGCAGGGAGGGGAGGCTGGCAGAGTTGAAGCAAAGGCCACAGGTTGGGGAAGGCAGGCGAGGACCATGCAAGGGGGATACAGGTAGGACAGCCAGGTGCCAGCACCTGTGGGTATGGAGACGACTCTGCTTCAACTCTGAGACAGACCTGCTGGAGGGGTCTGGGCAGAGCAGCATCCGGTCACTCACTGGGTGGAGAGCAGGCTGGGGGGTGGGAGGAGCAGGTGCTGCCTGGCATTGAGGTGGCAGTGGGCAAGTGGTGAGGAGGGACTGGGCTCTGAACAGGGTTTGAAGAGCGGACGCAATCTGCTGTCAGGGCGACGTTGCTGAGTTCTGTCTGAGCAGTGAGGACAGAGATGAGAAGACCAGGGTGGAGCAGGTGTGGAGCGAGGATCTGGAGTTCCATTCTGGACATGATGAGGCCGAGATGTCTGTGGGCATCTGCCGGGTCTACTGAGTCCAGAATCCCAGGGAGTGGCCCGAGCTGGGGAGCTGAGGGGCAGCCCTGCAGGCACAGCACCCGCTGCGAGCTGCCCTGGCAGGGAGCCCATGAGCCACCAGCCCTCATGCAGCTCGCTCTTGTTTCCAAGCTAATCTCCCACCAACCAGTAGGTCCCTGGGACCCTGCTGGCTCCTGTATGTGTTCCAGCACCCAGCCCAAGACACAGGCTTAGCGGGGATTTGAAATGCTAGGGAGTGCGCCACTCTCTCCCTTCCCACAGCAAGAACTATCAGTACACTCTGCATCCATGGACAGGCAAGGTCCAGGCTGTCATCAGACTGACAGATCTGACCTAGGAAAATAAAGCTATGTCAATCAAAAATAAGTCGGGGCTGGGCGCAGTGGCTCACACCTGTAATCCCAGCACTCGGGAGGCCAAGGCGGGTGGATCACCTGCGGGTCAGAAGTTCGAGACCAGCCTGACCAACATGGTAAAACCTTGTCGCTACTAAAAATACAAAAAAAAAAAAAAAAAAAAAAAAAAAAAAAAGCCAGCGTGGTGGCGCACGCCTGTAATCCCAGCTGCTCTGGAGGCTGAGGCAGGAGAATCACTTGAACCCGGGAGGTGGAGGCTACAGTGAGCTAAGATCATGCCACTGCATTCCAGCCTGGGCGACGGAGCAGGACTCCATCTCAAAAAAAAAAAAAAAGAAATAATAAAAAACAGAAACCACTGGAATAGTAAAGATATATATACGTATTTTGTTTTTGTTTTTGTTTTGAGGCAGAGTCTTGCTCTGTCTCCCAGGCTGGAGTGTAGTGGTGTGATCTCAGCTCACTGCAACCTCCACCTCCTGGGTTCAAGTGATTCTTCTGCTTCAGCCTCCCAAGTAGTTGGGATTACAGGCATGCGCCACCATGCCTGGCTAATTTTTTTTGTATTTTTTTGTAGAGACAGGATTTTGGCAGGTTGACCAGGCTGGTCTCGAACTCCTGACCTCAAGTGATCTGCTCACCTTGGCCTCGCAAAGTGTAAAGATATTTTTAAAATAGAGAAAAATCAATGAAATCAAGGGATGATTTTTTTTAAAAACTCAATAAAATTGATAAATATAGACTGATCAAGGAAAATGAGAGGGATGAGATAAATTACCTATGTCAAGAATGAAAGATGGCTCATCATTATGGACCATACAGACGTTAAAAGGATAATAAGGAAATATGCTGAACAACTTTATGCCAATAATCTGACATCTAATAATTGGATGAAATGGACAAATTCCTTAAAAGAATTACCAAAGTTTATTCAATATTACCTTGATAACTTGAATAGCCCTCTAGCTGATGCAGAAGTGAATTTCTCATTAAAAACCTTCCCACAAAGAAATCTCGAAGCCCAAATGGGTTCCCCAGCGAATACTACCACAATTTTTAGGGAATAAGTTACCCCATCCTACTCCCAGGTCACTGCAGGCCCGGCTTAAACCGACCCCAAACCAGACAGACACAGAAAACGGGAGGTCGGCCACAGAGCAATCTGCTTCACCAGCACCGTCCCCAACCTTGGACAAAGCGTTACCAAGCTGAGTCAGGCAATACACCAAAAGGATAACGAATCGTGACCAAGTGAGTTTTCCAAGGAGAGCCAAACAATGTAATTCCCTATGGGCTGAAATAAAAAGCTACAGGATCATTTGAATACATGCAGAAAAGCGTTGCAGAAAATTTCACACCCACTCATAAGAACTCTTGGAAAAACAGGAATAGAGGGAACTTCCTCAACTTGATAAAAAACACCAACAAAAAACGACTCCTAACATCACTCTGGGTGGTGAAAGCGCACTTTTCCCTAATGTGTGGGCGGCAAGAAGGCGGACCCGCTCGAAGCTCCGCCCACCCACGCGAGGCCCCGCCCGCCCGCTCGAAGCCCCGCCCACCCGGCGGTCACACCGCCTTGCGCGCTCGGCATGACGTCACTCCCACCAGGCACCTCGCCTTGTCAGGAGCTGCCAGGCGCCAACCGCCGACCTCTGACCGCTACGGGTCCCGGCTCGCGCAACGACCCCAAGGCGCATGCCCAGGCGCGGCGACCCCATTGGTGGCGGGCGGCGGGAGCGGCGCGGGCGCGTGCGGGCGGCGGCAGCGGCGGTGACGGCAGCCTAGGCCGGGCGAGGGCCATGCTGAGCCTCGCAGCCAAGCTGGTGGCCTTCTTCTGGAGGACGGCGGACACCCCTAGGGAGGAAGCCGGGCAGCTGGAGCCCGAGCTCGCGGAAGGTGGCTCGCGGGAGGCGGCTGGGAGGCGGGTCCCGGGCCCTCGCGTGTCGGCCACGAGGGAGCCGCGCCCATAGGTCTTTGAGTGCAGTGCGGGCCGGCAGGCAACGCTGGGCCCGGCCTTTCCTCATCTCCGCTGGCGGGGATCCCCGTTCGCCTCAGGAGGCTTCCGACCCCACAGCATCCCGCCGCTCTGGGCGCCCGTCCTCTGTGAGGTCTCTCCGGTGACACCAGCCCCTCTTCCCGCCCTCACTTTGTGTGTTTACGCCGAGCAGCTGCCAAGTCGTCTCTCCATGTCGTTCCTCCCTGTCCGCAGCGTCATTGGCGGTGGTGTGTCTAGAAAGCCCCGAAAAACGCGGCCCCGCAGACTTGGCCTGTCCTTTCAGAACGCGCTGCGCCAAGGCGTGCCATTTCCTTGTCTGGTTTTCAAGCCCATCTTTCTAAAGCCCGGGATGCGCCCGGATGCCCTCACCGTTCCTTTCTCCTGAGGTGTTTGTGTGTGTGTGTGTGTGAGACGGAGTTTCGCTCTTGTTGCCCAGGCTGGAGTGCAGTGGCGCAATCTCGGCTCACCGCAACCTCCGCCTTCTGGGTTCAAGTGATTCTCCTGCCTCAGCCTCCCGAGCAGCGGGGATTATAGGCACCCGCCACCACGCCCGGCTAATTTTTGTATTTTTAGTCGAGGGGGGGTTCGCCATGTTGGTCAGGCTGGTCTCGAACTCCTGATCTCAGGTGACCCACCCACCTTGGCCTCCCAAAGTGCTGGGATTACAGGCTTGAGCCACCACGCCCGACCTCTCCCGAGGTTCTGATGGCTTCTCCCGATGTTTCCTTATGTGGGAATGGAATCCACAGTAGTGGGTCCCTAATTGCCTTCTGTGAGAAAAGACAGGAACAGGCTTCAGGAGGGGAGCTTCCTGCTGCAGGCAGCGTGTTCAGGGCCTCTGGATCCACGAGGGCCGATGCCCGGGGGGCCGGCTGTGTTACCTGGAGCACTTGCTCCGTGGATCTCTTCGGTAGAACACGCGCTCAGCGGTAGCTGGAGCTCCAGCTCTTGGCAGCGCTCAGATCCTATGCCTGTACTGTAACCGTCGCCCCAGGTTCCTCCCGTGGCTGGGAAGCTGCAGTAAAGGCACGTTCAGGACTCAGGACCGTGGCTGCAGCAGTGGCCAGACGGCTGAGGGCGTGCGCTGCTCCTGGGCCAGACTTGTCTGCCCAGCCCCGAACCTTTTCCAGCACCGTGTTTGTTGAGATTCTCCAGTCTTCCGAGGCTGCTGCTGATGGTAATAAAAAGATAATCGATAGTACTAATAAAACCGTGCATGCTAATGACTCCCAGATGCTGATATAAGTGGCCATTTACATAGCACTTAACGCGTGTCAGCCACGCAGAGGTCCATACATGCACGTGTGTTCTGCCACTTAACCCTTCAGCAGCTCTCTTGGGTAGTGACGATTAGTCTCCATCTTACAGATGGCAACAGGCCCAGAGTAGTTAAGGACCTAGTCCAGGGTTACACCAATGGCAGTAGAAGAGCTAGGAGTCAACCCCATGCAGTCTGTTGTGGAGTCAGGGCTGTCACCTCCACAACCACTACCTGTGCCCTTCTGAGGAAACTGGGCTGTCTGCCTCCAAACCCCACGTTCCAGACACAGCACTCTCTGATGGGATTCTCTCTGTCTCAAGTCAGCCCGTTCGGAGTCAGTGCCTCCGAACTGCAAAAAAAGGAGGCTTTTGCACTCTGCCTTTCTCTGGTGGGGTTCACTGTAGCGTACGCTTGCTTTTATGGCCAAGATAACTTCTTTGTTTACCTACCTCAGGTGACACTAAGCTGAAAACTGTACGGGGTGTCGTGACAAGGTACTGCAGCGATTATGGCATGATTGATGATATGATCTACTTCTCCAGTGATGCTGTGACTAGCAGAGTGCTTCTGAATGTTGGACAGGAAGTGATTGCAGTTGTGGAAGAAAATAAAGTGTCCAATGGACTGAAAGCAATCAGGGTAAGGTTTGAGTTCATTTGGGAACAGTTTTTCTTCGCCACGGGACTTTGTGTTGTTTTTCCTTGTGTTTAATCTATCAGACATGACCCGGCCAAGGGAGAAAGAGTGGAATGTACCTTCAAGGGGATGCTTTTGCTCTTTATGATTTATGTTTTAAAAAATAGACTGGGTACAGTGGCTCACGCCTGTAATCCCAGCACTTTGGAAGGCTGAGACAGGCAGATCACTTGAGCTCAGGTGTTAAGAGACCAGCCTGGGCAGCATGGTGAAACCTCGTGTCTACAAAAAAAAAACCCACAAAAGTTAGCCTGGTGTCGTGGCACATACCTGTAGTCCCAGCTACATGGGAGGCTGAGGCGGGAGGATCGCTTGAGCCCAGAGGGTCAAGGCTGCAATGAGTTATGATTGCACTACCACACTCCAGCCTGGATGACAGAGCAAGACCCTGTCTCAATAAATAAACAAACAGCAGTCTTTGTAAATCATTCAAACAACATAGACATGTATACTTTAGAAAGTAAAGTTTGCCTATGAATTTATGCTGTGGAGAACATAGCAATTATATATCCATTATTTTCTTGCTTTTTCAACAATTTAATGGTTATCACCAAAGTAACATCAATAATATACAAATTTATACTCTTAGGAGCAGAATGAGAGACTGCACTTAATTTGCACTTAAGCCTTAAGTATGGTAACTTTTCTTTTTCTTTTTGTTTTTGTTTTTGTTTTTTTCTGAGACGGAGTCTCTGTCGCCCAGGCTGGAGTGCAGTGACGCAATCTCAGCTCACTGCAAGCTCCGCCTCCTGGGTTCACGCCATTCTCCTGCCTCAGCCTCCTGAGTAGCTGGGACTACAGGCACCCACCACCACACCCAGTTAATTTTTTTGTATTTTTAGTAGAGACGGGGTTTCACCGTGTTAGCCAGGATGGTCTGGAGCTCCTGACCTCGTGATCTGCCCACCTCAGCCTCCCAAAGTGCTAGGATTACAGGTGTGAGCCACCGCGCCCGGCCTCATGTTTTTTCTATGAATTATTTTTGGGTCCTTTGTCCACATTTTTGTTGAGTTCAGCTTTTTCTTTTGTTAAAGCTTATATATTAGGGAAATCAGAGCTTTTTAAGGAAAATTATTATATGAAAGTGTTAGGAATATTTTCCCCAGGATCATCTTTGACTGTGTTTTATAGTTTCATTTTTTGTAGTTAAGTGTGCCTCTTTTCCATGTAGCTTTTGGATGCTGTAAGAAGCCTTAGGGAGGCTTATTCCACTTCTTATTCCTAATATTCAAATTTTACTCTGAAAATTGTTTATTGACAATTAGAATTTTTTTTTCAATTTTTGAGACAGAGCTTTGCGCTGTCGCCCAGGCTGGAGTATAGTAGTGCGATTATAGTTCACTGCAGCCTGGAACTCCTGAGCTCAAGCGATTCTTCCACCTCAGCCTCCTGAGTAACTGGGACCACAGGTGTACACCATCATACCTGACTAATTTTTAAAATTTTTTTGTAGAAATGGCGTCTCACTGTGTTGCGTAGGCTGATCTGAAACTCCTGGCCTCGAGTGGTCCTTCCACCTCGGCCTCCCAAAGTGTTGGGATTACAGGCATGAGCCACCATGCCTGGCCTGTTTGTTGATATTTAAATATTTGACCTGCCTGGAATTTATTTGGGTGCACAGACTGAGAGAAGGAACCAGACATTGCTTTCCTAATGGCTAGCCAGTCATCTGAGTAGCTCACTTTTTCCCTGCTGATTTGGAAAATTCCTTAATCATGTATCAGAATCCCACCTGCATGTGATGTGGTCCTGATGCTTGTAAGGGGGCCCCATGGCATGGTTGCTGTGATAGGTGGTGAGCAGGTTTCCCTTCTTTGCTCTTATTAGCATATGGTATTTTTCTGGCTCTTCACATGTTCTGGATGAGTTTGGAATCTTGTTTCTCCCCCTCTGCCCAGATTTGCTTTGGATGGCACTGAGTTTATGCATTTCATTTAGAATAATTGATATTTGGGTCATATGGAGTCTTTTCCATATGTCTGTCCATTTATTTAAGCCTTCCTTTGTATTCTTTTTATAGTTCAATAGTTTTCTTCTTTTAGGTCCTGTAAATTTCTTACTAAATTTATTTTCAGGAGTTTTTATGTGTTCTATTAACATCATTTTCCATCGTATTTTCAAATTAATCTTTTTCTTCCTGTATGGGAAAGCTTTCAATTTTTTTTTTTTTTTTTTGAGACGGAGTCTCGCTCTGTCACCCAGGCTGGAGTGCAGTGGCATGATCTTGGCTCACTGCAAGCTCCATCTTCTGGGTTCACACCATTCTCCTGCCTCAGCCTCCAGAGTAGCTGGGACTACAGGCGCCTGCCACCACGCCCAGCTAATTTTTTGTATTTTTAGTAGAGATGGGGTTTCACTGTGTTAGCCAGGATGGTCTCGATCTCCTGACCTCGTGATCCGCCACCTCGGCCTCCCAAAGTGCCGGGATTACAGGCATGAGCCACCATGCCCAGCGATTTTTAAATGTAATTTGGAATCTGGCAAACGTATTGAGCTATTAACTACTTTTTAAAAATACTTGAGATGTACTTTATTATACTATTATAGTTAGTACCATCTAATGCTTAGTATCATCTTTCTCAAATTAAAAAAAAAGCATACCCAATAAAATAATTCAAAGTCTAGAATTCCATCATTCAATATGGTAGCCACCACTCATGTGCAGCAGTTTCGATTTATTAAAACTAAATGCAACTTACAGCCAGGCGCGGTGGCATAAACCTGGAGTCCCAGCACTCGGGAGGCTGAGGCGGGAGTTCGAGACCAGCCTGGGCACATAGAGACCCTGTCTCTTAAAAATAAATAAATAAAAGTGTTTCCTCAGTTTCCCTGGCCACATTTCAAGTGCTAACTGAAGCCTAGTGACTACCAAATTGGGCAGCACACATAGAGAACATTTCTGTCAGCTCTGGCTTAGAGACTGTGAATGCAAAGTAGAAGAGCCTCCCTCCACGTTCCCCACCTGCACTTTCATGCTGCAGACCTGATGCTCTTCTGGGTTTCTGTTTCTACCTTATCTGGTAGATAGTTGAGTCACTTAAACAATATGCTTGTATCTTTTATTAATTCACCAATGTTAGTATTTATGGACTTCCATCATCAGAGATGTACAACTGGCTCATTCACACTACCCTCTTTTCCTCTCCCAATTATTTAATTATATTTTTTCCTCCAAAGATTTCCTTTTGAACTTGAAATTATACGATAGTCCTCATGTTTTTGTGTGTATTTAAAGGAGTACTCTGGGTTCAGAATCTTTGAAAGAGGATCTGGAACCCAGAACCTGTAGAGATGATGTTTACCTCATTCTCTGAGCTGTGGTCGTGTACTCACACGCGGCCTTCCAAAGCAGGTTCTCATACCAAATTCCCGTTGATTTTAAGATACACCATTAATTTGATAATGAAAATTTAAAATGGAAACGTAGGTTGTGAGACTCATTCTGATCTCAGAAATGTGACAATGTGGAAAAACTGGCCCCTGGGTGTCCAGCAAATCCCAGCCCTCTTGGTGGTCAGCTGCCCTTCACTTGTTCCATCTTGTAAGGAATGCAGGACCTTTTTTGTTATGGTGAAGAGGGTTCATCTCTACTCACAATCTTGCTTTTATAAATTAGTAATGGATTTTTCAAGTACTTTTCAGTATCTTCCAAATGATCCCATAGTTTCTGTCCCTTTGCTATTAATATGGTGGAAAATACAGTTTCTGTGTTGTGAGCCGTTCTCACTTGATGGGAATGATCCCCATTTGGTATAAACCTGAATGTACTTCTGGATTTATTTTTTATTTAGATATTTTTCTTGTGGTAAAATATGCGTAATATACCATTTTAACCATATTGAAATGTACGGTTCAGTGGCATTAAGCACGTTCACATTGTTGCGCAGCCATCACCACAATCTGTCTTCAGCACTTTTTCAGCATCCCAGTAGACACTCTGTACCCATTAAACAGTTATTCAGTGTTCTACTTTATGTCTCTATGAATTTGCCCATTCTAAATACCTCATATAAGCGGAATCATGTGTCTGGCTATTTGACTTCTGTTTTCAAGATTTGCCCATGTAGCATGTATCAAAAGTTAATTCCTTTTTTATGGCTGAATATTCCATTGTGTGAATAAATCACATTTTGTTTCTCCATTCATCTGTTGATGGACACTTGGGTTGTTTCTACTTTTTGGTTGTTGTGAATTGTGCTGCCATGAACAAGTCTGTCTGAGTCCTTGTTCAGTTCTTTTGGGGCTACGCCTAGGAAGAGAATTGCTGGGCTGTATGGTAAGTCTAGGTTTAACTTTGTGAGGAACCAGATGTTTTCCACAGCAGCTGCACCGTTATATGTTCCCACCAACAGTGCATGAGGCTGCCACTTTTTCTGTATCCTTGCCAACACTTGCTATTTTCTTTTTCTTTTTTTTTCTTTTGACAGTAGCTATTCCTCGTAGTTGTGAGGTAGTATCTCACTGTGGTTTTGATTTGCATTTCCCTAATGATTTGTGAGGGCATCTTTTCATGTGCTTATTGGCCATCTATATATCTTCTTTGGAGAAATATCTACTCAAATCCTTTGCCCGTTTTGAAATTAGGTTGTTTTCTTGTAGTAGGAATTCTTTATATATTCTGGATATTAATCTCTCATCACATACATGATTTGCAAATACTTTCTCTCATTTTATCAATTGTCTTTTCACTTTCTTCATGGTATCCTTTGATGCACAGATGTTTTAAATTTTGGTGGAAGTCTAATTTGTCTCTTTTATTGCATGTACTTCTGATGTCACACTCAAGATACCATTGACTAATCCAAGATTATGAAGATTTTTTTCTACCAAGAGTTTTATAGTTTTTGCTTTTAAATTAAAGTCTTTGATTCATTAAAAAAAATTTTTTGAGACAGGATCTCACTTTGTTGCCCAGGCTGGAGTGCAGCAGCACAGTCACAGCTCACTGCAGCCTCAACCTCCCAGGCTGAAGTGATCCTTCCACCTTAGCCACCTGAGCAGCTGGGACTACAGGTGTGTGCTGCCTCACCCAATTTTTGTATTTTTTGTAGAGATGGGGCCTCTCTATGTTGCCCAGGCTGGTCTCGAACTCCTGGGCTCAAGTGATCCGCCCATCCCACGCCTTTCCAAATGCTGAGATTATAGGGGTAAGCCACCACGCCTGGCCTCTTTAATCCATTTTGAGTTAATTTTTGTGTTTGGTGTAAAACGAGAGTCTAACTTTATTATTTTGCCCATGGTTATTTTCCCAGCACTATTTTTTTTTGAGACTGCACAATTGCAGTTTATTGAATGGTCCTTGTCAAAAATCAATTGACTGCACATGCAAGGGTTTATTTCTGGGTCTCTTTACTATTCCATTGGTTTATATTTCTGTCCTTACACTGGTGCCACACTAGTTTGATGACTGTAACTTTGTAGGAAGTTTTGAAATCAGGAGGTATGAAACCTTCAATTTTGTTACTCCTTTTCAAGACCATTTTGCCTATTCATGGTCCCTTGAGATTCCATTAGAATTTTAGATGAGTTTTTCTATTTATATAAAAATAGACCCATAGGACTTTGATAGGGATTGCGTTGCATTTGTTGGGTTTTTTTGTTGTTTGTTTGAGACAGAGTCTTGCTCTGTCACCCAGGATGGAGTGCAATGATGTGATATTGACTCATTGCAACCTCCGCCTCCCTGGTTCAAGCAATTCTCATGCCTCAGCCTCCCAAGTAGCTGGGACTGCAGGTGCTTGCCACTACACCCAGCTAATTTTTTTTGTATTTTTAGTAGAGATGGGGTTTCACCATGTTGACCAGGCTGGTCTTGAACTCCTGACCTCAAGTGATCCACCTGCCTCAACCTCCCAAAGTGCTGGAATTACAGGCATGAGCTACCACACCCAACCTGAATTTGTGTAATAGATCACTTTGGGTAGTATTGTCATCTTAATAATTAAGTCTAAGATTGTCATCTTAATAATAATTAAGTATTAAGATTAACATCTTAATAATAATTATTAAGATTAACATCTTAATAATCACATAATCACTTTGAGTAGTATTATCATCTTAATAATTAAGTCTTAAGATTGTCATTTTAATAATATTAGGTTTTCCAATTCATGAACGCGGTTGTCTTGCTGTTTATTGAGGTATTTAATTCATTCATTAGTGTCATTTTACGTGTCTTCCATCTCCTTAGTTAGGTTACTAAGTGTTCTGAGGAATTAACCTATTAACCTAACAGTGCTGTTATAAATGGAATTGTTTTCCCTTTCTTTGGATCATTTTTCTTGATTTCCTTTTTGGATTTTTCATTGCAAATGTATGGAAATCTGATTTTTGTATGTTGACTTTGTGTCCTGTGCTGGATTCATTTATTAGCTCTAACCATTTTTTGTTTCATTTACGTGTGTGGAATCTTTAGAGTTTTCCACAGATGAGATCCTACCATCTGTGAATAAAGATAATTGAAATTTGAAAGTCTTGAAGTAAGCATGGGCATCCTTGCCTGGTTCCTGATCTTAGGGGAAAGCTTTCGGCCTTTCACCATTGAGTGTGGTGTTTGTTGTGAGATTTTTGTTTATGGCCTTTCTCGTGTTGAAGAGATTTCCTGCGATTCCTAGTTTATTGAGTGTTTGCATCATAAAAAGTGTTGATTTTGTCAAATGCTTTTTGTGCATCAGTTGAGATCATCGTGATTTTTTCCCTCATCTTATCAATGTAATATGTTGACTGATTTTCATATGTTGAAACACTTTTGCATTCTGGGATAAACCCCACTTAGTCATGGGGTATAATCCTTTTAATATGCTGCTGCATTTGGTTTGATAATATTTCATTGAGGATTTTTGCATCAGTGTTCATAAGGGATTGCTATAGACTCAATGTTGGTGTCCCCCAAAATACGTATGTTGAAATCCTGACCCCAGTGGAATCTTATTAGGAGGCTTTGGTGGGTGACTGGGTCACAAGGGCAGAGCCCTTATGAAACATACCCCAGAGAACCCCTTTGCCCTTTCTGCCATGT
Source organism: Homo sapiens (assembly GCF_000001405.40). Classification (NCBI taxonomy): domain Eukaryota; kingdom Metazoa; phylum Chordata; class Mammalia; order Primates; family Hominidae; genus Homo; species Homo sapiens. Next base: position 50,099,261 of record NC_000022.11, read on the forward strand.
GAGGACACAGCAGGAAGACACCGACGGTATACCAGGAAGAAGGCCCTCACCAGACCCGGAATCTGCCAGGGCCTTGATCTTGGACTTGCAGCCCTAATGGTCTCAGACAGGCATGCCAGCCTGTAGTTTGCTTTTCTTGTAGTTCTCGTATTATGGTTTAGAGCGGTGTGTTTGTTTTACAGGTAGAAGCTGTCTCTGATAAGTGGGAAGACGACAGCAGAAACCATGGGAGTCCCTCAGACTGCGGCCCCCGAGTGTTGATTGGCTGTGTGACTTCCCTGGTGGAGGGCGCAGGCTGTATCAGTCAGACCACCTACTTCTCTCTGGAGAGTGTGTGCGAAGGTATGCTCAGGGGTCTGTGTTCCACATTGAAAATTAGGTTTTGTCTTTTAAAGAATTGTTATGGACCAGGCACGGTGGCTCATGCCTATAATCCCAGCACTTTGTCAGGCTGAGACAGGAGGATCGCTTGAGCCCAGGAGTTGGAGGCTGCAGTGAGCTATGATCCAGCCACTACACTCCAGCCTGGGTGACAGAACACAACCCTGTGTCTATATTTGTGATGGCTACACACAACATTGAAGGGATCAGTTTTGGGCATGCTTTGTTTGTTGAGAGGGTTTCGGGATTAGAGTAGCTTCTCCAGGTGCTGGCTTCACACAGAGGCTCTTGGATATTGAGTGGACTATGGGAGAGGGCACCAGGTCACTGTTTTGTTTTTTTTGTTTTTGTTTTTGTTTTTGTTTTTCGAGATGGAGTCTCACTCTGTTGCCCAGGCTGGAGTGCAGTGGTATGATCTCAGCTCACTGCAACCTCTGCTTCCTGGGTTTGATTGATTCTCCTGCCTCAGCCTCCTGAGTAGCTGGGATTACAGGTGTGCACCACCATGCCCAGCTAATTTTTTGTATTTTTAGTAAAGATGGGGTTTCATCAGGTTGGCCGGGCTGGTCTCGAACTCTTGACCTTAGGTGATCCACCTGCCTCGGCCTCCTAAAGTGCTGGGATTACAGGCATGAGCCACCACACCCAGCCAGGTCACTGTTTAAACTTGTGCTTTTATGTGTTTTGTGTTCATTTGTTAAATGCAGTCAGTAATTTCTGGGTAGTTGTTGCTTCCATATAATTATAGTGTTATGATCTAAGTTAGTGTTACTGGCATGCTGAGGTACTATTTAAAGTACTTTAGATGTTTTAAAATAGGGCTTGGGGATGACATTGTACGTTTCCTAAAGTATATATCCTTTTTCTTTCTTTCTTTCTTTCTTTTTTTTGAGATGGAGTCTCACCCTGTCGCCCAGGCTGGAGTGCAGTGGCACGATCTCAGCTTACTGCAACCTCCGCCTCCTGGGTTCAGGCGATTCTCCTGCCTCAGCCTCCTGAGACTACAGGTGCCCACCACCACAGCAGGCTAACTTTTTGTGTCTTTAGTAGAGACAGGGTTTCACCATGTTGGCCAGTCTGGTCTTGAACTCCTGACCTTGTGATCTGCCCGCCTTGGCCTCCCAAAGTGCTGGGATTACAGGCGTGAGCCACCACTCCCGGCTTTATATATCCATTTTTTATTGCATTTGTTTTTGGCTGATCAAAGGATTTGTTTTTATACCTAAAGAAAGAATATGTCGATGTCATTGACTGAGCTGAACTCAGCAGCGGTTTACTCTACTCCTGCTGCCTATGGTGGTGAAGACGGAGCTGGACTCCATACTCAGGTCTGTTTCTTCTTTCCCAGGAGAAACAGACCTGTGCATACATTGTGGTAGGGCAGGAATTGGAAAAGCTGCCTGGGGAAGTGGCTTCTGAGCTGAAGTCCATTTGCACAGCCCACAGCACTGCCTGTTGGAAGATGAATAGAAGTTTTCTGCTTTAAGCTGGGGGGTGGGAGGTCTGGGGGGTAGCTCTGCCCACCAGGAAGCTGCTGTCTCACTCTTTTTCACCTTGGTTTTTATGTGTATGTGTGTTTTTGTTTTTGTTTTGAGACGGAATCTTCCTCTGTTTCCCAGGCTGGAGTACAGTAGCACAATCTTGGCTTACTTCAAGCTCCGCCTTCCAGGTTCATGCCATTCTCCTGCCTCAGCCTCCTGAATAGCTGGGACTACAGGTGCCCGCCACCACACCTGGCTAATTTTTTGTATTTTTAGTAGAGACGGGGTTTCAATGTGTTAGCCAGGATGGTCTCGATCTCCTGACCTTGTGATCCACCTGCCAAAGTGCTGGGATTACAGGCATGAGCCACTGCGCCTGACCTTTTGTGGGTTTTGTTTTTTTTTTCTTTGTTTGAGACAGAGTTTCGCTCTTGTTGCCCAGGCTCGAGTGCAGTGGTGGCTCACTGTAACCTCCACCTCCTGGATTCAAGCAATTCTCTTGCCTCAGCTTCCTGAGTAGCTGGGACTACAGCTGTGTGCCACCACACCTGGCTAATTTTTGTATTTTTAGTAGACACGGGGTTTCGCCATGTTGGTCAGGCTGGTCTCGAACTCTTGACCTCAGGTGATTCACCCACCTCGGCCTCCCAAAGTGCTGGGATTATAGGCATGAACCACTGTGCCCAGCCTTGACCTTGGTTGTTAACCCTGGGATCCCCAAGATGAAATTGATAGGTGTCTATTGGGATTTTAGAATCTCTGTGCTGCCAGAGAAACGCTCAGTTCTGGGGAAAGGCGCCTATAATCATGGAGGCCCCTCAACCCTGCTAACAGGAAGCCCCTCTCAGGGGTGTCGCCAGGAAATGGCTCAAGAGGAAGAAAACCAGAAATGTTTGATGTTGCAGATGTTGATGGGGCAGAGAAGAGAAGGTGTCCCCTGAGTAATAAAGATGGGCAGGGATCCGGAGCCCAGGCCAAGGGATTTCCCAGTATAAAAAACCTCAAGTGAGGCAAAGTCAGGTCCTCTTGAGGCTGAGAGAGTCACACTCAGACATGTCAGAATTGCTGTGAACACAATCACAAAACCTAAGGACCACAGCAAAAGAACTTTTTTGAAAGAGAAAATACAATGTGCAAAAAGGCTGATACAGAGTATCTAATGAGATCAGCAAACCGGTCAAGCACCGTCTCCTTCAAAGCTCCTCCCCACAGGATGGTCGTACCACGTAGCTGAAAGCAGACATAGCTGTACATGAGCAAAAGGTGCGGCTGTGTCCTCATAAAACTTTATTTATAACTTCTGACCTAAAGGTGGCAAAAGGAAGAATTATGCTAAATTTTTCATTTGCTTGTGGGAGAGTCAGAAGATGCTGTTTCCTTCTTGACGTTAATTCAACAAATTATTAGAGTGCTTGCTGTGCTAGACACTGCTTCAGAGAATTCGCATTTTGAGAGAACAGACAGTAAGCAAGTGAACAAAGAAAATAATTAGCATCAGGCCTGGCACAGTGGCTCACACCTGTCATCCCAGCACTTTGGGAGGCTGAGGCGGGCGGATCACCTGAGGTTGGGAGTTGGAGACCAGCCTGACCAACATGGAGAAACCCCGTCTCTACTAAAAATACAAAATTAGCTGGGCGTGGTGGTGCATGCCTGTAATCCCAGCTACTCTGGAGGCTAAGGCAGGAGAATCGCTTGAACCTGGGAGGCAGAGGTTGCGGTGAGCCAAGATCACACCACTGCACTCCAGCCTGGGCGACAGAGCAAAACTCCTTCTCAAAAAAAAAAAGAAAAAGTAATTAACATCTTCTGCTCTGCAGCAACTGTCCAGGGTCGTGTCAGAGGACTAGAGTGGGTGGTTTGGAGTTCCTTCCTGCGTGTAGCCTTGAGGCTAGGGCAGAGCTGAGCGGGTCACAGGTGTGGCGGGAGGAGGGTCCAGGTAATGCCAGCCGGCCTGGGTCAGGTTCTGTCCTAAACACAACCCTCTGAGGTTACCTAGGTGAGGTCTGACACACGAGGGCAGCAGAGGGGAACACGTGGTTGTAGCGTGGGAGGGAGCAAATGTGGACAGCGTGCTGGGGCACGTGACTGGAGGAAGAGACCGTGCTTGTGCATGTTTGAACAGCACTGTCCCCCAGCCCTGGCCTGCTCCTGAGGTTTGTAGACAACACATGTGAGATGGGAATTCTTAACATCAGTGGTGGGGCTCAGGTTGTTTTATACACGAATGTCTGGTAAACCCTCTGCCATTTGGATGAAGGCAGCTAAAATTGAATTGGACATTTAGCTGAAGCACAGTTTCTCATCCTCAGCGCTCCAACATCTAGGCTGAAGCACTCTCTGTGGTGGGGCTTGTCTTGGGCACTGGAGGCTGTTTAGCTGCATCCTACCCTGGCCATGTTATGACAACCTAGAGCATGTCCAGATGCCATCAAATGGCCCCTGAGGACAGAATAGCCCCCAGGTAGGATCCACTGGCCTGAAGGTGGGGTCTGAGCTGCGAGCATGTGGTGGCTCTGTCCCGGCCCTCTTCATTCCCAGTTGAGCACTGAGTAGTCTATGGTGAGATCAAGGTTTCACAGGTTCTTATTGTAGTCCGTGTGGCCGCAGCACCCAGCTGGGTCACACATCAGGTGATTTCATTATTTTCAAGTTATACCAGTTTGTGCATCCACTTAGAGCAGCAGTCCCCAAACTCTTTGGCACCAGGGACCAGTTTTGTGAAAGATAATTTTTTCCACAGACCAGGGAGGGAGGATAGTTTTGGGATGATTTCAGTGCATTACATTTATTGTGCACTTTATTTCTATTATTATTATGTTGTAATTTATAAGGAAATAATTATACAACTCACCATAACATGGAATCAGTGGGAGCCCTGAGCTTGTTTTCCCAGAACTAGATGGTCCCATCTGGGGGTGATGGGAGACAGTGACAGATCGTCAGGCATTAGATTCTCATAAGGAGCACGCAACCTAGATCCCTCGCATGCACGGTTCACAATAGGGTTCCAGCTCCTATGAGAATCTACTACCCCTGCTGATCTGATAGGAGGTGGCGCTCAGGCTGTAATGTGAGCAATGGGGAGTGGCTGCAAATATAGATGAAACTTTGCTTGTTATCCCCAGCTCACTTCCTGCTGTGCAGCTTGGTTTCTAACAGGCCACAGTCCGGTGCCTTCTGTCTACTCTCCCCCAGCCTGCCCTGTGTGGACTGTCCAGCCTTGTTCTTGGTGCTTGTGGAAAGCACTAGCAGAAATTGGCACAGGGGTCAGGGGAGTGAGTTTGGGAGGGGCACTCCCTGCCTGGTGCCCTTTGGAGGCGTCTGTCCTTCCCATGAGGCCACGGCCCCTCACAGCCGGAGCTACAGCCAGGATGACCATGTGGTTTAGCCTCCAAACTGGTACACGTTTGAGAAGGAAAGGGGATGTCAGAATTAAAATTAGATCATTTTTGAAATATCTATGTATTGGTTAACAGAGTGATTTTATTATATTAGTGGACTTTTAAAGAAGTATTTTTCAGAAACTATTAAAAAAAGGTGAGTATATTAAAAAATGTCATATTGGTTATCTGGACATTATATTCTTGGTACATATTAACATACTTTAATATCTTAGCATCTAAGATGTATTTTTCCGAAAAATGTATATTTTGCAATATGATCTTACTCTTATTATTTCTATAATTGCGTGGTGTCGTCTTCAAAGTTGCATTTTATGGTTGATGAATTTGAAATTGAAATTGTAAACACCTTTGATTGAGCCTTCTTTTTTTTTTTTTTTTTAAAGACAGAGTCTCCCTCTGTCATCCAGGCTGGAATGCAGTGGCTCAGTCATAGCTCATTGCAGCCTCAACCTCGTGGGCTCAAGCAGTCCTCCCACCTCAGCCTCCCTAGTAGCTGGGACTACATACATGCACTTCCATGCCCAGCTAATGTTTGTGTTTCTTGTAGAGACAGGGTTTCACCGCATTGCCCAGGCTGTTCTTGAGCCACAGTGTTTTTAATTGAGGAAATATTAGTAAACTCAAAGCAAAATCTGTAAAATGTAAGATGTTGACAATTCTGTATTTTTTTCTATTGAAATATATTACTGTTCCAGCCCAGATGTTTTCATAGGTACTGTCTTTTTGCATCAATTCAGAGCCCATAAGTGTTCAAACATTTTTACAAGCTGACATTCATCAAGTAAGTTGTCTCTGTCATTCTTTTCATGTGTAGGCCTTCTCAGCGTCTCAGGGCCATTCATGCCCTTACACAATGTCAGCTTGTCCAGTTTAAGAAAGGGCTTCATCGAAAGATTCTTTTGAAAGTTTGGCATATTCTCAAGTCCAGTCTTAGAATTTGAGCATTCATCTGTGGACTCCATTTGGGCTCCTGAGGCCTCATTATTTCCTCCATTGTTTTTCCATGTTCCTGCTCATCAGCTTTATTTTCAATAACTACAATTTGCAAAAGTTATCAAAAGCTGAAGATTTGGGGTTCTACATGTATTAAATAAAGATTTTCTGCTGACTTGAAAAAAGTAAAACCAAAATTTAGAGATCTCACTTAAAAAGAAAGTAAAAGGAGCATCATCACAGGACCTTTTGGTTGATTTACAGAACGGTTCCTCAGGTTCCAGCATTTGTAAAATCCAGGTTGGGGGAGCAGCAAAGAGAAAATGAGGGCTGCCAGCCCCCAGTGTCCGTGTGTGTGTTTCGTTGTCATGAGCTTTGTCACAGGAGTTGTGCATGTATGTATGTCATAGAAGTTCAGGAACTTGTACGTGCTTGTCTTCCAGCTGGCTGCATGTCTGGAGGATCACGTGTGCGCTATAGCCATCTGAGTGCATTTCTGCTGTCTCAGCTTCCTGACCTGCAGGGTCTGATTTGTACTGTGGTGCTTTACTCCGTTAACATCCTGTTATCACTGTAGAAACATATATTTTTATCTCCAGTGTTGAATTTCTAAACTTAATTTACAATGGCATTCACCATAATGTCAAATATTTCTCCTTCAATAGAAAGGTCTTCTGAAATCTTTACTTTTGTTTGCTTGTTTTTGTTTTTTAGAGACGGGGTCTTGCTCTGTCACCCAGGCTGGAGTGCAGTGGCACAATTGTAGCTCACTGCAGCCTGGAATTCCTGGGCTTAAGTCATCCCACCTTAGCCTCGTGAGTAGCTGGGACTTCAGGCTCATGCCACCACACCCCAACTAATTCTTTTTTTTTTTTTTTTTTTTTTTAGAGATGGGATCTTACTGTGTTGCCCAGGCTGGTCTCAAACTCCTGGGCTCAAGTGATCTTCCCACCTCAGCCTCACAAAGTGCTAGAAATCTTTACTATGATTCCATGATTCTGCTGGAAAAAAAAATTAATTGAATTTAACTTTTTTTTTCTTTAAAGTAACTGTACAACGTATAGAACTAGTACATTAATAGCTATTGCTTCACTTTTCATTTATGTCCAGGGAAATTGAGAATAAAAATTGGCAAAATTCTGTTAATTGTGGAATAAATGAAGGCATGGTTTACAAAACGCTGTATAAATGTGTCTCCAGAGTTGCACGTATTAAATTGTGGTTTTAGGACATGGTCTTTTTTTTTTTTTTTTTTTTGAGACGGAATCTCGCTCTGTTGCCTAGGCTGGAGTGCAGTGGCTCAATCTCGGCTCACTGTAAGCTCTGCCTCCCGGGTTCATGCCATTCTCCTGCCTCAGCCTCCCGAGTAGCTGGGACCACAGGCGCCTGCCACCACGCCTGGCTAATTTTTTGTATTTTTAGTAGAGACGGGGTTTCACTGTGTTAACCAGGATGGTCTCAATCTCCTGACCTCATGATCCACCCGCCTCGGCCTCCCAAAGTGCTGGGATTACAGGCGTGAGCCACCATGCCCGGCCAGGACATGGTCTTCTTAAAATACTCCCTGACCTTGAAGTCAGTGCCCTAGCATATTTTAGTGTCTTCTGTTTTCTTTCTTTTCTTTTTTTTTGAGACGGTGTCTCGCTGTGTCACCCAGGCTGGAGTGCAGTGGCGTGATCTCAGCTCACTGCAAACTCCACCTCCCGGGTTCACGCCATTCTCCTGCCTCAGCCTCCCGAGTAGCTGGGACTACAGGCGCCTACCACCGCTCCCAGCTAATTTTTTGTATTTTTAGTAGAGACGGGGTTTCACCGTGGTCTCGATCTCCTGACCTCGTGATCCACCCGCCTCGGCCTCCCAAAGTGCTGGGATTACAGGCGTGAGCCACCGCGCTTGGCCTCTGTTTTCACATAGACAGTGATTTCACCATGGCTCACATGTCGAATGTAGGTGTCAGCTGCTATTTGTGCTGTTACGTGTTCATCACCAGCTTTCTGGAGACACAAACTCAGTATTCAATTATACACTTTTTTTTTTTTGAGCTTCCAGAGTGCTTATTGCAAAATAACAAAAAGATTTTAACTACCTGTACCATGGCAGACCTGTGCAGACCATCTCTCTGTTCTGTCAGCACCACTCAGCCACTTCATGTCACTGAACCTGCAGTTTTCCACCAGCTGCGGGAGGCCCAGCGGTGTCTTGCGTCCGGCAGGCCATGGCTTGGACCACAGCACAGCTCTCTGGCACACTGAGGGGCTGGCTGGACCACTGAGTGCTTCCCTCACACCTGAGTTCAGGTGTCTCTCTGTTCCCGAACACCGTGTGTGTGTCCCTGACAGGGAGGTGCCACAAACACTGCAGGACGGGGGAAGGGGGATGCCACCTGCCCTCAGATGTGCCACACGAGGAGGGACTGCCACGAGCATGCACACTGCACCTTCTAGAGCCTGGAGGTGTGAGTGAGAGGCTCCAGCTCAGCTCATTTTATTGCAGTGGTTAATAATAATACTTCAGGGTTTTTTATTCGAAAATATGTTTCTCACAGTAGTAGAAAGTGCCTTTTAAATGTTCAAATGTATCCTCAGGTATGATAGAAATGATTTCAGTGCACCATGACCTCAGAATAACTTGTGCACTTTAACACTACCATGGCTTTTTTCCTGGCGGTTTTAGGCTTCGAGCCCTGCAAGGGAGACTGGGTGGAGGCTGAGTACCGGATCCGGCCTGGCACGTGGAGCAGCGAAGCCACCTCAGTGAAGCCACTGAGATACAAGCGCGTGGACAAGGTAGCGTGCCGACTAGTGGCTCCTCTCTGTGCTTCTGGCAGACCTGCCATCAGGGGTAACTTGCACGGCCCAGGCTTCTCCTGCATGTGTTGGAAGCCTGGAAAAATAAAGCTTTGTCATGGCCAAAGAGGAGTGTGTTTTCCTATTGACAATGCTGTGTTTCGTTTGGAAACAATAACTCCTAGTGCTTGCATACCTGAATTCTAAGGTCTGTAGCTTATGCAACAGTGCTAAAATGTTCTAAGGAGAAAGGTGTGTTGGAGAATCACTGGACCAGTGCTACGGGATGGCGGACTTGAGCTTCCTGGTGCAGCTTGTGTGCTTTGGGCTGACTTGGGCGTGTGTTAGAGCTGCGCCCTGTCGTCATGCAGCATCTGCTTCCTGTGACGCTCAGCTCTCTGCTCCCAGGTCTGCATCTCTAGCCTCTGTGGAAGGAACGGGGTGTTAGAGGAAAGCATCTTCTTTACCTTGGACTCCTTGAAACTGCCAGATGGGTACACACCCCGGAGAGGTGACGTGGTCAATGCAGTGGTGGTGGAGAGCAGCCAGTCATGCTATGTCTGGAGGGCACTTTGTATGACCCTAGTGAAGAGGCGGTAAGAAAATGCTTTTCTGGCCAGGTGCGGTGGCTAACGCCTGTAATCCTAGCACTTTGGGAGGCTGAGGCAGACGGATCACCTGAGGTTGGGAGTTCAAGACCAGCCTGACCAACGTGGTGAAACTCTGTCTCTACTAAAAGTACAAAATTAGCTGGGCGTGGTGGTGCTCGCCTGTAATCCCAGCTACTCGGGAGGCTGAGGCAGGAAAATTGCTTGAACCTGAGAGGCAGAGGTTGCAGTGAGCTGAGATTGCGCCACTGCACTCAGGCCTGGGCGACAAGTAAAACTCCGTCTCAAAAAAAGAAAACGCTTTTCTTCTTTGGGATGTGAAAGGCCCCATATAAGTATATTTTGAAGAGTTACTTTAATAAGCCAAATAGTAGACATTTCAAGCCCTGAGTTGTTGGGGTAAGAGGAGAGCATCCCTAGCACTTCAGGAGGCCGTGGCAGGAGAATTGCCTGAGCCCAGGAATTTGAGACCAGCCTGGGCAACATAGTGAGACCCCATCTCTACAAAACATTAAAAAATTAGCCAAGCGAGGCCGGGCACGGTGGCTCACGCCTGTAATCTCAGCACTCTGGGAGGCCGAGGCGGGTGAATCATGAGGTCAGGGGATCGAGACCATCCTGGCTAACACGGTGAAACCCCGTGTCTACTAAAAAAATACAAAAAATTAGCCGGGCGTGGTGACGGGCACCTGTAGTCCCGGCTGCTTGGGAGGCTGAGGCAAGAGAATGGCGTGAACCCGGGAGGTGGAGCTTGCAGTGAGCCGAGATCGCGCCACTGCACTCCAGCCTGGGCGACAGAGCGAGACTCCTTCTCAAAAAAAAAAAAAAAAAAAAAATTAGCCGAGCATGGTGGTGTGCACCTCCGGTCCCAGCTACACACGAGGTTGAAGCAGGAAGATTGCTTGAGCCTAGGAGCTTGAGGCTGCAGCGAGCTGTGATCGTGCTACCGCACTCTAGCCTGGGCAACACAGCAAGGCTCTGTCTTAAAAAATAAAAAGAGAAAGGAAAAGGAGGCTGGTCATGGTGGCTCACGCCTGTAATCCCAACGCTTTGGGATGCTGAGGCGGGTAGATCATGAGGTCAGGAGTTCGAGACCAGCCTGGCCAATATGAAGAAACCCTGTCTCTACTAAAAATACAAAAATTACCCGGTTGTGGTGGCAGGCACCTGTAATCCCAGCTACTTGGGAGGCTGAGGCAAGAGAATCACTTGAACCCAAGAGGCAGAGGTTGCAGTGAGGCGAGATTGCACCACTGCACTCCAGCCTGGGTGACAGAGGAAGACTCTGTCTCAAAAAAAAGAAGACTGTCTTGCCGGGCGCGGTGGCTCACGCCCGTAATACCAGCACTTTGGGAGGCCGAGGTGGGTGGATCACAAGGTCGGGAGATTGAAACCATCCTGGCTAACATGGTGAAACCCCATCTCTACTAAAAACACAAAAAATTAGCCAGGCGTGGTGGCCGGCGCCTGTAGTCCCAGCTACTCGGGAGGCTGAGGCAGGAGAATGGCGTGAACCCAGGAAGCGGAGCTTGCAGTGAGCCGAGATCGCGCCACTGCACTCCAGCCTGCACAACAGAGTGACACTCCATCTCAAAAAAAAAAAAAAGACTGTCTTTTGGAAGCTTTCAGCCATCTCTATGGTTGACTGAAGGTGGAGTTAGGGGTCGCTCTTCATCCTTCATCTTACATTGGTGATTGCTGTTTTGGGTGGATTTTTCTGTTTTGTTGTTTCACATTTTGGCATTTAAAAAATGCATTGGATGTAGTTGGTTCTTAAAATTATTGGATTTCTGGCTGGCCACAGTGGCTCACGCCTGTAATCCTAGGACTTTGGGAGGCCAAGGCGGGCGGATTGCCTGAGCTCAGGAGTTCGAGAACAGCCTGGGCAACACGGTGAAACCCCATCTCTACTAAAATACAAAAAATTAGCCAGGCGTGGCAGCGCACACCCTTAATCCCAGCTACTCTGGAGGCTGAGGCAGGAGAATTGCTTGAACCCGGGAAGCAGAAGTTGCAGTGAGCAGAGATCACGCCACTGCACTCCAGCCTGGGTAACAGAGCCAGACTCCATCTCCAATTAAAAAAAAAAATTATTAGATTTCCTGTATCTGTGTTCTTCTTTGTGTGCTAGCCATGACGAGGCTTCCCTGAGCTCCCTACTTGTGGGGCAGCCCCAGCTCTGACCCACCCCCTCCCTGCCTGCCTTTCCTCCTGTAACCAAAAGGTATGTGAGACAGGTCTCAATCAAGTTAGAAGTTCACTTTGCCAAGGTGAAGGACATGCCTGGGAAAAAGGACCACAAATCCACAGGAACCATCTGTGGTTCATGCCTTTTTCCAAAGATGATTTTGAGGCCTTCAATATTTAAAAGAGAAAAGTGGGCTGGAGGAGAAAGAGGGTGCGGTCACATGACTGAATACACATTTGCAAGAGGAAAGGAAAAGGAACAGGGAGGGAGAGTTGGTTGTGTAAATCAGCACTTTGATGTAAGAGAAGGTAACATGGAGATGTTTAACCTTGTCTTGTAGCTCTCTGCTTGGGGACAAAGGAAAGGCAGCTTCTTTCATGACAGCTTCTGGCTGAGTTTTTTCCTTTTGGCATGGTGAGTGGGGTCCCGACTCTGTCTTTGCTTTTTTTTTTTTTTTTTTTTTTTTTTTGAGACGTTGAGATGGAGTCTCGCTCCGTCACCCAGGTTGGAGTGCAGTGGCGCGATCTCTGCTCACTGCAAGTTCCACCTCCTGGGTTCACGCCATTCACCCACCTCAGCCTCCTGAGTAGCTGGGACTATAGGCACCTGCCACCATGCCTGGCTAATTTTTTGTATTTTTAATAGAGACGGGGTTTCACCGTGTTAGCCAGGATGGTCTCAATCTCCTGACCTCATGATCCGCCCACCTCAGCCTCCCAAACTGCTGGGATTACAGGCGTGAGCCACCACGCCCGGCCCCGAGTCTTTATTTTCTTTTCACACTCCTCACTCACCACCAGTGAGCTTCTGAGACATCTCCTCCATCAGTCTGCTTATTTTTGATCCCGATAGAATGCAGGTTCTGTTTGGGGAAAGCGTCTGCTTTCCAGCCCCATATCTGGTGCCTGGCTGGGCCTCTGGGTGCAGACAGACAGCCCTGTGTGAACTGAGCCACAGGGGTGTGCGGAGCAGTGCACCCCATGTAAGGTAGCAGCCGGAGGGTGGACTTGGGGCTGTGGGAGGTGTTATGGGACAGGGCCTGGTGGGCTCAGCCTCCTAGGAGCCTTGCCCTTCGGCCCACTGGCAGATGCTTGTTTGGGTGCTCGGAGCCCAGTTCCCCCTCCCCACTGGACCACGCTTTCCTTTGGGAGGGTGCCTAGGGCCCATCCTGTGGGGCGTGGATGTGACGTGCACTGCTCCCGCTGCATCTGACCACGGAAGCCTGGGACGCACAGGAGCTCTGCTTTCAGCCCAGTCCGCTGAGCCTGGCGGTGCCAGGAAATAAGACCTGCACCTCCTCCCTATGTCTGAGTCGGACTCCTCAGGCTTCCTGTCTGTTCTCTGACCTCATCCCCAGGCAGAAGCTGTGGCGTCCCATTCTTGCATCAGGCCCAGGAACCAGGGGCCTGAAGCGTGGCCTGGGGGTCTTCAGGAACTCACTAGGGCCGCTAAGGAGACAGCACAGCACGGAACCCGCACTCTCCTTCTCTTTAGGCTAGTAATGCTTGAAAAAGACCTGTTTCTGCCCCCACAGCATTTCCCCACTGAGGCCTCCTGACCACAGAGTAGAAGCTGCTGGGGTGGGTGAGCCAGGGAAGCTGGGGTGCCTGTTCCTCAGCTCGTGGCCCCGGGTGGGGCAGCCCCTCTGCACTCTAGAAACAGATCATGTGCCAAGCGAGCTCCTGCTCTCCACTCAGCCCCACAGCCTTCCCGTGGCAAGAGCTCCGCAGCTTCTCCTGTGGGGGCTGAGCCACGCACCGGGCAGTCGCATCTGACGACTCCTTTCTGCAAAATCCCCACCCCGTCCATCAGCAACGCTGTGGACTCTCTGCCCCTGTACCTCCCTTGTCACACCAGGGCACACAGAGAAGGAAGAGCCAAACAGGCACCCGCCAGGAGGGGCTGCTCTGTAGCTGGGAACCTCACTGAGTTTGCAGCAGGGGCCAGAAGTGTGGCGAGCCATTCTAGAGACCCCATTTTTTTAATGGTGCTTCGGACTGGGAAGTGGCATGAGGCAGGTTTACCTTCTGGAAAGAGGTTGTGGAGAGGCAGGGAGGAGAATCAAGCCTGTAGCATCAGTAGAAGAAGGGGAAGTAAGTGGGTCCATTTTTAGGGAAAGGTAAAATCTCATCTTCTCATTTTCTAAAGAGAAAAACTTCTCATTTCATTGTTTTCAAACACTTCAAAGCAACAAAACTCTTTCCAAAGCAAGTTTAGTGGAGCCCTAATAGGCAAGGCCCATGCTTCCCCCACCACCACCTTGGGAGTTGGCTGGAGAGAAGAGGACTGAGAATGCCACCCTAACCCTGCACTCTGAGCAGGAGGTAGGGGAGTGCTGGGGAGCACGTTCAGGACACCGTTCTCAGACTCCTTGCCTGTGGCTGTCCCCTGGGCTGCTCCCTTTTCTCTAGACTTTATGAAGTGCATCGTTCTCTTCCTTAGGGTTTGCCATCCTCCTTAGAAACCTAAGTCTGTGGAAGCCCTGCCTGTGGTGAGGTGGTCCTCTGAGTGCCCCCACCAGCAGTCTATCCTCAGGAGCGGAGGCAGGCGAGGAAGGGGTGGTGCTGCTGCAGAGGGATGTCTTTCTGGGGCTCTTTTTTCAGAGACGCCGCCCCTGTTCATGAGGCCACTCATTTCTATGGAACGATTTTGCTGAAGAACAAAGGTGATATTGAAGTTACACAGGTGACGCATTTTGGAACCCTAAAGGAAGGAAGAAGTAAAACCATGGTGATCTGGATAGAGTGAGTTTGCCACTGAAACATTTTCTATAAAGCTACATTAATGGCTTTTACACTATGACTCAATAATTTCTGTAAAACCAACTTTACTTTGGTCATTTATTTTTTTCTTTATGAAGATCTTTTCTTTTTTTTTTTTTTTTTTTTTTTTGAGACAGCGTCTTGCTCCGTCGCCCGGGCTGGAGTGCAGTGGCGCGATCTCAGCTCACTGCAAGCTCCGCCTCCCGGGTTCACACCATTCTCCTGCCTCAGCCTCCCGAGTAGCTGGGACTACAGGCGCCCGCCACCACGCCCGGCTAATTTTTTGTATTTTTAGTAGAGACGGGGTTTCACCGTGTTAGCCAGGATGGTCTGGAGCTCCTGACCTTGTGATTTGCCGCCTCAGCCTCCCAAAGTGCTGGGACTACAGGCGTGAGACACCACGCCCGGCATGAAGATCTTTTCAAAATTTTTTACCCAAAAATGACCTTTTGACTTATATTCATAAGTGTATTTGCAGTCACCACTTCCTAGATTAGGTTTTGTGTTTTATGATAACTGAATATTTTGGTTTTAGAAATCCTGGCTGTGTTCATAGTTAATTGTATTTTTCCAGGAATAAAGGAGACATTCCTCAAAACTTAGTCAGCTGTAAACTGGCTGGCTGGGATAAATCTAAACAATTCAGATTCCAAATGCTGGATAAAGACCAGATGTGCCCCGTGGTATCTTTTGTTTCTGTTCCTGAGAAGGAGAATTCATCAGATGAAAATATTAATTCATTAAATAGCCACACAAAAAACAAAACCTCTCAGATGTCGGAGAGCAGTTTGGTGAACAACAGAGGAATCTCTCCAGGTAGTGGACGTTTCGGCTGTCACTGCGTGAGGTCGGGTGGGCTGGGGGCCGTGGGGTTGTGAGTTCTGGACAGAGGGCGGGCAGCAGGGGCCAGGACACCCGGCAGCTACAGTGCTTTGTGCTCTGAGCTCTTCGGCTTCAGGCCCTTCTCTTGCTGACGACGTTAGGGAGAGGGACAAAAAGCAGCTTGACAAATACCAAGAGGTGCTTCAGATGGCGGCCGGCTCCTGAGTACCTCGAAGCAGGGAAAGATTGCTGGGCGCGCCGGGGCAGGCCTTCTATCCCAGCACTTGGTAGTCACAGCCCTCTCCTACTTCCAGCTGCTCTCTCTCTTTATGTTTTTCCAGCCACCACCTGAGGCTTTGCCCCGTGTTTTTGTGTGCATCTGTCTTTGTGTGTGTGAGAGAGTATTCATTTCCACTAAGCATGCCAGCACTGTTAGAGATAATTTACCTTTTGGTCAACTTTTGTATTAAAATTTTATTTCCCAGGTGATTGTACCTGTAAAGGAGAAAATGGAGAAAAAGACAACATTCTATCAAGGAAGCAGATGACAGAGCCTGAGCCTGGGGGGCTTGTCCCTCCAGGGGGAAAAACCTTCATTGTGGTCATCTGTGACGGAAAGTAAGGGCCTGGAGGTCTGGGGAGAGCCGCGTTTTTAAGTTTCTCTGATACTTCTAGGTTGGGTGTTATAAAAGGTACTCCTTTGTGGCGGGTGGATCACCTGAGACCAGGAGTTCGAAACCAGCCTGGCCACCATGGCGAAACCCCGCCTCTACTAAAAATACAAAAATTACTTGGGCCCCTGTAGTCCTAGCTACTCAGGAGGCTGAGGCAGTAGAATCGCTTAAATCCAGGTGACGGAGGGTGCAGTGAGCCAAGATCGCACGACTGCACTCCAGCCTGAGACGGAGCAAGACTCTGTCTCAAAAAAACAAAAAGGTACACCTGACGTTTTTGATGTGACAGAATCCTAAGAAAAAGCATTGGTCTAGAAGCTGGGTACCAAGTGTGACCCACCTGGGGCAATGGATCCTGTAACTTCGCACGACTCATGAGGGTCCTCACCAGATGGCCTCTCACCCTCACAAAGAAAACAGGGTGTCTCTGAGGCTCTCTGAGGCCTGAGCTCCCTGTGCTTCTGCTGTTCTGAGACATCACGTTGGCTCCTCTTCACTGCCTTGCCCGTGTTCCGCATAGCCAAGCCCTGGGGCCTCGGTCATCTCCATCCCGTCACCTGGGCATTTGGCCAAGGCACGGACAGCACAGTGTGCTGAGGGAGGGGCAGGAAGGGCCCCTTCCTAGCTGGGATGCCAGACGCCAACCTTGAGCCCTTCGCTCTCCCTGGTGTGGTTGGTTACATCAGCTGACCAAACAGGCCCTGTCCTCCAGCTCCCTGTGTCCCTGCATCCCTGCCTAAGCTGCCCGACAGTGCGTGATAGCCTTCCAGCTGGGTGTCTAATTCTAAATTTTTTGAAAAACTTAAATCTGATTAAATCACAGCTCATCAACATCAAGCTGTGGGTGGCAAGTGCACAGTCAGCTGTGTGAGGTGCAGCCAGCTTCAATGCTTTTTTTTTTTTTTTGACATTATGACAACATAGAAACAGGTTTTTTCAAAAAAGCCATAGGTGCTAACACAGTGAAACCCTGTCTCTACTAAAAATAAAAAAAATTAGCTGGGCGTGGTGGCGGGCACCTGTAGTCCCAGCTACTCAGGAGGCTGAGGCAGGAGAATGGCGTGAACCTGGGAGGCGGAGCTTGCAGTGAGCCGAGATCACGCCACCGCACTCCAGGCTGGGTGACAGAGCGAGACTCCGTCTCAAAAAAAAAAAAAAAGCCATAGGGGGGCACAAAGTGTAGTGTGGATGATGTAGCCCCAGTTAGAGCCACAGCGAGGACTGGGCAGAAAGCACATTAGATATAGTACCTATTTTTGGTCATGTCATAAAATTCTGACTTAAAATTGGGAATATCAAAATTTTTTCCTACTCTTATATGTGTTAGGATTACAAAAAAGACTATTGTAGATGCTTACTTTTTTTTTTTTTTTTTTTTTTTGAGACAGGGTCTCACTCTGTTGCCCAGGCTGGAGTGCAGAGGCATGATCACAGCTCACTGCAGCCTCCACCTCCCTAGGCTCCCACCTCAGCCTCCCGAGTAGCTGGAACCACAGGCACACGCCTCCATGTCCGGCTAATTTGTGTATTTTTTGCAGAGACAGGTTCATCCTATATTGCCCAGGCTGGTCTCAAACTCCTGGGCTCAAGCGATCTGCCCGCCTCAGTCTTCCAAAGTGCTGGGATTACAGGCCTGAGCCACCGCACCGGGCCTGTAGGTGCTTAATTTTATCTTGAGAAAATATTAATTACATAGCTTATTTTAGAAGATCTCTTTTTTCTCTGTAAAAAGAATTATTGAAGACTAAAGATGAGTCTTAACTCTGTCACTTTTCTTGTATGTACAAAGGAAAATTGTGTTGACTGCCTATCTTATTTATGACTAAAACTAAATTTCATTTTGTTTTTTTCAAGAAATCCTGGCCGCTGCAAGGAGCTCCTTTTGCTCTGTTTTTCCGATTTCCTAATTGGGCGATACCTTGAAGTAAATGTTATCAGTGGGGAGGAGTCACTAATTGCTGCGCGCGAACCATTTTCTTGGAAAAAGCTTAAAAGTTCACAAGCGTTAACATCCGCAAAAACTACAGTTGTTGTGACCGCACAGAAAAGGTACCATAACTGAAATGAGTGTGGCTCTTGGTCTGGCAGTTTTATCTGTGAAGGAAAAGCGGACGTGCACTGGCAAGCGGTGGCTACCACCTGGCTGGGGAGGTATAAAGGGGATGAAGCTGGGGTTCAAGCCTCTTTCCATGATTGTATTTGGGGGATGGAGTGCATTTCCACGGAGCTCTGAAGGTCAAGTTCTGTCTCTGCAGCTGCCCAGCAGCAGCGTGAAGCCCAAGGAAGACGGCCTTCACTCCCCCAAGCCCCACTCTGCTCTGGCAGTTCCAAGGTGGCTCTCAGAGCAGGCTGGCCTCACCCAGCTCCTGCCACCTCTCCCGTCCTGACGAGGCCATGGTGTGTAGTGCACGGCATCCCCGTGTCATTCGCACTGGGGGCAACAGGATTGTGGGGTCACCTGAAGCCTGTTTGAAGATGTGGTACCACTTAAGAATGGAGTTAGGAGAAGCAGTGTGTGATCTGGGACTTGTGGCTGGGGAACATAGGGACCACCCAGATTTTAACTGGAGGGTAGTCTCAGGAAAGCACTTCACATCCACGTGTTCTCTTCTGTAGTTATAAAACGAAAAAGCCCTGAATAGCAGGCTTTTTAAAGTGTAATGACTTAGTCCCGTGTGATGTGACTTTTCCTCCATCGGCTATAATAACTGATGGGTTTGAGCTCTGCTACTACCCCAGACCTCCCTGAGGGTGAGGTGGGTCACTTTTCTAATACTGAAAGATTCTGAATTTCAAATCACGTGTTGCCCCAGTTACAGTTCAAGATGAGGGATTATGGACTTCTACTTAGTTGCAGACTAAAGGGAAAACCTGTTACCAGGGAAGAATATCATGTGGTTGTTTACCTTTTAAGGTTAGACCATTGTTTGAATCACAGCACCACCACCAAGAAGCTGTGTGACCTTGGGCAAGTTTCTTAACCACTCTGAGCCTTGTTCTCATTGGTAAAATGATAGTCCCTGCCTCGTGTGGTTTGAAGATTGAATGAGGTCAGACATGTAAAATGTGCAGTTTTCTGGCACAAAGCAATCACTCAGTAAGCGAATAAGCAGTCATGATCCCTGGGCATATTATTATTGAGAAAAAGGGGCTCACTGCCTGATGCACTAGGGGCCATTGCTACGACAGTGGGTTTCTGAGAAAAGAAAAGCTTTGTATTGAAAACCAACCCCCAAGGAGACAGGAGTCAAGCTCAAATGTGTCTCTCTGTGCTGGCTTTAAGGCAGTAATTTTGTCAGAAAACGTTTAGTGGGTAGAATCTGGGATTAATAGGTGGTTGGTGGAAGGAAAAGGGAGGTCTGGAAAGGCCTTGGGTGTGCATAGTTACCCCTTCATGCTACCTCATGGGTCACATGTGCCAGTTCGGAGGGAGTTCGCATGAAACACGGTGGGAATCCAGGCTGTGACGTCAGTAAGCTCTGCACAAACTCCAGTTGTCCATCTTGGTTCCAGCTGATCTCAGCCAGTCCTTTGATGTCATAAGCAGGGGGAGACTCAGCGCTGGAGTTGTTTCTTATCACCCATCCTGCAGGCTCAAGAATTTCTGTTAGTCATCGGTTTCTTTAACTCTTTGGGGCACAGTTTCAACATCAAGGGGCTGTAGGGATGTAACCCAGAAAAGGAGCAGGAAAGTCCCTCGGCTGCCAGGCAGAGCAGAGTCCCCGAGGATCGAGTTTTAATGACAGGAGCCTTGGAGGATCCCTGGTTCTCATCTAGTGACACACCAAGCAGCTTTCTAGTTATCATTTGGCTTAACAGAAAGAGTGAAATACACAGAGCAACAGCCACAAGGATTTTAACCCCCTGGTCAGTTACTTCCCCGTGAATATTAACATATTGTGTGGGAGCGTATCTAAAACAAGGACATCAGTTTCCTGCCACTCAGGTTAGTGACCCAGAGTGCCTGACCCGGGTTGGCTCGAGCACACCTGGAGCACCAGGTGTCTGGACCTGCCCACGCGGGCATTGGCGGGTGCCTGCTTCCAGAGCTGTCCATCCGTGGCCGCC
The DNA here is from genome assembly GCF_000001405.40 of Homo sapiens. Classification (NCBI taxonomy): domain Eukaryota; kingdom Metazoa; phylum Chordata; class Mammalia; order Primates; family Hominidae; genus Homo; species Homo sapiens. Next base: position 50,119,371 of record NC_000022.11, read on the forward strand.
TGTCACAGGTCCTGCACTTCCTGCTAGGACCCCCAGTGCCAGGCAACTTTGGCTCTTAGCTAGAGCAGAGTGTTCACTTAGCAGATCTGTTCTGGGGGGCTTTGTAGGCCAGCACACTCCCAGCCAAGTTTCTAGCCACCCATCATGGTAGGAACCACATTTTGTTAATCCAGCGTGTCTGTTGAGGCCACATGGTTCTGTTAGCTGTTCAGGCTGTTGACCTAAGCCTGTAGTGATCATCCTGGTTTCCCTTTACCTTGTTCGTGTTAGTAATCAATGCTTTCCAAATACACCTCGCATGTGAGCGCTGACATAACCCTCAGCACAAACCATGGGGAATGTCTTCACCCCGTTTCTCCTGTTGAGGGCTGAGCCAGTGGAACCCAAATTGAGATGACAGTGAATGGAATACGGAGAGCAATGTGGGCTTCTCTCTTGGGTGAGACTGCACTGAAATGGAGAGCTGGGAGGGAATGAGGGATAAAGGTCCAACCAACATCCTTATTTGCTGAGTTGAGTTTTATCGACCTCACTCTGACTTTTCGTTTCCCTGTTCTCTCCTGGCTTCTCCTCTCCTGTCTGTCCCTTTCCCATTGTTTCTGTTGCCGCATTGGGCTTGGCTCCAGAGCAGCGATGTTCTTCATCCTGAACAAACTGAATTTCCCCAGAGAAACCACAGGCTGGGAAACAAAACAAAAACAAATCGAAGGCAGGACCCAGACAGAGCAGCCTTTTCCTAATGTGTGCTTTGCAGGGATAGGCCCAGGTGGAGTCCTGATGTCAAATATAGTAGGAAGAGCTTAGCTCATAGAATGTTAAAAACAGCTGTTTCCAAACTCCTGGTTCCAGGAGATTCTGGGGGTTCCAGCCCTGTTTTCCCACAGCCTGTGCAGCTACACTTACCTGTTTACAAATAGTAGAGCACTTGTGGGAACTGTTTGAGGAAAGGATCCCAGAGCTAAAACGAAAGCTTCAAACCACTGCCTTAGACCAGCTATTCATATATCAGTTCTTCTCAGGAAATGGATGGACTTTGGTCTTCCTAAAATAGGAAAGGATGTTTAGGTAAGAATGTCTAGTGATACCTGGTGATAAAGACTTATTTTTAACTTGTGAACTTAATTTTTTAAGGAACTCAAGACGACAACTTCCAAGTTTTCTTCCCCAATATCCAATCCCAGATAGACTTAGAAAATGTGTGGAACAAAAAATTGACATCCTGACTTTCCAGCCATTACTTGCAGAGGTAGGAAGTGTCTCATGGCCTGTGGGGTGTTGGCATCTTCTAATGCTCTTGTTTTCTGACAAAGCCAGGAGGTTCCTTCTCAGGTTCAGACCTTCATCTGGCTTGTTTTCTTCACAGGTAGCTGGGATAACGAGGGTCACTGCCTGGCCGTGAGGGATGAGGCACCATAGCACTCACGCTGCCAGACCTGCTGTACACCAGGGGCTGGCATCCCACAGCCTCACTGGGGGTCACGCACAGGGCCTTTGGGGTCTGGAGCAGAAGAACTGAGGGATACCTCTGCCATCAGCCTGGCCTCTCTCGCTAGACTAGGAGGCCTTTGTTATGAGCAAGAAGTGTTCTAGCCTTTTACCATCATCCTGACAGAGCCAGCAGGGCAAGGGTCCAGGGGAGGAGAGCCCAGGTCCCCACCCACATGGGAGACAGAGGAGCACGTTCTGAGTGGGGTAGGTGGAGAAGAAAAGTTCAAGAAGGAAGAAAAGTCTATAAATTTGGCAGTTTGAGGGGAGAACATTGCCCTTTGTCCAGGAGGGTTTTTTTCTGTAGGGGTTTGAGGTGTTCTGAGAGTCCCCAGCTAAACTGGAGTTCCAGTGCCAGAGCAGCTGGCAGCCCTGTCCTAAGGAGAATGAAGGGAATGGGACCTAGGTGTTCACCATGCGCCCTTCAGGGGATCCTTTCCAAATACACCTCCTTGTTTAAAAAAATGTCCTTGTTTTACCAGGAGGACAGCTGATGCCCCATGACCGGGGTTCCTCACGCAGGAAACTTATTCTGGCAGACGCCCCAGTGGCTCTCGTCTGACCTGTATCCAGGTTATGCCTGCCTGATCATCTGGCACTGGGAGCCCAAACTTATGTTCCCCAATGCCAGGGAAAACCCGGCCTGGGCAGTGCTGGGTTCTTAGGATGGAAGGTGCAAATTCAATCCACTGCCGTGATAGAAACAAGTTCAGATGTGTTTTACTCACAGATCCTGGGCAGGGAGGTTGCCATGAGTCGCGAGCGCAGTCCTCTGTCCCCCAGTCACTTTGAGTTTGTAGGCAAATGCCTGAATGGTTCATCGAGGTGGCAGAAAAAGCTGGACCTGGGTCTGCTAGGATGGAGAGGTGCTCCTCAGCTCCTCCCTGGGGACCCAGGTCTGCTGGGCTTGGAGGGTGCTCCTCAGTTCCTTCCACAGGCCACCGACTTGATGTTTTGATGCTGCAGCTTTGTAGTAAGTTTTGAAATCAGGAAATTTGAGTCCTCCAGCTTTGTTGTTCTTTGGCAGAATTTATTTTGCTTTTCAAGATCTTTTATACGAATTTTAAGATGCATTTTTCTATTTCTGCAAAATATAGCATTGGAATTTTTTTTCCCCAGAGACGAGGTCTCACTACATTGCCCAGGCTGGTCTCAAACTCCTGGCCTCAAGTATTCCTCCCGCCTCAGCCTCCCAAAGTGCTTGGGATTACAGGTGTGAGCCACTGCACCCGGCCTGTCATTGGAATTTTGATGGGAATTGCATTGAATCTGTAGATTGCGTTGGTTAGTATGGACATTTTAACAATATTGAATCCTCCAGGCTATGAACATGGAATGTGTTAACATTTATTTATGTCTTCTTTAATTTCTTACAGCAGTGTTTTGTCATTTTCTCTGTATATGTTTTTCACTTCTTTGGTTAAATTAATTTGTAAGTATTTTATTATTTTTGCTGCTGTTGTAAATACATTGCTCTCATAGCTGCCTTTTCAGATTCTTCAGTGTTGTTTAGAAATGAAGATAATTTTTGTCCTTTGATTTTGTACCCTGCTACTTTGCTGAATTTATTTATTCTAACAGTTTTTTGTGGAATCTTTTAGAGTTTTCTACATATAAAATTATGCATGCCATCTGCAAACAGATAATTTTATTTCTTCCTTTCCAATTTAGATGCCTTTCATTTCCTTTTCTTGCCTAATTGCTCTGGCTAGAACTTCTAGTACCATGATGAATAGCAGTGGTGAAAGCAGGCATCCTTCCCTTGGAAGTTCCTGATCTTATGGGAAAAGCTTTCAATCTTTCACCATTGAGTATGATGTTAACAGTGGGTTTTTCATATATGACTTTCATCATTTTGAGGTGATGGTTTTCTTTCTTTCTTTCTTTCTTTCTTTTTCTTCTTTTCCTTTTTCTCTTTTTTATTTATTTATTTATTTATTTATTTTTGAGACAGGCTCTCCTGTCGCCCAGGCTGGAGTGCAGTGGCGCAATCACAGCTCACAGCTGTGACTGCAGCGGCACACCACCATGCCCGGCTAACTTTTGTATATCATAGAGACAGGGTCTTACAATCCTCCCGCCTTGGCCTCCCAAAGTGTTGGAATTACAGGCAAGTATGGGTGTGAGCCACCACACCCAGCCTGATTTTCTTCTCTTCCTAGTTTGTTAAACGTTATCATGAAAGGGTGTTAAATTTTGTCAGATGCTAGCTGGGTGTGATGGCATGCACCTGTAATCCCAGCTACCTGGGAGGCGCTTGAGCCCAAGAGGCAGAGGTTGCGGTGAGCTGAGATCGCACCATTGCGCTCCAGCCTTGGTGACAGAGGGAAACTCATGTCTCAAAAAAAAAAAAAAAAAAAAAATTCAATTGCTTTTTCTGTATTGAGATGATCATATGATTTTTTTTCCTTCTGTTAATGTGTGTTGCTACAGTAATTGATTTTCAAATGTTGAACTATCCTTGCATTCCAGGAATAAATTCCACTTGATCATAGCATGTAATCCTTTTATTTTATATATGTTTTTTGAGACAGGGTCTCACTGTGTTGCCCAGGCTGGAGTGCAATGGCTCAGTCACTGCTCACTGCAGCCTCGAGCTCCTGGGCTCAAGCAATCCTCCCACCTCAGTCTCCCAAGTAACTGGGACTACAGGAATGAGCCACCACACCCAGCTAATCCTTTTCATATGCTGCTGAATTTTGTGTGCTAGTATCGTGTTGAGGATTTTTTCATCAGTGTTCATATTGGTCTGTAGTTTTCTTTTCCTGAAGTGTCTCTGTCTGGCTTTGGGATCAGGGTAATGCTGGCCTCATAAGAATAAGTCAGAGAGTATTCCCTCCTCTTGAATTTTTTGGAAAAGTTTGAGAAAGATTGGTATTAGTTAGTCTTCAAATGTTTGGTAGAATTTAGCTATGGAGCCATCAGGTCCTGGGGTTTTCCTTTTCAGAATATTTATTACTGCTTTAACCTCCTTAGTAGTAATTGGTCTATTCAGATTTTCTTTCTTCATGGTTTAGTCTTGGTAGGTTTTGTGTTTCTAGGAATTTGTCCATTTCATCTGGGTATTGGTATACGATTGCTCATACTCTTATAATCCTTTTTATTTCCGTAGATTCTGTAGTAATGTTCCCACTTTCCTATCTTATTTTAGTAATTTGTCTTTCCCTTTTTTCTAGTTAATCTACTAAAAGTCTGTCAATTTTGTTGATCTTTTTGGAGAACCAACTTTTTGTTTTCCTGGTTTTCTGTATTGTTTTTCAGTTCTCTCTTTTGTTCATCTCTCCTCTAATCTTTATTTCCTTCCTTCTGCTATCTTTGGGTTTAGTTTGTTCTCCTTTGTCTAATTCCTTGCAGTGCTCATGGGAATCAGTGCTCATAGTCACAAATTCCCTCAGCACTGCTTGTGCTGCTCCCATAAGTCTTGCTGTATTGTGTTTTTGTTTTTATTCATCTCCTAAGTATTTTTTAGTTTTTCTTATGGGGTTCTTTTGCTTTAATTCTTATCTTTGCTCTTTTGCACATAACGTTGTTTTTTCTTAGCTGCTTTTAAGATTCTCTCTTTTATCACTGATATTAATAGATTTGGTTTACGATGTGTGGTGGTAGAGATTCTTTTCTTCCTGTTCTTGTGCTTGGGGTTCATTGGGATTCTTGAATATGCGGCCTTGAGTTTTCTTCAGATTTGGAAATTTTCAGCCACCATGTGTTCAGACGCACTTTCTGCCCTCCCACTTTCCAATTCCGGGCAGGCTGCTGTGAGTTTTCCCCCACCTCATGCTGAGGCCCTGGTCTGGCCCCTCAATGGGTTTTGCAGGATGGTGTCTCATGCATTCCTTAGTGCTGAGCTGATGGTCCTGAGTGGGTCCCCTGACCCTCTCCAGACCACTCTGTGCTGCTTGCTCTTCCCAGCGCTCAGCCCCACAGATCAGAGCTCCTCTCCTTAGAAACCATGCAGCATCCCTGGGTCCTCTGTGCTGGGGCCTAGGAGCTCTGTTCAGGCACAGGTGGATCAGTCATGGGGCCCCCATGGATTGTTTCCCCAGTCTTGGGATCACAATCCTTTGCTACGTGATGTTCATTGTTTAAACACCATCGTTTCTTATTTCTCTGTCTCTTTAAGTTTTTTTCAGGTAGAAGGGTAAATCTGGTCCTTGTTAGTCCACCTTGGCCAGACCTGGAAGTTTGTCCTTTTTTCACAGATGTCTGTGGAAGCCAAATTCTGCCTTCCCAGAATTAACGTGGACAACCTGAAAAAGAGCAGGGAGGGTGGACAGGAGTGGGCAGTGCAGGGAGGGACACCGCCAGCTGGAGCCCCACTGCCTCATGCCAAAGGCCAGGGAGTGTGCTGGAGCCCCATGGCCCTCGTGCTGAAGGCCGGGGAACTTACTGAGGCACCTGCAGACTCCGGCGAGGATCGCCCCACCTGGGGGGCCATCTGCTGAACTGGAGCTGTTGGAACTTTCCTGCTCCGGAGCTGCTACTTTCCAGAGTGCTGCTGAGCTGTTGCTGACTTTATAACATTTGGGTGTTTTCCAGCTTCTGAACATGTCAAATTACAAGGAGAAGTTTTCGACTTTGCTGTGGCTTGAGGAGATTTATGCAGAAATGGAACTGAAAGAGTATAACATGAGCGGGATCATCTTAAGAAGGAATGGGGATCTGCTGGTTCTGGAGGTCCCAGGGTTGGCCGAAGGGAGGCCTTCTCTCTACGCAGGTGTGTTTGTTACTCATATGCTTCCCTGGGTGGACTAGCAGAGAAACCATACTTGAGAGAAGATACTCTTTAACTGGCAATATGACAGTCACATTATCGCATTTTCTTTCTTTTGGGTTAGAATTTCACTAAAAATCAGCAACCGATGTACATCAAGCATGTTTCTTTGTTGTATTTCATTAGTTGTAAGCAGTTGACCCCAGTAATGTTTTTGTTTGTTTGTTTGTTTGTTTTTTGAGGTGGAGTCTCGCTGTGTCGCCCAGGCTGGAGTGCAGTGGCGCAATCTCAGCTCATTGCAACCTCTGCCTCCCGGGTTCACGCCGTTCTCCTGCCTTAGCCTCCCGAGTAGCTGGAACTACAGGCGCCCGCCACCACACCCGGCTGATTTTTTTTTTTGTATTTTTAGTAGAGATGAGGTTTCGCCGTGTTAGCCAGGATGGTCTCGATCCCCTGACCTTGTGATCCGCCCGCCTCGGCCTCTCAAAGTGCTGGGATTACAGGCATGAGCCACTGCACCCAGCCTGACCCCAGTAACGTTTTATTGAACCTCCTCAGTGTTGGATTTTATAGGACAGCACAGAAATTTGTGATTTTGTGTTAGCTTTAAACATGGTAATATATTTTTTAACTAGGTGATAAACTGATTTTAAAAACTCAAGAGTACAATGGACATGCCATCGAATACATCAGCTACGTGACTGAGGTGAGAGCACTCTCTCTTAATGAGTTTGTGTTAGACACACCCTTCTGACCGGTTGGAAAGGTAACGTTCTCCCCACGGCTCTTGGGGAGATGCTCCCATATGCATTGGCTATTTTGGAAAATGTCAAGATACAGTGAATCTTTAAATAATTTTTGATGCATAAAGGAAACTTAATACTATAATTTTCAACCATGTAAAACATATTTATCTTTTAGGTTATATGTAAGTCATGAGGTTTGCGTTGAGTTGTATTTGGGCATTCTGAATGTATTCCAGAAGAGCTCGCAGAGTGGAGGCCTTGAAAGGAAAAATACACCTATGAGTTTGCAGCTCTGATGTTTGCGTGAAGGTGGTTTTTTTGGCTTTGAGTAGATCCTGGTGCTCCAGATGGTTCTGCATGGGGTGGTCTGTGACTCTTGGGCTGGACTTTACTGGTCATGTACTGGTCATAGCACTGGGAGTGATACTGGGATCTGCATGAGAAGGGAGGTGCTCTATCTGTGCATCAGAGAAGATGAAGCCACACATTACTTAATGTAGAAAACTTGAAGGGAGAATGCCAGAGCCTTTACTGTCAGAAGGAAGAAGGGCTGAGAGAACTAGAAGAGCCTGATAAGGATCTGGAGAAGAGGCAGCTTCCGACCTTTGATGCCACAGTCACTCTGCGCTACACCTTCATGCAGGGTCCATGCTGTGGCTGATTTCACAGAGTGGGATATTTCCCAGAAGACAACATCTTGGCAGGATTTCAGAGATTTTGTAATGAATTAGGCCATCGCCTGTGGACTGAGATGTGAGACACGAGTGACATGACCTCGCCAGCTCTCCATTACCCACCTTTGCTGTTGACCAAGTTGACATGAGGAGCCCAAGATGGCCGAATGACCATCTTAGCCTCCTAGACCAGCTGTGCCAAGAAAGGAAGCTTTGCATACCAAAACCTCCAAAGAAGCAGAGCCAGAGATCTCAGGAGGAAGGCACCTGCCTGCCTCCACCCCTGGTTCCTGAGCCATATGGCCGGGCCTCCATGCCATTGATCAAACCCTGGCATCTGAAATGACCTTCCGTATCCTTTTTAGCTCCAAAAATTATTTTCATCTTTTCAGGCTTTCTTGGATGCCACCTGCACCTGTTCTCAAGTAGACTAACGCATGTCTCCTGTGTATAGTCAGGACTTGGTCTGTCTTCCTCATCCTCAGGGGAAACAATCCCATGGCCCTGTACCACTGTTGCTTCCCTTCCTCCCGGAGCTGGAAGCCATCCCAGGGCGTAGCTTCCCGACTCTCTGCTGGTGTCAGCCCTGACCCTCAGGAAACTCACCCTACCAGGGTGTTGCCTGAGTCACCTGGAGAAGAGCTTGAGCTCCTTTTCAGATCAGGGCTTTCCTTCTTATTTTTCTACCCATACTGTCTAGGAAAGAATATGCAGAACTGATCATGCAGGATCTTGCTTTAGCTGGAGGGCTTTTCTACTAAAAGGATAAGTCTTGTAATGACTGTTTTTTTTGTTTTTTTTTTTGAGATGGATTCTCACTCTGTCACCCAGCCTGGAGTACAGTGGTACGATCTTGGCTCACTGCAACCTCCGCTTCCCAGGTTCAAGAGATTCTCCTGCCTCAGCCTCCCAAGTAGCTGGGATTACAGGTGCCCAGCACCACGCCTGGGTCCTTTTTCTATTTTTAGTGGAGATGGTTTCGCCCCGTTGGCCAGGCTGGTCTCAAACTCCTGACCTCAAGGTGATCCGCCCACCTTGGCCTCCCAAAGTGCTGGGATTACAGGTGTGAGCCACCGCACCCAGCAGACCTTCTTATCGAGGCTTCCTTACAGTAGGTAACACTTGGCTACCCTTGTGGTTGTTTTGTTTGTGTCCTATGGAGTCAGTGACCTCCCACACATTCTCTATTCTCAGAGCCTTAGGAGAGGCTACAGCCAAGTGAATAGAAGTTCAGTAAGTATGAGTGTGTAGTGATCCATTTCCTCTTGTTTGTATAATCGAATGGCGTAATGATTTAATCCTTTTCAACTAATTTTGCAGATATCAAATTTTAGCTCAGAGCTATAGAATGAATTTTTGATGATGTGTCGCTAGATAAAGATATCACATTATTTCAAGAAATCAGGTATATTGTTTGTTCCTTTTTTAGATTCATGAAGAAGATGTAACTCTTAAAATTAATCCAGAATTTGAACAAGCCTATAACTTTGAACCTATGGATGTGGAATTTACATATAATAGGTAATGCTTTTAGTGAGTCTTCTTTCAAATGTCTTTTTTTTTTTTTTTTTTTTTTGAGACTGGGTCTCATTCTGTTGCCCAGGCTGGATTTCAGTGGCGCAATCTCGGCTCACTGCAACCTCCGCCTCCCAGGTTCAAGCGATTCTCCTGCCTCGGCCTCCCAAGTAGCTGGGACTACAGGTGCCTGCCACCACGCCTGGCTAATTTTTGTATTTTTAGTAGAGGCAGTGTTTCACCATATTGGCCAGTCTGGTCTTGAACTCCTGACCTTGTGATACGCTTGCCTTGGCCTCCCAAAGTGCTGGGATTACAGGCGTGAGTCACCACGCCCGGCCATCTTTTTTTTTTTTTAATAGAGATGGGGTCCCAGGCTGGTCATAAACTCCTAGGCTCAAGCGATCCTCCTGCGTCAGCCTCCCAAAGTTTTGGGAGTATAGGTATGAGGCACCATGCCCAGTTAATTTGTCTCTTTATCTTTAATTGGACAGTGTTCTCTTGAGTATGTCTGTTGACATCTAAGTAGTGACGTAGGAGCCCCCACCATGCCTGTGGTTGACGTGTATAGGCCTTGTGGATGGAAGTGGGCTCCTACAGCATTTTTGCATACCCCGTGTTTCTAGCTTTATTATCAACTATTTTTTGAGATATAAAGGTGCATACATTTGCATGTGTATTCTTTCCCAGATCTCATGTGCACCGGATCTTTGGTTCATGCCTCACTGTCACCGTCAGCTACCAGCTCCTTACTTTTATTTGTTTTCTTGTCGGATGAGGGGTGCTGTGACCTGGCACCCAGCTGGCTTTTTCTTCCTCCACAAAACCATTAACTAGTCATGCACAAAAAATGTATTCTTCAGTTTTAATTCTTTTGAACTTTAGAAAAGGAGTAACTTGCTGTATTTGGTTCCTAGGAGTCGAGATTTTCACTAAACATTGTGTTCCTGAGATGTCTCCGTGTTGTTGTAACTGCTGTTCATTGGTTTGCGGTTGTGTGAATACCCGCTGTTTTTCTGTTGATGGACATCTTCATTGTTTGCTGTTACGATTGTTTGCTGCTGTTCCTAGAGCTGCTGTGTATGTAGGGATGGGATTGCTGGGTTTGGGGTTTTTCCAGCTTTACAAGTGGTTGCATCAGTGACTTTCAGTATCCATGTGTATAACAGCCTGCTGATCGGTGCCCTTTCTGTAATCTGATTTTGTTCGACTTCCTAATTGGTGCCAGTCTGGTAGGTGTGTAATGCATCTCATGATGGTCTTGATTTACTTTTCTCTGACTTATTTACAAGGCTGAGAATCTTCTTGTTCGTGGGCCGTAAAATGTTCCTCTTCCATGAAATGCTTGCTTGCGTCTTTTGCCCTCTTTTTTATTGAGTAATTTATCCAATTTTCATTGTTGTGGGAGTCCTTTCTGTATTCCTTATGATAAACTATTCTTAGGTACATATCTTCTCCAGATTTCTTCCTTATCTTTTAGCTTTTTAAAAAGTATCTTTTGAGGCTGGGTGTGATGTAATCCCTAACACTTTGGGAGGCCAAGGCAGGTGGATCTCTTGAGGTCAGGAGTTCGAGACCAGCCTGGCCAACATGGGGAAACACTGTCTCTACTAAAAATACAAAACTTAGTGGGCATGATGGCACATGCCTGCAGTCCCAGCTACTTGGGAGGCTGAGGCAGGAGAATTGCTTGAACCCAGGAGGCGGAGGTTGCGGTGAGCTGAGATCATACTACTGCACTCCAGCCTGAGACAGAGCGAGACTCTGTCTCAAAAAATAAATAAATAAATAAATTTTATATATATATGTCTTTTTATTAACAGAAGGTGCTAGTTTTAATATAGTCAAATTTATCAAATTTTTTTTAATATTAGTGCTTTTTATGTCTGTCTGAGAAATCGGCAGTATTTGGGCTACAGCCAGATTGGAATGTATTGAGAATGAATGAATGGACTACGGGGGAATGGAGAAATGTCGTTGATTCCTTTTTAAGGCATTTGCCGATGAAAGCAGGGAGGGCAGGATGGAGAGAGAGCGAGAGAAATTGGTGACCAAAGAGATACAGGAGGACCAGGAGGGGGGTACTTTTTGTTTGCTGTGCAAGATGAGAGACCCCAGCATGTGAGTGCCATGAGAAGACCCAGGAATGGGAAGGAAGGGGCAGCTGTGTTGGATGATGACGTGTGAGGGTTGGCTGGGACCACAGGGAGCAGCAGCGCTGGTAGAAGGCACACAGCCTCCATCATGGCAGCTAGAGAGACTGCAGCCGACGTCCAGGCCTGGACTCCTTGACCTGCTTTGACTCTGGAACAGAGCTGATTCTTGTAGTGTGAAGGGATATCTCGTTGTGGATTTAATTTGTATTTTTCTAATGACTAATGATGCTGAACATCTTTTCTTTTTTCTTTTTTTTGAGACGGAGTCTCGTTCTGTTACCCAGGCTGGAGTGCAGTGGCACGATCTCGGCTCACTGCAAGCTCTGCCTTCCAGGTTCACACCATTCTCCTGCCTCAGTCTCCCGAGTAGCTGGGACTACAGGTGCCCACCACCACGCCCGGCTAATTTTTTTTTTTTTTTTTTTGTATTTTTAGTGAGACGGGGTTTCACTGTGTTAGCCAGAATGGTCTCAATCTCCTGACCTTGTGATCTGCCCACCTTGGCCTCCCAAAGTGCTGGGATTACAGGTGTGGGCCACCACACCCGGCCACTGAACATCTTTTTATGTGCTTTTTTGCCATTTGTACAAAATACTTGTTGAAGTCCTTCCTCAAGTCTTTGGGCCCATTTTAAAAAATTGTTTTCTCATGATTGAGTTTGCAGAGATGTTTGTATAGTTTCAGTACAGTGCTTTATCAGATACGTGTCTGTGCAAATATTTCCTCAGACTACAGCTTGTATTTTCATTGTTTTTATAGTGCCTTTTGAAATGCAGAAATTATTAATTTTGGTGAAGTCCAGTTTATGAATGTTTTCTTTCACAGATCTTTTAATGATGCATCTCAGAAATCTGTAACTAATTTGGATCTCAACGATTTTATCCTGTTTAGAAACTTGGCAGCTTTATCCTGTACATTTAGGATTATGATCTATCTCATTAAGCTTTGCAAATTGTTTGTGGGGTATGAATGGAAATTGGAGGGTGGAATGAACATCCAGTTGTCCAAGCATTATTTGATGAAAAAACTGCCCTTTCTCCAATGAATTACTATTGTACCTTTGTGAAAAAAAAAAAAAGAAAATCAGTTGACCAAATATTTGTTGATCTGTTTCTGAAGACTCTCTGTTGTGTTCCATTGTACACTTGTCTGTCTTGACACCAACATTACAGGGTCTTATTGTCTGTCTTAGTACACTCAGGCTGCATTAGCATAGCACCATAGATGGGGTGGCTTATAAACAACAGAAATGTATTTCTCATGCTCTGGAGGTCAGGAAGCCCAAGGTCAAGGCACCAGCAGGTTCAGTGTCCTGGTGAGACTGCTTCCTGGTTCGTAGGCGGCTGTCTTTTCCCTGTGTCCTCACGCAGCAGAAGGGATGGGAGAGCTCTCTGTGCTCCCTTGTGTAAGGGCACTAATTCCATTCATGAGGCCCCACCCTCATGACCTAATCACTTGCCAAAGGCCTCAACTCCTCATACCCAGTAACATCACATTGGGGATGAAGTTTCACCATACGAAGCTGGGGGGAACACAAACCTAGTGTATGATATGTGCCTTTATGATAAGTCTCAAAATCAGGTAGTATCAAGCCTCCAACTTTGTTCCTTTTCAAGGTTGTCTGGCTGTTCCAGGTCTTTCTTCTTACATGGATTTTAGGTCATGTCAGTCTCTACAGAAAGCCTGTTGGGATTTTGATTGGGATTACATTGAACCTATGGGTCGGTTTAAGGGAGAATTGGAGAATTGAAATCTTAATAATAATAAGTCCTCCAGCCCTTGAAAAGGGTATGTCTCTCCATTTATTTGCATCTGTTTTCATTTCTTTTAGCAATATTTTATACTTTTCAGTGTATAGGTCTTATAGATCTTTTGTCAGTTATACCTATTTAAAATTTTTAAATGGCTGTTATAAACAGTAAATTTAACTTAAATTTCTAATTGCTTGTTTCTAGTATTTATAAAAAGCAATTGATTTTTGTATGTTTACCTTGTATCCTGCAAGTCTCCTAAACTGAATAGCTCCAGTAGCTTCTCCTAGAGTCTGTAGAATTTTCTACATATATAATCATTGATTCAAAGAATGACAGTTTTAGGTTGGGTGTGGTGGTTCACACCTGTAATCCCAGCACTGTGGGAGGCCAAGGCAGGCGGATCACCTGAGGTCAGGAGTTTGAGACCAGTCTAGCCCACATGGGGAAACCCCATCTCTACTAAAAATACAAATAATCAGCCGGGCGTGGTAGTGGTCACCTGTAATCCCAGCTACTTGGGAGGCTGAGGCAGGAGAATTGCTTGAACCCAGGAGGCGGAGGTTGCAGTGAGCCGAGATCACGCTACTCATTCCAGCCTGGGCGACAGAGCAAGCCTCCGTCTGAAAAAAAAAAAACCAAAGACAGTTTTACTTCTTCTTCTCTTATTTGGATGCTGTGTATTTGTTTTCCTTGCCTTCCTGCGCTGGTTGGAACTTGTGTGCCAGTGTGGAATAGAAGTGGTGGCAAGTGCTGCACTGGCTTTGTCCCTGGTCTTAGGGGCAGGGCTGTCAGTCCTGAGCGAGTTAGTACAGCGTGGGTGGTAGGTTCCGTAGTGGCCCTCTATCAGGTTGAGGAGATAGATTCTTATTTTAGTGAGTTTTTAATCAAGAATGGATATGGGGCCAAGTGTGGTGGCTTACACCTGTAATCCCAGCACTTTGAGAGGCTGAGGTGGGAGGATCACATGGGCCCAGGAATTTGAGGCTTCAGTGAGCTCTGACTGTGCCACTGCACTCCAGCCTAGGCAACAGAGCAGAGTCTCTAAAAAAAAAAAAAAAAAGAAAGAAAGAATGGGTGTGGGATTTTGTCCCATGCTTTTTTTTTTGGCTTCTTTGGTATTCTCTAGTGGTTTTTACAAAAATTTTTTTAGACAGAGTCTCACTCTGTCACCCAGGCTGGAGTGCAGTGGTGCCATCTCAGCTTACTGCAACCTCTGCCTCCCAGGTTCAAGTGATTCTCATGCCTCAGCCTCCTGAGTAGCTGGGATTACAGGCGTGCACCACCACTATGCCTGGCTAATTTTTGTATTTTTAGTAGAGGCAGGGTTTCATCATGTTGGCCAGGCTGGTCTCGAACTCCTGACCTCAGGTGATCCACCCACCTCGGCCTCCCAAAGTGCTGGGATTACACACGTGAGCCACCGCGCCCGTCCTCTCTAGTGTTTTTCTGTTCTCTATTTCATTGATTGTTGGATTGTTGCTGTGATTTTTTTATATTGACTTAAAGATTGTATCATAAAATTTTCATTACCTTATGCCAGCCTTAATATTTCTGAATGTAAGGTTAGTTATTTTATGTGGTTTTCTTTCCTGCAGGACCACAAGCAGACGGTGTCACTTTGCACTTGAACACGTCATCCACTTAGGTGTAAAAGGTATTACTTTTATAGAATGATAGTGTTACATCTTCACAGAGTATTTTTATAGGCTTCATGTAAAATTTTGTGTAAAATAGTCTCTTCAGTCATAATATTAGAAGTAAAACTTTTGTTATATTCATGTTTTTAATTTTCTATCAAGTTTTAGTGTTTTCTTACTATTTCAACTTAGTGAATAACTAATAATAGCATGCTTAAATAACCGAAAATAAATTTATCTTGCTCGCTTTTCCCTTCATAAATGTAATTTATGAATTTTTACAGATGGGCAAATAAAGGGCTTTGTTGTGAAGAATATGCAGTACTAATAATGCTATAATTTAGAAACAGTATAACAGGCAGGTTAAGAAAGGAAGGGAATAGAATATTAATTGCTTTAGGGTCAGCCATAAACAACCTCTATTAATATTTTTTTAGCTTTTTAGTTATACCCGTGCTCTTACCATTTTTTGTTTTAAAAGTGTTGTTTCCAGAAGAAATTATTTTACAGTCTCCACAAGTGACGGGAAATTGGAACCATGCACAAGACACCAAAAGCAGTGGACAGTCCACCAGCAAAAAGGTAGTGCTCAGCAATGTGGCTTTCTCTACACAGGGGATGGCTCAGCGACGTGGCTGTCTTTACATAGGGGGTGGCTCAGCGGCGTGACTGTCTCTACACAGGGGATGGCTCAGCGATGTAACTGTCTACACAGGGGGTGGGCGTTTCCTTCTCGGAGTATTAGCGCTTAGTTGACTGGAGTATTAGAGCAGTGTGGTTCACAAATAACTCAAAATTGCAGTTAAAATAAAGTGAACTAAAATATTCAAAAATAGATTTAGTGTAAAGTTTATATGCAAGGGCTAAGATGCAGGGCTAAGATGGCTACAATATATTAAATAGGGGAAGCAAAGTACAGATGTTTATATGACCTTAGAGTTGGGTTTTTTCTTTTTCTTTTTTCTTTTCTTTCTTTTTTTTTTGAGACAGAGTCTCGCTCTGTCACCCAGGCTGGAGTGCAGTGGTGCAATCTTGGCTCACTGCAACCTCTGCCTCCCAGATTCAAGTGATTCTCCTGTCTCAGTCTCCAGAGTAGCTAGGACTACAGGCATGTGCCATCACACCCAGCTAATTTTTGTATTTTTAGTAGAAACAGGGTTTCACCATATTGGTCAGGCTGGTCTCGATCTCCTGATCTTGTGATCCACCCTCCTCGGCCTCCCAAAGTGCTGGAATTACAGGCGTGAGCCACCACACCCGGCCTTAGAGTTTTATTTTTAAATTATATGGTTTATGTGTACACTTAGGTACATTTATGTGATTGTGTATGCATGGAAAATGTCTGGAAGGATACACACCCCGCAAATTGTTAACATTTGCAAACTTTGTGAATGTTGCAAAGATATTTTATAAAAACTTCTAGGCCGGTCGCAGTGGCTCACGCCTGTAATCCCAGCACTTTGGGAGGCCGAGGCGGGCAGATCATGAGATCAGGAGTTCAAGACCAGCCTGGCCAAGATGGTGAAACCCCATCTCTACTAAAAATCCAAAAATTAGCCGGGCATGATGGTGTACACCTGTAATCCCAGCTACTCAGGAGGCTGAGGCAGGAGAATCACTTGAACCCAGGAGGCAGAGGTTGCAGTGAGCCGAGATCACGCCACTGCACTCCAGCCTGGGCAATAGAGCGAGACTCCATCTCAAAAAAAAAAAAAAAAAGCTTCTATAATCCAGTCACTCCATAAATAGTAATATAGTGCCTATTACATGCCAGGTATTGTCCTGGGCTCTCAGTATATTTTTGTGAATACAATAGAAGTGGTTTTATTTATCTTCATGTTTCTAGTAACAAGAAAATCATCTGTGTCATGGTGGAGCTTACAACTTATTTTGTGCTATTCAAATTTGGTTTTATGAGCATGTTTTCAATGTATAACATGAATTTTTAAATTATATCTAATACTCAAAAATGCTCACCATTTTATAGTTCCTCCCCCAAAATGCAAAAATGATAGGTTTAGAATGCCTATACAATCATGGAAAATACGACAAATGAAGCAGCAAGAGGTTATCCTTGAAAGTCATCTGTGGCATATTTCATAGTTGATCTCTTTTTTGTTCTGCAAATAGAAAAGAGTCTTCCTTGGACAGTGCTTTTCTTCTCCGTCATCACCTCATTACTGGTTCATTCTACTGCCTGATTCTCGGGGAGAGTCTGTGGTGCAGATGGCATGTGAGATCAGGGAGGTGTTACTATTTAGGTGGGCACATTCCTAATTGACTGTAGGTTTTAAAACCTGAAACTTTATCTTCTTATGGATTAACTAGATTGAAAATAAACTCAAGAATATTTCATATGTCAACCAAGATAGAATTTCAGGGACCAGATTTATCTTCCTTCCTGAAACAATAAAAAATCAGACAAACTATATGGAACAACAATTTCAGACATTAACATCAGCTATCATAGGACAGGGATTCCTGAGAGAGGAAACAAATGAGGTGACCTCATGGTTTTCCCAACTCACAGCCTTCCGAGAGTGTCTAGGCCAGAGAGCACCAAGAGGGAGCCCAGGCGGAGTGCAGTGACCTGAGTACAGAGACAGCATTTGGAAGGGTGGGGAGGACAAGGGGGATAAAGCTGACAGAGTAGAGTGCTGGGGAGAGGGCAGGGGACAGAGAGCAGCTGGGCACCTACAGAGATTCCTTCTTGAGTTTTCAGCTGAGCATTGATCAGTGCATGATGTGAGTAAAATACCCAGGCCTGGAAAAGAACCAGCTGGAAGGAGGAGCAAGAACAATCCTTAAAAGTTGACACAGTGCCAGAAATAGCTGTGCCCACAGCCAGAGAAGAAAAACCTCGTAATTCACATGTAGAATCCATGGGAGGGTGTTGTCTCAGGAGCGTAGAAAGTCCAGCCTTTGACTGAAGGCTGCTCCGGCCCAGACTGACAAAGTATGATAGCCTCAAAAGAAGCAAGCTGTTCCCAAATAATTGGATTACATCCCAGAACAAAGTTTAAGAATATTTATAGGAATATAAAATTATCCAGCACCCAGCAAGGTATAAAATGGACACTGACATCTGGTTACAAAATGAAAAAGTGAAAAACGTAACCCAAAAGGAGAAAATTTAGTCAATTGGAACCAACCCCCCCGAAATAACATGGTGGAATTAGCAGACAAGGACATTAAAACAGTTATAAATATGTTCCATGTGTTCAAGAAAGTAGAAGACATGAGCAGGTTAAGTGGAGACACGAAAGATATATAAAAGACAATTTTATCTTCTAGGAATGAAAAATTCAATGCCTAGAATGAAAAATATATTGGACAGAATTATCAGCAGACTAGACAATGCAGAAGGAAAAATTAGTGAACTTGAAGACGGAGCAATAGAAACTATCTAACATGGAACAGAGGCGGAGGCTGCAGTGAGCCGAGATCGCGCCACTGCACTCCAGCGTGGGCAATAGAATACAGCAAGACTCCATCCCAGAAAAAAAATTAGCTGGGTGTGGTGGCATGTGCCTGTAGACCTAGCTACTCAGGAGGCTGAGGCAGGAGAATCGCTTGAAACCAGGAGGTGGAGATTGCAGTGAGCCAAGATCATGCCACTGCGCTCCAGCCTGGGCGACAGAGCAAGACTCTGTCTCAAAAAATACATATGTATATACACATATATATATTTTATATATATACATATATAAATATACATATTTTATATATATACATATATAAATATACATATTTTATATATATACATATATAAATATACATATTTTATATATACATATATAAATATACATATTTTTATATATACACACATATTTTATATACACATATTTTTATATGTATACATATATGTATCTATGTATATGACACATGTATATGAGACCAAGAGGGTTCATCCCAGGAATGGCTTAACATTCCAAAAATAAATGTGTAATATACCATATTAACAAACTGAAAAGGAAAAACCATATAATCATGGCAGTAGACTTGGAAAAAGCATCTGACAAAATCCAGCATCCATTCCTGATCAAAATTCAGCAAACTAGAAATAAAAGGAAATTTCTTTTACCTACAAAAACCTACTTAGTGATAACTGAATGTTCTTTGCTTGTAAGATCAGGATCAGGGCATGTTTCCTCAGCATTTCTGCCCAGCATTGTGCATTGTAGACAGGCAATGAAGCAGAAAGAACAGGCATCCGCATCCTGTAGAAAGTCTGATGGAGGCCGGGTGTGGTGACTCGTGCCGGTAATTCCAGCACTTTGGGAGGCTGAGATGGGAAAATCACTGAGAACAGCCTGGGCAACATGCAAGACCCTGTCTCTATTTTTAAAAAGTTTAAAAATTAGCTGGGCATGGTGGCACACACCTGTAGTCCCAGCTACTCAGGAGGCTGAGGCAAGAGGATCCCTTGAGCCTGGGAGGTTGAGGCTGCAGTGAGCTGTGATTGTACCACTACACTCCAGCCTGAGTGATGAAGTGAAACCCTGTCTCAAAAAAAAAAAATAGAAAAGAAAAAAAATCTGATGGAATCTAAAATGAAGCTGTTAGAACTAATAAGTGATTTTGCAAGATACAAGATCAGTGTAGAAAAATAAGTTGTATATATATTTCCAGTAAACACTCAGAAATTGTTTTTTGGTGTTTTGTTTGTTTGTTTTGAGACAGTCTCGCTCTGTTGCCCAGGCCGAGGTGCAGTGGCGGATCTCGGCTCACTGCAACCTCCGCCTCCCAGATTCAAGCAGTTCTCCTGCCTCGGCCTCCTGAGTAGCTGGGATTATAGGTGCGTGCCACCACACCCTGCTAATTTTTGTATTTTTAGTAGAGACAAGGTTTCACCATGTTGATCAGGCTGGTCTCAAACTCCTGACCTCATGATCCGCCCACCTCAGCCTCCCATAGTGCTGGGATTACAGGCGTGAGCCACCATGCCAGGCCTGAATTTTTTTTTTTTTTTAAGTAGCACCTAAATGTTTTAAACATTAGGGATACATCTGACAAAAGATGGGCAACAAAAGACGTAAATCAATGGAGGGAGATATTAGTATCTCTTGGGCCGGAAGATTCCATATTATCAAGTTACCTGTTTTACCTCACGTGGTCTGTAAATGCAGGGCACGCGCAAAACATGGACCTGGGTCCATAGCTCACAGCGCAGACAAAAACTAACTTACTCTGCGGTTTATAGCCGCAATGTCAAGCCTAAAACTATGCATCTAGGAAACAGCATAGAAGAACATCTGCACGTCCTCTGTTTGGGCAAGGATTTTTTTTTATGTGACACTAAGAGCATGACTTACAGAGAAATGGATAAATTGGACTTCAGTGAAATTAAATATTTTGCTGCTGAAAAGACATTGTTAGACAGTAAGGTACAATGGCATACACTTTTAGTCCCAGTGACCCAGGAGACTGAGGCTGGAGGATCTCTTGAGCCCAGGAGTTCCAGGCTAGCCTGGGCAACATAGAAAAACTCTGTCTCAAAAAAAAACAAAGAAAAAAAAAAGACACTGGTAAGACAATGAAAAGTGACAGACTAGAGAAAATATTTGCAAATCACATCTGATCAAGAACTTGTATTCGGAAAACATATGAAAGTACTCTACAAACTGCCTAAGAACTCAATTTTTTATAATGGATCAAACACTTGAACACTTTACCAGAGAATACATACAGATGGTAATAAACACATGAAAGATGTTCAACATCATTAGTTGTTAGGGAAACACAAGTTAAACCACAATGAGGTACCACTGAACACCTGCTAGAATGGCCAGAAATTGAGTTGGGCCATCTGCGCGTTGGTGAGCCCGTGGGGCCGCTGGCACGTACCCTGCTGTGGGAATGGGGAGTGGCACACCACTGTGCAAAAGGTGTTTTTAAGAAGCTGGACGCGCACCTGCCATACAACCCAGCCATTTCTCTCTAGAGAGATGAAGACATAAGGCCACGTGAGGACCCATACACAAAGTTCACAGCAGCTGGGTTTTTAATCACCAAAAACGAAACAACCCAGTGTCCGTGAGCAGGTGAATGGATAAGCAAGTTGCATTGTGTTCGTACAATGGAACATGACTCAGCAATACAAGGAGCAAACTGTTGACATGCAACAACACAGGTGGCTCTCCAATGAATCACACTGTGTGCATTTATATGAAGTATGAAGTTCGAGAGCATGTGAGCCAGCCAGTGCCACTGGAGGGGCTGCGGCACAAGGCGGCTCTGGGGACTGACAGGTCTATTTGTCATCTTGATTGTGCTGATGGTTTTATGGGTATGTGCACGTCAGACTTGTCAAGTCACACACTTTAAATATGTGCACCTTATTGTATGTCAGTCACACTCTGCAAAACACAATGGTTGTGGGAGGAGGTTATAGGCATAACCTTCTAGACCATGGGTGTCCAATCTTTTGGCTTCCCTAGGCCACGTTGCAAGAAGAATTGTCTTGGGCCACACATAAAATTCACTAACACTAATGATAGCTGATGAGCTGAAAAAAATATGTATCACAAAAAAATCTTATAGTGTTTTAAAAAGTTTACGAGTTTGTGTTGGGTTGCATTCAGAGCCATCCTAGGCTGTATATAGTCCATGGGCCGCTGGTTGGACAAGCCTGTTTTAGACTAAAACTTAGCAATGTGTGTAAATTTTTTAACGTGAAACTTTTTTTTTTTGAGACAGAGTCTTCCTCTGTCCTCCTAACTGCAGTGTAGTGTCGCAATCATGGCTCACTGCAACCTTGACCTCCTGGACTCTAGCAGTCCTTCCACCTCAGCCTCCTGAAGTGCTCAGATTATAGGTGTGAACCACTACCCCTGGCCCCAGAACTTTTGATTTTATAGATTCCAGAATCTATCCTATGAAAATAATGAAGTTATTTAACAAAGAATTACAGATCATAATGAAAAAAATTGAAAATCCCACTGGTTCAGGACAAATACTACTTACATTGGAACACACAGAAAACCAATTCTTGTGTAGGATCCTTTTTTTTTTTTGTTTTGAGACAGAGTCTCGCTCTGTCGCCAGGCTGGAGTGCAGTGGCACGATCTTGGCTCACTGCAGCCTCCACCTCCCGGGTTCAAGCTATTCTCCTGCCTCAGCCTCCCGAGTAGCTGGTGGCACCACGGCCAGCTAATTTTTGTATTTTTAGTAAAGACAGGGTTTCACCATGTTGGCCAGGATGGTCTCGATCTCTTGACCTTGTGATCTGCCCGCCTCAGCCTCCCAAAGTGCTGGGATTATAGGCGTGAGCCACTGCGTGCAGCCTTTTTTTTTTTTATGAGTTTGGGGGGTCTCTGTCACCCAGGTTGGAGTTGGTCGCCCAATCTCCACTCACTGCAGCCCCGCCTCCTGGGCTCAAGTGATCCTCCCACCTCAGCCTGCCAAGTAGCTGGGACCACAGGTGAGCACCACCATGCCCGGCTAATTTTTTTTTTTTTTTTGTATTTTTGCTAGAAACAGGGTTTCACCATGTTGCCCAGGCTAGTCTTAAACTCCTGGGCTCAAGTGATCCACCTGTCTTGGCCTCCCACAGTGGTGGGATGATAAGCGTGAGCCCCGTGCCCGGCCTGGTGCAGGATCTTGCCTGACGTCAACAGGCAGCACTGGCACTTTGCACACTCTCCAGGCCCGTGAGACCCAGAGCCCTGGGCTGTACCCTTGACTGTCCCCTGCAGGTTCCCCCACTGTCCAGCCTGGAAAGCAGGTAGGATGTACCAAGGGAAGATGATATTAATAAAATAAAATTTAGTCCTGTGCTTTGGTTTCATCACAAATTTTAGTTTATTTCTAAAAGCAAGTTTAAAGAAAAAAGCACAAACTTTTTTAGCAGTTTTTTATCTGATCGTTTGTTTTTTCTTTATTTTTCAAAGGGTCTGACCTGTGATCCATCCAAAGAGCTGTTAAATAAATATACTAAGTAGAACACTAGATGTTTACGTTTGCTCTTTCAACCAAGCCAGTGTAAACACAGCTGTTTTTTTAAAACATTTTTCTGCCTGATAATTTCTAGAATAGGAAAACAATGACGGACCAAGCTGAGCATGGAACAGAGGAGAGGCGTGTTGGTGACAAGGACCTGCCGGTGCTGGCACCCTTTACTGCAGAGATGAGCGATTGGGGTATGTGCTCATGAGGGGCAAGGAGAAGAGCAACTCTGAGACTGTCGCCTGGAAAACGGGGACTTTGAGGAGTGGGCTCTCATGCAGAAGGAAGAACAGTAGGGGGCGTGTGGCCTGTGACAGGCGGCTGCCGTCTCCACCCTGACTGGAGACTTGGTGTTTTAGCTTAGATACTTTAAGAAGACTTTTAGATTCTGGGTTGTTTTTTTCCAGGTACTCTGCAGATGTGGACATTTTTTAATCCAGTCTCTAATATTTGAGTGTGATCTCTAAAGCCGCAGAATCGGTTGACAGCCTGTCATTTTCCTCTCAGCAGCTGCATTCGTTCTCCTGACCCTCTTTAACAAAGCACAGACAGGTTGAGTGCAGGGCTCACACCTGTCATCCTAACACTTTTGGGAAGCTAAGGTGGGCAGATCATATGAGCTCAGGAGTTCGAGACCAACCTGGACAACATGGCGAAACCTTGTCTCTATAAAAAAAAAAAAATACAAAAATTAGCCAGGTGTGGTGGTGGGCGCCTGTGGTCCCAGCTACCCGGGAGGCTGACGTGGGAGGATCGCTTGAGCTCAGGAGATGGAGGTTACAGTGAGCTGAGATTGTGCCACTGTACTCCAAGCTGGGTGACAGAGCGAGACCCTGTCTCAAAAAAGAAAAAAAAAATGCAAACAGATTATTAAGAGGAATGCCCTGTGCGCATCTTACCCCTGGTCACACTGAAGAGCTACTCCCTGTCTGTGACTCTGATTTAGCCTTTGCACAGACGTGCTGACGCCTGACCTAGGTGAGGACGTGTCCACAGCTGTTGAGAGCTGTTTGCATCTAACTGAAACTTTCTTCACTTTGAATACAGTAGATGAAATTCAGACCCCTAAAGCAAGAAAGATGGAGTTTTTCAACCCAGTGCTAAATGAAAATCAGAAGTTAGCAGTTAAAAGGATTCTGAGTGGTGACTGCCGTCCCCTCCCGTATATTCTCTTTGGACCTCCTGGTACTGGAAAGACAGTGACAATAATAGAGGCTGTTTTACAGGTAAGGACAGCGGCGCCGCGGGTGCTGTGGCTCTGTGCTGCTGTTCATGTGTCGTCTGTGTCTTCAGGAAGTGTGAGTTTAGATTGTAGAATCAGACAGTTGGAAAGAGCTTGAGAAATACCAGTTATTTCATAATGTTAAGTCTGTTTTTGTGGATATGTAGGGATTTAAAAGCTTATTTCATAGGTTTAGAAGGAAACTCATTTTTAGCCTGGTAAACTATTTTATCTGAATCATGACATTTTGCTGCAGAAAAGAAGTTACTCTTATAGTAGCTACAGCCACCATTCCACAGAAGTTTTAGATATCTTCATTTGTAATTGAAGTTAAGTTTATGAAACTATTGTCTACAGATGCTTCTTAACTTTTGATGGGGTTACAACCCAATAACCCATCGTAATGGGATTTGGGAAGCCTGTTTCAGGTTCATCAAGGCATGATCCCTTGTCAGGTGAGGAGCAGACTGACTGGGGATGGTCTTCACACCATCATAAAGTCAAAAAAGCGTTAAGTCAAACCATCATAAGCCGAAGACCATCTACATTTAGCGTCATTCAGGATTCAAATTAGCAAACAGGTATTGAGCGCACAATTGTACCACACGCCAGATGTGTGCAGATGAATCTGACTCTGTTTCTGCCCTGAAAGGTGGTTTAGAATCTTAGAGAGTGCGGAGAACCTTCCCACCTAACCCATGCTTTGGCAGCAGTGTGATGAGGCAGAGTCGTGGCCCAGGTCTCAGTGTGTTGGGGGCTGGCATCTGAGCCCATGCAGCTGAGTCCCTGCACCCGAATGTGTGTGTTGAGGTTAGACTCCTGGTTTCCACCTTGCGGTGTGGATGTTGAGCCTTGGTCTCTTGTGTGTCTTTGATGAAGGTACACTTTGCCTTGCCGGACAGTCGGATTTTAGTCTGTGCGCCCTCCAACAGTGCTGCTGACCTCGTGTGTCTGCGGCTGCACGAGAGCAAGGTGCTACAGCCGGCCACCATGGTCCGGGTGAACGCCACCTGCAGGTTCGAGGAGGTGAGCCCTTGGTGCAAGCAGTGGGGGGCACCAGAACCCCTCCCTGGAACATAGGAAATGCCAAGTGGACAGGGGAGGGCAGGGGTAGGAGGGTGGGCACAGAGGCGCCACAGAAAGCTGTGTTTGAGAAATGGCTCTGCCATGGGCCCTCCCTCACCGCTAAATGGTGGAGCTTGATTGCTGACTATTTCATCACATTCTCACTCTGTGTGAGTTATCACACCTATTGTGGGCATTCGTAGCATTGTAAAATTATCACATTCCTCTTTTATTTAATCCCCAAACGTCTTGTTACTTTTTAAGTAGTTTTGTTTTGTTGGTTTGGTGTTTTTTGTTTTGTTTTGTTTTTTTTTTTTGAGACGGAGTCTCGCTGTGTCGCCCAGGCTGAAGTGCAGTGGCATGATCTCGGCTCACTGCAAGCTCCGCCTCCCAGGTTCACACCATTCTCTGGCCTCAGCCTCCCAAGTAGCTGGGACTACAGGCACCCGCCACTGCGCCCGGCTAATTTTTTGTATTTTTAGTAGAGACGGAGTTTCACCGTGTTAGCCAGGATGGTCTCGATCTCCTGACCTCATGATCTGCCCGCCTCGGCCTCCCAAAGTGCTGGGATTACAGGCGTGAGCCACCGTGCCCGGCCTGGTTTGGTTTTAAGTATTCCTTTAAGTTGCTGGTTTGGTTATAGAGCGAAGTATTGCTTTTATTTTTTTGTTTGTTTGAGACAGAGTTTTTGCTCTTGTTGCCCAGGCTGGAGTGCAGTGGTGTGATCTTGGCTAACTGCAACCTCCGCCTCCCGGGTTCAAGCAATTCTCCTGCCTCAGCCTCCTAAGTACCTAGGATTACAGGTGTGTGCCACCACATCCAGCTAATTTTGTATTTTTAGTAGAGACAGGGTTTCACCATGTTGGTCAGGCTGGTCACGAACTCCTGATCTCAAGTGATCCACCCGCCTCTGCCTCCCAAAGTGTTGAGATTACAGGCTTTAGCCACTGTGCCCAGCCTGAAATATTGCGTTTAAAAAAGACATTGAAAATAGCTGGGCGTGGTGGCATGCGCCTGTAATCCCAGCTACTCCGGAGGCCGAAGCAGGAGAATCACTTGAACCTGGGAGGCAGAGGTTGCAGTGAGCCGAGATTGCACCATTGCACTCCAGCCTGGGCGACAGAGCAAGAGCAAGACTCCCTCTCTAAATAAACAAACAAACAAACTGAATAGAAAATGTACAAAGTTGTTTTGGGGAAGGGTCTGCAGGATTATGTGTTATATTTGTGGCTCTAGAGTTGATAAAACATGGACTGAATTGATAAGGAAGTATGAGATATTTTGAGAAAAAAACCTTAAATCATGACTTAGACGTAACTAAGAAGTGGTACCAGGGCAAGGTTCCCTTTTGGAATTCTGCTTAATAATTGGAGGAGTAAACTAACTCTACGCCTCCTTGCCCCCAGATAGTTATTGACGCCGTCAAACCGTATTGCAGAGACGGAGAAGACATCTGGAAAGCCTCACGCTTCCGGATAATCATCACCACATGCAGCAGCTCAGGGCTGTTTTACCAAATAGGAGTGAGGTGAGCCCCGGGCATGGAGCGCGGCATGGGGCCTCCCAGGGCAGAGGTCGGAGTCCTCTCCTAGCTTCTGTCTGAGGGGCGGATGACCCAGAGACTCAGTGCTCAGGGAGGGAGGCAGGGCT
The DNA here is from genome assembly GCF_000001405.40 of Homo sapiens. Lineage (NCBI taxonomy): Eukaryota > Metazoa > Chordata > Mammalia > Primates > Hominidae > Homo > Homo sapiens. The sequence continues at coordinate 50,145,933 of NC_000022.11, forward strand.
GTGGGCGAGAAAGGCTGGTTGGGGAGGGCCGTGCCTGAATGGAGCTGGGGAAGCCGAGACCCCAAGGACTCGAAGGAGCCAGCAGTGGGATGGGCAGGCAGATGGACTGGCCCATGCAGAGGCCCCGCGGTGGGGGAGCACTGAGGTCTCCCCAAAGGAGACTGTAGAGCCAGAGCCTCGTGAGCAGGAACGGCCTGAAAGGGGTGGTGAGGGGGAGGCCTGGCGGGCTGTGGAGGGGCCTTTGGACGACCTCTGGTGAGCCGGGAAGCCAGTGAAGGGCTTCTGAGCAGGAGAGTGAGTCTCTTGGAGTGGGCGTGGGGAGGCAGGCTGCCTAGGAAACGGCTGGGCTCTGTAAGGTCAGACCCTGGGGGCCATTTGTGTCCCTGGCGCTGGGGGCTCTTCAGGGGAGACAGGCGGAGGAGATGGATTGTGGGGTGCCGGCTGTCATAGGAGGACCTCCCCTGGGGGCTGGGAGGAAGAGCTTCGAGCCCAGGGAGGCTGAGTGAGGACCAAGGCACTCTCAGACCCCAGTGCAGGGGGGTGGGGTCGGGGAGGCAGCAGGCAGCTCCCTCTCAGTGCATAGAGCCAGACAGTGTCGGGGGCACAGGCTGAGGGTGAGAGAGGGAGAAGCCAGGGCCTCTGAGGGAAGCCCCACCCTCCCTGACGGCCTGGAGACAGGTCGCTCTGAACAGTGTCCAGCGTCACAGTGGTCGTGACCCTCCCTGACAGCCTGGAGACAGGTCACCCTGGACAGTGTCCAGCGTCACGGTGGTCGTGAGGGTGACCACAGGAGGTGGTCCGTCAGCTCCACATGGAGCAAAGGCACAGCCAGCCACGCCTATCACAGCGTGTCACGGATGGTTTCATCGGCGCGTTTAACTCTCTCACATACATGATGTCCTTTCATCATGAGATTAGTAGAACGTGATTGATGAGACACTTTACATTTTTTTTGGTTCAAGTCTTCAAAATCCACCATGTATTTTACACTTAGAGCATGTCAGGTTTCAGACTAGCCACTGTGCGGTGCCCGAGAGCCGTGTGTGGCTACCGGATTGGACAGCACGGATCTGAACAAGACAGGGATTTTTTTTGTTAATGTGTGTTGATGAGTCAAAGGTCAAGAGCCGAAGAGCCAGTCCTCACTGGGGTGCAGAGGGCTCTTTGGGGGCAGAGCGGGCACTGCATGGACCCTGCACCCTGGAGCTGATGTTCAGGTAGTGGGAGGAGGTGGCCGGCCAGGGCAGGCCGCTCTCTCAGAGGCACTCTGTGCAGAAGCAGGGAGGGTGCTGCAGGCCGCTCTCTCAGAGGCGCTCTGTGCAGAAGCAGGGAGGGTGCTGCAGGCCGCTCTCTCAGAGGCGCTCTGTGCAGAAGCAGGGAGGGTGCTGCAGGCCGCTCTCTCAGAGGCGCTCTGTGCAGAAGCAGGGAGGGTGCTGCAGGCCGCTCTCTCAGAGGCGCTCTGTGCAGAAGCAGGGAGGGTGCTGCAGGCCGCTCTCTCAGAGGCGCTCTGTGCAGAAGCAGGGAGGGTGCTGCAGGCCGCTCTCTCAGAGGCGCTCTGTGCAGAAGCAGGGAGGGTGCTGCAGGCCGCTCTCTCAGAGGCGCTCTGTGCAGAAGCAGGGAGGGTGCTGCAGGCCGCTCTCTCAGAGGCGCTCTGTGCAGAAGCAGGGAGGGTGCTGCAGCCCAGCTGCAGAGGCCCCACAGCGTTAGTTGGCCACTGGGGGCGGCTGGAGTGGGGAGGGGCACTTCAAAGGGCAAAGAAGTAGCAATGTCATCTGGCAAAAGTGACATTAAATAACTGCAATTAATACAGAATTGAAACCTAAATACTTACATTCTAGGAAAGATACATAATGTTAATTTTTTTCAACAGAAATAGGGACATGAGATGGGGAAATGGCAGTTTGCTGATTTCCACATCTTTCACTGGGAGGGGTTCACGGTGTCACTTGTGAAATCCGTGTCTTGAGAGTTACACATTGATACCTGAAGTGAAAGGTGTCAGCTGACCGTGAGTGGATGCAGGACATGTTGGGCCCAGCACTGCTGTAAGCAGGAGCCCGCCCCCGCACAGGTCTGACCACAGGGTCTCACCCCACAGTGGGACACCTGAGGCTCAGAGGTGATGGATTTGCCCAGCATCTAGGGTTGGAGAGGGGAGATCCTGGAATCAGCAGTGAGAAGGGTAAACGTGGGCTCGGCAGTGAGGACGGTGCGGGCCCAAGGTGCGTCCTGTTGAGTGTTGGCGTGGCTCCGGACACTCTCTCTGCCCCATACCTGCTTCCTCAGGCATCAGGACATGTTTCTGCCCCAAGAGCATTTCCCCACTGAGGCCTCCTGACCACAGAGCAGAAGCTGCTGGGGTGGGCGAGCCAGGGAAGCCGGGGCACCTGTTCCTCAGCTCATGGCCCCAGGTGGGGTGGCCCCTCTGCACTCTAGAAACAGATCATGTGCCGAGCGAGCTCCTGCTCTCCGCTCAGTCCCACAGCCTTCCCATGCAAGAGTTCCGCAGCTTCTCCTGACGACTCCTTCCCGCAAAATCCCCACCCCGTCCATCAGCAACGCTGTGGACTCTCTGCTCCTGCACCTCCCTTACCTCCCTTGTCACACGGAGAAGGAAGAGCCGGACAGGTACCCGCCAGGAGGGCTGCTCTGTAGCTGGGAACCTCACTGAGTTTGCAGCAGGGGCCAGAATTGTGGGGAGCCATTCTAGAGACCGCATTTTCTTTTTTTCTTTTTTTTTTTTTTTTATGAGATGGAGTCTTGCTCTGTCACCCAAGCTGGAGTGCAGTGGCGCGATCTCAGCTCACTGCAAGCTCCGCCTCCCAGGTTCACGCCATTCTCCTGCCTCAGCTTCCCGAGTAGCTGGGACTACAGGCGCCCGCCACCACACCCGGCTAATTTTTTTGTATTTTGAGTAGAGACGGGGTTTCACCGTGTTAGCCAGGATGGTCTTGATCTCCTGACCTCGTGATCCACCCATCTCGGCCTCCCAAAGTGCTGGCATTACAGGCGTGAGCCACTGCGCCCGACCAACCCCATTTTCTTAATGGTGCCGCAGATTGGGAAGTGGCTCCCAGGGCCTCAGCCTATTGGCATGCAGGCCAGGCAGTGCCCAGCTGAGAGTGGCTCACAAGGATGAGTCAGGAGGAAATGAGCGGATGGCAGGAGAGGCTGCCATCTGTGGCCGCCTGCATGGCCAGGCCTGTTCTCAGCGCTTTACAGCGGCCAGTTCAGCTGCTCTCACCTCAGCCACCTCCCGAGAGACACGTGGGAGGTGGAGGCTCAGAGAGGGGAAGTCAGGACTAGAGCCTGGGCATTTTGATAATGACAGGAGTGAGACGCAGGTGGAGAGCAGGCCAGGAGCCTGCGGCGCTTCTCCTGTGAGCTGCCCCCAGGAGGCGCTCGTGTGTTGCCCATCGCTCCCACCCCTTCTTCCCTCCACATCTCTAGAAATACAGACGCTGCGTGCAAAGCACTGGGTGCTGATGTGGCTTAGCATCTCCTGACACCTGTGGCCTGTCCTCCCTCCAGCCGGGTGACACCCAGACCCCCAGCTCCTGCACACCCCTGGGCAACCCTGCTGTGCCCCCGGGGTGCTGAGCGTGGCTTTGCCAGTGTGTCAGAGGCATCAATTGCTAAAACAATTCGGCAGAAATTACCATTTAGAACATCTTTGCTCTAGAGTTGGGCACTTCACTCACGTGTTTGTGGACGAGGCTGGGCAGGCAAGTGAGCCGGAATGCCTCATTCCTCTGGGGCTGATGTCGGACATCAGTGGCCAGGTAAGTCCCGACTACTGTGTGTGCTGCTTCCTCCTCACCCCGTTCTCCTGAGGGGATGCAGGCTGCGATCCTGCCGGGAACAGTCACAGCTGTACAGGGGTCAGGTGGAAGTGCCAAGGACCCCGAGGTGTTGGGGGCCATGGGTCTCTATTGTACTTTATTCCTTTTGGACTAGAAGTGAATGTCTTGACTCATTTACTTGTAAAACGGAGGTAAGAGCCATTCTAGGTGTTGGGGATACAGCGGTAAAGTCAGGAATGTGGTCCCTGCTCTGGGTGAGCCGGCCGTTCAGTGCCTGGAGGGGCGGACAGGGCCAGTGCTCCTGCATCTGACCCACTTGCCCCTCAGGCTGCCCTGGCCTCCAGCTCTGTGCATCCTCTGTTCTCTGCTCCCACCTGCTTCCTCCCCGAGTGCTTCTGATGGTGGCGTGGGCATCACCTTGAACTTCCCTGGTTCTCTCACTGTGGCTCATCCAGGCGAGCTCATCCAGTGTCCAGCACTGGACATTTCAGGGTCCTCCTTGGCACCCATCCTAGATGTCTGTCCCAGTCACCAGGCACTGTGGGGCGGAGCATGAAGGTGACGCCTAGGGAGGGAGCAGGGACTGGTCCAGGCAGAGCAGCGGCATAGGGCGGCCTGACCAGGTCAAGGCAACCATGGGCAAGAGGCAAGGGGCAGGTGGGATGGCGGCCAGGGCCAGCCATGCAGAAGCTTCCAGAAGATAGACGGCATCCTTGGGGCTCTTACCACTTTGAGAGATTCGCAGGAGAGAAAACCAGGCTGCAGAAGCCGGGCAGATGGCAGGACTTCGGGGAGGCAGATGGCAGGACTTCAGGGGGAAGCGGGGAGAGACGGCTCCAAGCCCTGTCGGCATTCCCTGGTCTCCCAGTCCCTCCCGTCGTCCCCTGCAGCAAGAGTGAGCATGGGGCCATCCTGCGCACAGCCCCATTCCCACCTGAGCCCGTAGGAGTGGCAGCGGCACCCTCCCTGCATGAGCTGAGACGGGCCCTCTGTGTGCAGATCGTGCTGGCAGGAGACCCCATGCAGCTCGGCCCAGTCATTAAGTCCAGACTCGCCATGGCCTATGGGCTGAACGTGTCCTTTTTGGAACGGCTGATGTCTCGACCCGCGTACCAGAGGGACGAAAATGCTTTCGGTGCTTGTGGCGCACATAATCCCCTGTTGGTGAGTCACAGACTCCAGCGCGTTCAGGTCCCCAGCTAAGCAGACACAGGCTCCAGGGCAGTCGAGCAGCTCACTCTTCTGTCCACCTGAGTCATCTCCATCCGTGGGCAGAGTGCAGGGGAGCACCCACCATAGCACCTCCCCCGTCAGCAGAAACTGCAGCCTGGTGCTGATGGCTGAGACTCTGGGGTCAGATTCAGTAAAATAAGTTAAAATCTGTGTTACTCTGTTAACGTTAAGAAAAGCAAGAAATAATTTTTGTGACTTAAAAAGCCTGCCCTAGAGTGACTGCAGGCAGTGTCTCCTCAGTGGTCTCTGACCCCAAGGTCCCACTGAAGTGCAGGTCTGGGCTCTCAGCCAACCTTGCACCAAATTCTGAGGGATGGGCTTTGGGATTTGCATCTTTGGAGCCCCCAGCACACTGAGCTTGGGCCTCCAGGGCCCATCATTCAACAGTGAACCAAGTAGCCTCAGTTTGTAAGCCCCTGTAGCCCACAGAAAAACAGTCTCCATCTGATTCCCATTGCCAGTATTAACATCAATAGAAAATGAGGGGCAGTTACCATGGGCAGACTTTCAGGGAAAAGGACTGGACCCCATTCTTGGTTGTCAAGGGTAGGGAGCAGGTGGGGGTCTTCAGGCCAAGGAAGGCCTCATGAGGGACTACCCGCAAGACAGGACCGGCTGTGCCAGGAGGCCATGAAACTGCCCCCAGGAAGATGGCCGGCCGTGAGCAGCTGCTGGGCCCAGAGGGCGCCTGAGAGCTCTGCTGTCCCCCGGAGGTTCGCCTCATCCTCCAGTGCCGCTGTGCGCCTGTACCCGCTAGCTGCTTTGCTGGAGGTGTGGGTGCAGGTGACGTGGCCGCAGCAGGAGAGACCAGCACGCTGCCGTCCCCACCACACAGCCTTCAGGGCAGGTGCATACAGCACAGGGCCACAGGTACAGAAAGACCCTGCCGCACGGGAGGTGAAGGCCTTGTCCTGTGTGGGGCCTGGGCAGTGTCCTGCACCCTCCAACCAGAGCGGCTGCCACAGTGACCCCAGGAGGCTGCATGCTTCCTTTCTCTTCCCCAGCAGCTGCCCATGTCCAGCTAAGGCAGAGGTGCCGTGACTCTAGATCACATTTGGAGTTTGGAGTAGCACGTTGGAGGCTGGACACATTCTATTTAGGCTTGACAGAGTCGGGAGGACTCACGGGGCCAATCATGGCGTTCTCGTGCCAGTGTCATCTGGCGAGTAACAGACAGCACTGCAGGAACACAGGTTTTCACCAACAGGGGCTTTGTTAACTCATCCCAAGGAGGGAGAGCCCTAGGCTTGTTCTCCCCAGCAGTGTCTCCCCGAGGGACAGTCAGTGACAGGAGGGCAGAGGGTGCAGCATTGCATAGAGAGGACGGCTCCCCGCGGCACAGACGCAGCGAGTCCTCATGCCAATACATGGGTCACGTGATGAGCAGGGTCAAGACTGAGCATTGCTCTGACTGGTTGAACTCCTGTAGTCGCTGGAGACCCTCTCTGGCTGCTTACACCAGCACCAGGGGAAGAGCACCTGCCCTGAGTGAGCTTCCCGAGCAAGTTGGAGGCAGACAGTAAAGGTGTCCCATGTACTGGTGATATCACAGTCACCCTCAGCCGCATCAGTGAAGTCACAGCCAGGCCCGCCCAGGGCTGGCCAGGCCCCCAGAGTCACAGTGTCTATGCTCTCCTGGCCCAGGGGCCCAGGAGCTCTTCCTTCCCTGTGGCCAAGCGGAGGCAGGGCTGTGTGGGCCAACAAGATGCTGTTTCCAGGGTGAAGCTCTCAGCACACGAGGGAGGCATCCACCTGCCCTCCACCCGGCTGCTGGGTTCCAGGTGGCAGGAGCCCTTTAAGAGGCCCCTCAGCGGCACCCAGACCCAGGAGAGGAACAGAGGGCAGCCGTCACACCCTTTTCTTCCTGATGTTTCCATTTTCTATTCAGATGGACCCTTGGCTTGACCATCATCCAAGGGCTTGGTCTGGGGGCAGGCGACACACAGGGGCGCAGGAGCAGAGTCAGGCTTGGAAGTCAGGCAGGCCTCACGTTTGCTGTGCAGAGCCGCTTTTCGTTCGACAGAAACTGTGCCGGGTACCACCTTCCCCTTGTGACCCATCACCATCTCCTCGCAGGTCACAAAGCTGGTGAAGAACTACCGGTCCCACGAGGCCCTGCTGATGCTGCCCTCACGGCTGTTCTACCACAGGGAACTCGAGGTCTGTGCGGACCCCACAGTGGTGACCTCCTTGCTGGGCTGGGAGAAGTTGCCTAAGAAAGGCTTCCCTCTCATCTTCCATGGTGTGCGGGTGAGTTGTGTCTTGAATCCGTAGGTGACCGTGTCGGGTAAGGACAGTATGGCAGGAGGTCCTTCCTCCCAGGTGAGGCTCTGTCACCTGCCTGTGGCGGGGCAGATGTTCTGCTGGTCTCCAGAGAGTGAAAAGCCATCGGGGGCTTGTGCCCCCCAAGATGGATGCTGACTTCTCCTGCCAGATGAGTTGTGCCTGGCACCAAGGAGGCATCACAGGCACCACTCTCAGGTGGTCACAGCAGACAAGCACTGGGCTCCAAGAGAAGCGAAGCTGCCCAGTGAGCTCTGGAGGGCCTGGGGAAGCTCGCAGGGCCATGTGGCTGGGGACGCCCCAGGGCCGCAGGAAGCTCCCAGAGGCCACCACCGCCTCCCTCCCGGTGCTTCCCTCGAGGGTTGGAGCTGTCAGGAGAGAGCCCGGCAGGGAAGGCAGCAGCTGCGATCCCGAGCCGTGCGCCTGGGGCCTGAGGAGTGACGGGCCACCACCCCCTCTCCAAGGCCTCGCAGAGGGACAGAGTTAGATGCTGAGTGACCAAGCAAAATTACAAGCATTCGCTAAAATGAGATAGTTTGTATTAGGAGTTTAGTTAGAGCAGAAATCAAGTTTTGCATTAACCCCCTGCCCCAGAAGAAGGGGCATTCAAGGTATCTGCAGTGAGGGCTGCACCCGGGCCACACGGGGAACCCTGGTGCCAGTGCCCCTTCCATGCCACGGGCCCCGGAGGACAGGGGTCCAGGTTACACCATTTGGCTGCCTTGGGGCCTCTGCATTCCATGCCCTACCCAGCAGTGGCCCCCAGTTGCTCTTCGTAAGTTCCTGAGGGAGAAAATCTGTCTGTGATCTGTCCAAAGTGGTGGGATGGGATATGTGTATGGCGGCTGTGAGGTTCTCACATTTGGAAAGGAAGGGGTCCTAAGGAGAATCTGCAGTGAGCTGGACACCTCCAGACATGGTGCACTCTGAGGCAGGTCCCTCCCCTGCAGTGGTCTCCCGCCATCTGTCCTGCTAGCTCTGCCCATCCTCAGAAGCTTTCCTGGGTATCAGGAAAACACATTAGTGGCCAGGCACAGGGGCTCACCTGTAACCCCAGCACTTTGGGAGGCTGAGGCAGGAGGATTGCTTGAGCCTAGGAGTTCAAGATTAGCCTGGGCAACATAGTGAAACTCCCATCTCTTAAAAAAAAATTTTTTTTTTTTTAAATTAGCTGAGCATGGTGGCATGTGCCTTTGGTCCCGGCTACTTGGGAGGCTGAGGCAGAAGGATTGCTTGAGCCCAGGAGATTGAGGCTGCAGTGAGCTATGATTGCACCACTGTACCCCAGCCCAGGCGACAGAGTGAGACCCTGACTCTAAAAACTATATAAATAAATATAAATAAATGCATGGAGGCTGTCACTCAGCAGCTCTGTGTCCTGGCCTAGGATCTGTCCACCTGGTAGGCCATGGCGGAGAAGAGTCATGAAGCCCCTCGTTCTCGTCGTGCTCCTCATCAAATTATCCTTGGGTTTCTGATCGTTCTTGTCTTACGAATTTTAACTGCTGTGTTTCATGCATATAATTTATCACTGCTTTATCTTCCTCATTATGTAATATCCTTCCATACTGTCATGTGTATTAGTCTTAAATTCCACCTCGTAATATTAACATTGCCACTTTTTTCTTTTTACCTGGTATGTCTTTGCCCTCTTCATTTTTTATTGTTGTATTTCTTAGGAGCAGCTAGGTTTTTATATTTAATCCATTTTGGGAGTCAGTTTGCTTTTAGTGACATAAATCAGCCCAGTCTATAGTGATTTCACATGATTTCTTCTTTATCTTTCTTAGTCATTTTATTTCCTGATTTTTTCTAGTTGATTGGTTGCTATTCATTGAATTGTTTCTCAGTTTAGAAGTTTCTGCTATAAGTTTCCATCCCATTAATCTTTTAAGTTTCTTCAGTCACTTATTATTTACAATAAATGAGTAAGTTAATGGTTTAACAACAACAGCAAAATTAATTCTTACTGCTTTATCTGGTGGTCACTTTTTTGGGGGTTGTTTTGTGGGTTTTTTTTTTTTTTTGAGACAGAGTTTTGCTCTTTCACCCCAGCTGGGGTGCAGTGGCGCCATCTCGGCTCACTGCAACCTCCGCCTTCCAGGTTCAAGCGATTCTCGTGCCTCAGCCTCCCAAGTAGCTGGGACTACAGGCGCCTGCCACCACGTCCAACTAATTTTCGTATTTTTACTGCTTTATCTGGTGGTGACTTTTTGGGGTTTTTGTTTATCTGTTTTGTTTTGAGACAGGGTTTTGTTCTGTCACCCTGGCTGGAGTGCAGTGGTGCAATCTTGGCTCACTGCAACTTCTGCCTCCCAGTTTCAAGCAATTCTCATGCTTCAGACTCCCAAGGATCTGGGACCACAGGTGCCTGCCACCACGTCCGGCTAATTTTTGTATTTTTAGTAGAGACGGGGTTTCACCATGTTGGCCCAGCTGGTCTCGAACTCCTGACGTCATGATCTGCCCGCCTTGGCCTCCCAAAGTACTGGGATTACAGGCGTGAGCCACCGCACCCCGCCTGGTGGTCACTTTTTTAAATTCTAGGGCCGGATGTGGGAGGCCAAGGCAGGCAGATTGCTTGAGCCCAGGAGTTCAAGAACGGCCAGGACAACATAGCAAGACCCTGTCTCTACAAAAAATACAAAAATTATCCGGTCATGGTGGTGCACACTTGTGGTCCCAGCTACTCAGGAGGCTGAGGTGGGAGGATCACCTGAGCCTGGAGAGGTTGAGGTTGCAGTGAACTGTGATCATGCCCTGGCACTTTAGTCTGGGCGACAGAGTGAAACCCTGTCTCATTCATTCATTCATTCATTCATTCATAAATAAATGTACACATAATATAAAATTTGTCATGTTAAAAACTTTTTTTTTTTTTTAGACAGTTGTCTCACTCTGTCACCCAGGCTGGAGTACAGTGGCATGATCTTGGCTCACTGCAACCTCCGCCTCCCATGTTCAAGCAGTTCTTATGCCTCAGCCTCCCAAGCAGCTGGGACTACAGGCATGCCCCACCACGCCCAGCTAATTTTTGTATTTTTAGTAGAGACGGGGTTTCACCATGTTGGCCAGGCTGGTCTCGAACTCTTGACCTCAAGTGATCTGCCCACCTCGGCCTCCCAAAGTGCTGGGATTACAGGCGTGAGCCACCACGCCTGGACTCCATTTTTAAGTGTAAAGTTTAATAGTGTTAAGTATATTCACATTGTTTTGCAGTCTCCAGAACTTTTATCTTGCAGTATTAAAATTCTATACCCATGAAACAGTAACTTTCTTCCCTGCAGTGCCTAGCAGCCACCATTCTACTTTCTGACTGTATGAATTCAGGTGTTCTAGGTACTTCATACAAGTGGAATTAATCATGGAGTGTTTGTCCTTCTGTGACCGGCTTATTGCACTGAGCATCATGTCCTCAAGGTTCATCCATGTTGTGGTGTGTGTCAGAATTTCCTCCCTTTTGGGGGCTGAGTAGCATTGTATTGTGTGTATACACCATACTTGGCGTATCAGTTCATCTATCAGTGGACACTTGGGCTGCAGACATTTGACTATTGTAAGTAGTGCTGCTACAACGGGTGTACAGATATCTATTTGAGACCCTGCTTTCAGTCGTCATGGGTACATACCCGGAAGTGGAATTGTTGGTAATTCTAGTCTTAATTTTTTGAGAAACCATCATCTTGCTTTCCACAGTAACTGCAGCATTCCACACCCCACCAACAGTGCCGCAGGGTTCCAGTTTCCCCACATCCTCACCACCACTTATTTTCTGGGTTGTTTTATAGTAGCCATCTTAGTGGGAGTGAGGTGTAGCTCACTGTAGTTTTGATTTGCATTTCCCTAATGATTTGTGACATTGAGCAGCTTTTCATGTACCTGTTGGCCATTTGTATGTCTCCTTTGGAGAATTCAGGTCCTTTGCCCATATTTAATTGGGTCGCTTTTTGTCAGTGAATTTAAGACTTCCTCGTAGTTTTGGATATTAACTTCTTATATACTATTTGCAAAGGTTTTCTCCCCCCTCCGCAGACTATCTTTTCACGTTGTTGATTGCGTCCGTTGATGCCCAGACATTTTCCATTTGGATGTAGTCCAGCATATCCCTTTTAGTTATTGCCAGTGGCTTTGGTGTCGTATCCAAGAAGTCATTGCCAAACCTAATGTCGTGGGGCTTTTTCCCTGTTTTCCTCCAAGAATTTTATGGATTTAGGTCTTGGGTTTAAATCTTCGATCCACCTTGAGTTTCTGTTTCCAGGTGGTGTCAGGTGAGGGTCCGTCTTCATCCTTTCCGTGTGGCTCTCTAGTTTTTCCAGCAGCGTTGGTTGAAAAACTGTCCTGGCACCCTTGTCAGAAGTCATCTGGCCGTATATTCGAGGGTTTATTTCTAAGTTCTCCGTTCTACCCTGTTGATCTATATGTCTGTCTTTTATGTCAGTATATCTCATTAATGTTTTCTAAGGAAGAGTATTTTCAAGATGAGAAGTAGCTATATCAAAGGTCTAATATCAAAAAAAAAAAAAAAAAAAAGATCAGAAATACCAGCCAGCCCTCCACTCCGGGGCTCAGACCTGAGTGGCGGACTCCTGTGACCCGTCCTCCTCTGTAGCGTTTAGCATGACTGTGAGCCATTTCATCATTTAACATATGCCATCTGCCCTGCTCACATGTAAGTTCTGCACGAGAGCAGGGATTTATTCTGTCATATTCAGTGTGTATTCCCAGCACCGACTTCAGCTCCTGGATTGTAGCCTTCTGGTGAATATTCATGAAGTAAAGTAGGTTTTCTCTCCTCATCAACCCAGGGCAGCGAGGCACGGGAGGGAAAAAGCCCATCGTGGTTCAACCCGGCCGAGGCCGTCCAGGTCCTGCGCTACTGCTGCCTCCTGGCCCACAGCATCTCCAGTCAGGTGTCTGCCAGCGACATTGGCGTCATCACGCCCTACCGGAAGCAGGTACGCCCTGCCCAGGCACGCCTGGTTCTGTGAGGTCCCTGCAGCCCTGCTCCTTGGCTCCTGCAGCTCCACAGAGGCAGGAACAAGCTCCTTGTGAGCAGCAGCAGGTTTTTAAAGGGGCAGGACCGCACTTGAATGTCGTTCAACATGAGAGGTCACCCAACTGCCATCCATGGGCCAGTTCCGGGCAGCTGCCAGCTTTTCTACGGCCAGAGCCTCGAACAGTTTTTACATTTCTAAATGGTTACATTTATATGTCCCTTGATATTTGGCCCTTTGGGAAAACATTTGCCAACCCCCAGCTCTAACCCAGTGTTTCTCAAAGGGGGCACTTTGGGTATATTTGAATGGGACGCTTCTCATTTCGTATGACTCTGTGATGTGATTATAGGAGAGTTAGCGTCCCCAGGCCCCAGGGGCTGGTCCCAGGAAGCATCTCCACACGTTCACAGTGGCTCTGGAGCTCTGGTGGGGACACAGGTGCCTCCCATGCCGAACACCAGGTTTCATTCATGAAGCATGTGTCCCTGTGGTGTTCACACCACCAAGCAGAACTTGGAAAGAACCCCCAAAATACAGAAGAAAAGGTGAGTCCCCTAGGCCATCACAGTAACAGATCACCTGTACCGCGCGTGTGCTGACCGCAGAGCCCGTCAAAGATGTTATGTTTCCTTTTTTCTGACCTCGGGGACTCGAGAGGTGAGTGCTTAGTTCTCCCAGAGGTACAGAGATTACGAAGGCTTATGGAGACAAGTAAGTTGCCAGACATCACACAGCCAGTGTCCTGGTGTCTTAACCTCAGCTTGTAGGTGCCATCCTGCTGAGACATCCAGCTTAGAGCTGCCATCCTCAGCTCTAAGCATCAGACATGCATCTCGTTTCTCCTGAAGGATTTCCTCCATCCTTGATATGTGCTTGTGGGGAGGGAGGATTTTCCACATGAAACTTGGCTTTCCTAGTAAGCATTGTCCCCCGTCCCCAGTTTAACTAAAACTGCAATTTGTGTTCTAATCAATTCAGATTAGAAGAAAGCAATAAAGAATTAAAAAACAATATTGCACCTTGGCCAATATTTGGTTTATGCTGTGATGTGTAAAGAGATGGATTTGTACATGTCGGGCGTGGTGGCTCACGCCTGTAATCCCAGCACTTTGGGAGGCCGAGGTAGGCGGATCACAAGGTCAGGAGTTCAAGACCAGCCTGGCCAATATGGTGAAACCCTCTCTCTACTAAAAAATACAAAAAATTACCCGGGTGTGGTGGCATGCACCCATAATCCCAGCTGCTCAGGAGGCTGAGGCAGGAGAATTGCTTGAACCCGGGAGGCAGAGGTTGCAGTGAGCCGAGATCACGCCACTGCACTGCAGCCTGGGTGACAGAGTAATACTCCATCTCAAAAAAAAAAAAGGAAAAGAAAAGAAATGGATTTGTACAGTGTTATCTTTAGTCTTTCTTTTAATCTGTTCTCAAGGTGGAGAAAATCAGAATTCTTTTGCGTAATGTTGATCTGATGGATATAAAGGTTGGATCAGTAGAGGAGTTTCAAGGACAAGAGTATCTGGTCATCATCATTTCGACCGTAGGTATCCCTGTTCTCCGTGGGGATGGACAGTCAGGTGCTTGCTGCCCTGGGGGTTCTGGGGGCTTCAGATCTAAAGGGGCAGAGGCTGATTCCCAGCCCAGAGAAGCAGCTGCAGGCGGAGACTCCCTAGGTCCAGGAGCCATTGTAAGCAGTGGCTGTGGGAAGGTCTTTTAAAACAATACTCAAAGACTAAGACACAGGAGAGTAAAGAGAAGGGACCCAGGAAGACATGGTGAATGCCTTGGAGAAGGAGGGACACGAAGTTGGAAGAACAGGCAGCTGAGGAGCAGAGAGTGGGAGGGCAGGTACCCGCAGGAGAGCCCCTAAGACCCCGCCATCCAGACAGCCGCAAGCGTGAGGGCTCCCTGTCTGCAGATGGAGTGCCGATGAGACCCACCCCTTTCTGCTGCCCTTCCTCCTCCCCCTTCTCCCCCTCCCCCCACCTCCTGTTTCTTTTTTTCTTTCTTTTTTTTTTTTTGAGATGGCGTCGCTCTGTCGCCCAGGCTGGAGTGCAGTGGCGCGATCTCGGCTCACTGCAAGCTCTGCCTCCCGGGTTCACGCCATTCTCCTGCCTCAGCCTCTCGAGTAGCTGGGACTACAGGCGCCCACCACCACGCCCAGCTAATTTTTTTTTTTTTGTATTTTTAGTAGAGACGGGGTTTCACCATGTTAGCCAAGATGGTCTCGATCTCCTGACCTCGTGATCCTCCCGCCTCGGCCTCCCAAAGGCTGGGATTACAGGCGTGAGCCACCGCGCCCGGCCTCCTGTTTCTTTTTGAACCAAAAATGAGGTCATTCTGCTATTTAACATTTTTAAATGTTTTTATATATCAAGAGTTTCTCTTCATGCCCCCCAAAAACTTCAAGTGCCATTTTTATTCATCTCTGTGTGCTTTTAGGTACGGTCAAATGAAGATAGATTTGAAGATGATCGATATTTTTTGGGTTTCTTGTCCAACTCAAAAAGATTTAATGTTGCAATCACCAGACCCAAAGCTTTGCTGATAGTGCTGGGAAACCCCCATGTTCTCGTTCGAGTGAGTTTTCAGGCACTGGGTGGGCTGTGATCACTTAAGGAGGGAGGGTCCGGGTCACTCGGGGTGAGACGTACGAGGCACCAGGAGACATGGGGCCTTCACTTGCTCTCACACCAGGCTAATTGTTATTGCCAACAGGACCCCTGTTTTGGTGCTTTGCTGGAATACAGTATTACAAACGGTGTTTACATGGGATGCGATTTACCTCCTGCACTGCAGTCTCTGCAAAAGTGAGCGCTTCTGCTGTCTTCCTCAAAGACAGGCTGGCTCTAGAACGTGCTCTAGCCTGCCCTCCCCTGCTCCCCTCACCCCCATCCACTTACCCACCTGCAGCCTTAGCCCTCTGCCGGCCACCGTCCTCACCTCATCCTGGGCTGCAGCAGCCACTGTTTCCTGGACATTTGGGGTCATGTCACCTTTCCCACATAGGCTAACAGGGTAAACTAAGTCCCCTTGTAAAACCCACATTGGGAAAAGAGTGCAGCTCCCAGCCCGCTGTGGGAGCCTGGCTCACTGGCCATCCGCTTCTCCTCTGTCTACAGCTGTGGCGAGGGGGTGGCAGACCCCTCCTACCCAGTGGTGCCAGAATCCACAGGACCAGAGAAGCATCAGGAGCCCAGCTGATCTGCAGTGGCTGACAGCAGGGAGGCCATGTGCTCAGCCTGGCCACGTTGCCGTTACAGTCTGCTCCGTGGCTCCTGTGGCCTGCCCTTGTCTCGCAGCCAGGCAGGGTCGTGTGTGGGTGTGGGGCTGCCAGGTTGGACGCAGCTGCTGCTGCCCTGACTTTGGCATATGCCAGCCTGTTCCTGCCACAGGGCAGTCACTGCCGCCTACCCTGAAATAAACCCTCGAGTGACCCCCAGAAGCCTTTCCACCTCGAGATGTGTGCCCGTGTCAGTGGTGACCAGGGTTTCATGTGGCCTCTCAGCCCTGCTGGCGCAGTTTTTGGAGATGGCTTGCTGTCCACTTCACCTGAACTAGCCGTGTGTCAGGCTCCAGGCAAGGCTGCCAGCTCCACTCAGCAGAGCGCCAGGGCCATGGACCAGGCATGCAGAGCCCACAGGGCCTGAGGCTCTACATGGGGCCAGGGTTGTGAGGGTGGCACTCAGGCCTGCCCTAGGCCCAGTGCTTCTGGGAGTTTGCAGCTGGGCGGGTTCCTGGGTGCAGGCCTGCACCCTAGGGGTACTGAGTTTAGGGGTCCTTAGAACACATCTCTGGGCCAGAAATAAAACACGTGGAGATGGGCAACGCACCTCAGGCCAGGAGGAGCAGAGCAGTGGCAGGAAGAACACTTGGGGTGAGCCCCGCACTGTCCTCAGCCTGGTGCAGGGTCTCAGTACAGCAGCCCGGCTGGAACACAGGACCCCCAGGCTCGGAGATGCCGCCTGCATACACCCAGGGCCCCAGAGGAGGCCAACACCGCTTTACGGGGGGTCTTACCTGGCCTATGCCCCCATCCCCACAGCGAGACACAGACCAGCAGCCGACTAGAAGGGTGCAGGCTTGGCCCACCTCAAAGTTTGGGAGCCTTGCCCTGCACCCTCCCCCACCCCCTCCCCCACGACTTGCTCCCAGGAAACAAATGCTCAGTGTCTCCACTTAGAGGTAGCGTCTGCTTGGCAAGCAGAAACCACTGTCTCCTGAAGGTCTCAAGACACCAGGGATCATGTCTGTTTACTAAACTTGTGGGTGATGCTAAGATCTGTGGTCACAACTCCAGGGAGTACTTGATGTAGGAGGAAGCACTTTCCAGACAGGCGGCGTCATGTCAGGGCCCAGGACTGCATGCGGCATCACCTGCTGTGGCTTCTGCATGAGTTGTGTTTAGGAACTGAAGGGTTTCTCCAGGCAGAGCTGTCATTGCTGTGCTAAGGGGTGCGTGGAGGCCCAGGCAGAGCCCCCATGCGTGGAGGCCGCTGTGCCCAGTGCTCCTGCAGCCAGCGTTTGCTGGACTCTCTCTGCAGAGCAGAAGTCCTAGGGCAAGGACCTCTCCATCCTGTCAACCCCAAATCGAAGGGATGCCCCCCACGGAGGCTGGGGACTTTTCTGACCCAGGTGAGGGGATCATTGGGGTCAGCCCTGACACTGAGAGGCCACCTCTCTGGGCTCAGTGACCTGGATGTCCTGGCAGGTGGGAGAGACGCAAGAAGCAGGTGTGGGGTCCACACTTGAGGGAGTGCTCTTGGGCAGAGACGTGGGGAGCCAGTGTTGAGGCTGGGCAGGTGTCCTCAGCTGGGGGACACCTCAGCAATGATCTGGCGTGTGCCCAGGGTGGCAGGAGACCAGGCGGGGTCATTCTATAAAGGACTCGGGGCACCTGTTTGCTGGTGCAAGAGTGGCAGGGAGGCTGTCAGGTGACAGGGAGGGAGGGGAAGAGAAGGAGGTCAGTGAGGAGGCTGCCCTGGAGGGGCCCAGGCTACAGGGAAGGCAGCACTGCTCAGCCAGCCATGAATCCCTGCAAAGCAAGGCAAGGGAAGCAAAGGCAAGTGGGGCCTGCAGGCAGGTGTCGTCTGCACAGGATTTGGGGCTTTTTTTAAGACAGGGTCTTGCTCTGTTGCCCAGGCTGGAGTGCAGTGGCACAATCATGGCTCACTGCGTCCTCAACCTCCCAGCCTCAGGTGATCCTCCCACCTCAGCCTCCCAAATAGCTGACACTACAGGTGTACGCCATCACACCTGGCTAATTTTCTGTAGAGACAGGGTTTCGCCATGTTGCCCAGGTTGGTCTCGATTTCCTGGGCTCAAGTGTTCCACCCACCTCAACCTCCCAAGTAGTTGAGATCACAGGCGTGTGCCACCACAGCTGGCTAATTTGTTTATTATTATTTGTAGAGACGGTCTTGCTATGTTGGCCAGGCTGCTACACAGAGGTCTTAAACTTTGGTGCTTGGAGTCCCCTAAATGAAACCTTAAGGGAGTGCATCTCTTCCCTCGTTTTTTTGGTTATCTAAGATTTTTCTTCTTCACATTTTAAACGTGCTTATGATGTAAGTCACAGCTTATTATAAATCTTGCCATTTCATTTATTTTTATTTTATTTTATTTTTTTTTTTATTTATTTTTTTTTTTTTTGAGACAGAGTCTTGCTCTGTCGCCCAGGCTGGAGTGCAGTGGTGCGATCTCGGCTCACTGCAAGCTCCACCTCCCGGGTTCACACCATTCTCCTGCCTCAGCCTCCCGAGTAGCTGGGACTACAGGCGCCTGCCACAACGCCCGGCTAATTTTTTGTATTTTTAGTAGAGACGGGGTTTCACCGTGTTAGCCAGGATGGTCTCCATCTCCTGACCTGGTGATCCACCTGCCTCGGCCTCCCAAAGTGCTGGGGTTACAGGCATGAGCCACCACGCCCGGCCCAAATCTTGCCATTTTCCTTTTCAGTGTATCCAGTGCAACAAAAAATGCCATTACAGTTTGATACCATCATCCACTTAGAGGACACCAGCAAGCTGTTCTTTCACAGCTAGAAAGTTTATTTCTTCTTTTCCTTGAACTCATATTTCTATTCCACTCCCCCCCATATTTGTATCCTAATGCAAAATGTGTTAGGTTTGAAAGGTGTGGGCATCACAAATATTTTCTGTTCCTCTCCTGGGCACAGAACGGGATTTCACCCCCACCTCCCTCACCACCACAGGTGTGTAAAGCCAGTGACATCGCTGATGCGAAGGCTCTGAAGGCAGAGGGCAGCTCACCCCCCACTCCCCACCGGACACCGGGGGCGAGGGCCGCCACGTGTCAGGCTGAGGATGGCGGGACAGAGCCCCCAGTCTCCCTGTGAGCAGTGTGTGGGGCCAAACAACCTGGGCTGTTGTTGACGTCTATTACTGTGGCATGGTCTGGCCTGTCCCTACCAAACACCAGTCTCAGCGCACCCTGACAAAATACAAGCACTGAGGCTTAACATGGGAACAATCTGGCCGATTGTTATTCTTACGATTATTATAAATACCCAATCAAAATGATACGCATACATTTCCAATTTTCATAATAAACAAAAATAAAATTGAGCTAGAAATGCTTTTTTTTTTTTGAGATGGAGTTTCATTCTGTCGCCCAGGCTGGAGGGCAGTGGTGCAATCTTGGCTCACTGCAACCTCCGCCTCCTGGATTCAAGCGATTCCCCTGCCTCAGCCTCCTGAGTAGCTGGGATTACAGGCATATGCCACCATGCCTGGCTAATTTTTGTATTTTTAGTCGAGACGTGGTTTCATCATGTTGGCCAGGCTGGTCTTGAACTCCTGACCTCAAGTGATCTGCCCACCTCAGCCTCCCAAAGTGCTGGGATTATAGGCGTGAGCCACCACACCTGGCCAGAAATGCATTATTATCCGTATGGGGCTTATTTGCAAATAGTTAATGTCATCATGGGAAGATATTACTTAGGGCGGAAATGAGACAGGTTGTCAGTTTTTTTTCCTGTTTTTCATCTTCATGGATATAGAAGCTCAGAAAGCTTGTTCGCTTAAAGAGAGAGATGGGAATACAAGCTTTGCACAGCACGCATCGTCTTCAAGATCCTTCCATGTGTTGAAATCTCATGTTAATGTATCACCAAGAGAAAGAAGCAGCTGCTCCCATAATACGGGATTTGGGAAGACTGTCCTCCAGTCTGGGCCACTGGAGTGTGAAGACCGCAGGGGTGGACCCTTCACTCCTGCCACACATCCTCCTGAGGAGGGTAACAGGCTGGGCGGCCAGGGTGTCATCATGGACCTTTGCTCACCGTTCCACTCACCGGGAATGAGGATGGCAGCCAAGTTGCCGAGTTTTGAGTCCAGGCCCTGGCTCTGCCACAGGCGTTCTTCTTGTCAAGCTCCCACCGCTTCCTCTGCGAGACAGTGACTGGCCAGTGGTGCTCAACAGGCAGGCAAGATCACACCCACTCATAACCATCGTTGTTCACTGAAAAGGTGCTGTGGCCCAGATGCTGCCCCAGGCAGGGGCGTAACATGCAAAACAAATGCAGTAGGTGCAGTGGCCCAAGCCTGCAGTCCCAGCGTGGCTCACGCCTGCAATCCCAGCATGGTCCACGTCTCCAGTCCCAGCGTGGCCCAAGCCTGCAATCCCAGCGTGGCCCACGCCTGCAATCCCAGCATGGCTCCTGCAATCCCAGCATGGCCCACGTCTCCAATCCCAGCGTGGCTCAAGCCTGCAATCCCAGCGTGGCCCACGCCTGCAATCCCAGCGTGGCTCACGCCTGCAATCCCAGCGTGGCTCAAGCCTGCAATCCCAGCGTGGCCCACGTCTCCAATCCCAGCGTGGCTCAAGCCTGCAATCCCAGCGTGGCCCACGTCTCCAATCCCAGCGTGGCTCAAGCCTGCAATCCCAGCGTGGCCCACGCCTGCAATCCCAGCGTGGCTCAAGCCTGCAATCCCAGCGTGGCCCACGTCTCCAATCCCAGCGTGGCTCAAGCCTGCAATCCCAGCGTGGCCCACATCTCCAATCCCAGCGTGGCCCACGTCTCCGATCCCAGCGTGGCTCAAGCCTGCAATCCCAGCGTGGCTCAAGCCTGCAATCCCAGCGTGGCCCACGCCTGCAATCCCAGCGTGGCTCACGCCTGCAGTCCCAGCGTGGCCCACGCCTGCAGTCCCAGCGTGGCCCACGCCTGCAGTCCCAGCGTGGCCCACATCTCCAGTCCCAGCGTGGCTCAAGCCTGCAATCCCAGCGTGGCCCACGTCTCCAGTCCCAGCGTGGCCCACGTCTCCAATCCCAGCGTGGCCCACGTCTCCAATCCCAGCGTGGCCCACGTCTCCAATCCCAGCGTGGCTCAAGCCTGCAATCCCAGCGTGGCTCACACCTGCAATCCCAGCGTGGCTCACGCCTGCAATCCCAGCGTGGCTCACGCCTGCAATCCCAGCGTGGCTCACGCCTGCAATCCCAGCATGGCTCATGCCTGCAGTCCCAGCGTGGCTCACACCTGTAATCCCATGCCTGCAATCCCAGCACTGTGGGAGGCCAAGGCTGGGTTGGGTGGGGGTGGGGGGATCAGGAGTTTGAGACCATCCTGGGCAATATAGTGAGACCCCGTTTCTACAGATAAAAAAATTTTAAGGCCAGGTGCAGTGGCTTATGCCTGTAATCCCAACACTTTGGGAGGCTGAGGCAGGAGGATCACTTGAGCCCAGGAATTCGAGACCAACCTAGGCAACATGGCGAAACCCCATCTCTCAAAAAAATTAGCCAGGTGTGGTGGTGCATGTCTGCAGTCCCAGCTACTCAGGAGGCTGAGGTGGGAGGATCCCTTGAGCCCAGGAGATGGAGGATGCAGTAAGCCAAGATCCCACCGCTGCACTCCAGGTTGGGCAACAGAGTGAGACCTTGTCTCAAAAGATAATAGTAAAAATTGCTGGGTGTGGTGGCTCATGCCTGTAATCCCAGCACTTTGGGAGGCTGAGGTGGGCAGATCATGAGGTCAGGAGATCGAGACCATCCTGGCTAACACGGTGAAACCCCGTCTCTACTAAAAACAAAATACAAAAAATTAGCTGGGCGTGGTGGCAGGTGCCTGTAGTCCCAGCTACTTGGGAGGCTGAGGCAGGAGAATTGTGTGAACCCGGGGGGTGGAGCTTGCAGTGAGCCGAGATCGCGCCACTGCACTCCAGCCTGGGCAACAGAGCAAGACTCTGTCTCAAAAAAATAATAATAATAGTAACAATTTTAAAAAGCTGGGCATGGTGGCGTGCATCTATAATGCCAGCTACTTGGGGGGTCAAGGTGGGGGGATTGCTTGAGCCCAGGAGTTCAGGGTTACAGTGAGCTCTGACCAGTGATGCAGTGCTCAGGGTTTGAAGAGAGCGTGCACACAAACCGCTAGAGATAAACTCAAAGCACCTGGAAGCTACACCCGCCCCCCCTTCCCCCCGAGAATGGCAGATACTAGAAGGTGGATAGGGCTGAGAGCTGGAAAGAAGACAGGGATGGTGAGAGCATGGACTGGCCGAGCACTTCTGGAAAGCATGGAGAGGCACCCATGCGAAAGCAGAAAGTGCATCTGGAAAACAAAGGCAGCCACCCAGCAGCCACACTCGGGTCGCTCGGAGGGGCTGGAACTCACTGCACTGGGTTATCTGGGAGTGACTGAGTTGTCGGGGAGGGGGGGTGACTTGGTTATGTGAGGGGTGGCTGGGTTCTCTGGGGTGATGGTTATCTGGGGGTGACTGGGTTATACGGGATGGGTTATCTGAGGGGTGCCTCGGTTATCTAGGAGATGACTGGTTTATCTGGTTACCTGAAGGGTGACTTGGTTATTTGGGGATGATGATTTTATCTGGGATGACTGAGTTATCTGGGGGTGACTGAGTTATCGGGTGAATAGGTTATGTGAGAGGTGACTGGGTTATTTGGGGTGACTGGTTTATCTGGCAGTGACTGGGTTATCTGGGGTGAATAGGTTATGTGAGGGGTGCCCGGGTTATTTGGGGTGATTGGTTTATCTGGCAGTGACTGGGTTATCTGGGGTGAATAGGTTATGTGAGGGGTGCCCGGGTTATTTGGGGTGATTGTTTATCTGGCAGTGACTGGGTTATCTGGGGTGAAAGGTTATGTGAGAGGTGACTGGGTTATTTGGGAGGTGACTGGTTTATCTGGCAGTGACTGGGTTATCTGGGTTGAATAGGTTATGTGAGAGGTGACTGGGTTATTTGGGAGGTGACTGGTTTATCTGGCAGTGACTGGGTTATCTGGGGTGAATAGGTTATGTGAGAGGTGACTGGGTTATTTGGGAGGTGACTGGTTTATCTGGCAGTGACTGAGTTATCGGGTGAATAGGTTATGTGAGAGGTGACCGGGTTATTTGGGAGGTGACTGGTTTATCTGGCAGTGACTGGGTTATCTGGGGTGAATAGATTATGTGAGGGGTGCCCGGGTTATTTGGGGTGATTGGTTTATCTGGCAGTGACTGGGTTATCTGGGGTGAATAGGTTATGTGAGGGGTGCCCGGGTTATTTGGGAGGTGACTGGTTTATCTGGCAGTGACTGGGTTATCTGGGGTGAATAGATTATGTGAGGGGTGCCTGGGTTATTTGGGGTGATTGGTTTATCTGGCAGTGACTGGGTTATCTGGGGTGAATAGGTTATGTGAGAGGTGACTGGGTTATTTGGGAGGTGACTGGTTTATCTGGCAGTGACTGGGTTATCTGGTAGGGGTGACTGTTATCGGGGGGTGAGTTGGTTTATCTGGGGTGCCTGGGTTGTCAGGGTGACTGGGTTATCTGCCAGGGCTGATTTATCTGGAGGTGCCTGGGTTATTTGGGGTGACTGGGTTTATCTGGGGTGACTGGGTGGTTGGGTGCTGGGATTGGATGTAGCTGAACTGCCTGCCTCAGGATGAAGTTTGCTGGAAGTCAGGGGCTGGCATCCCTCAGAAAACATGCAAGGATCTTTAAAAACGCAGACGGCGTGAAAGCTCAAAGCAGACACATCCCCTACGCAGCCCAGGGAGGCAGGGGGACCTCCTGGTTTGCTCACAGCAGTGGCCGGGCCTGTGAACACGGGCTCAAAATACATTTTTGGAATGAATTATTGAATGAACTTAAAACTCCAATCACACTAAATCTTTTATATGAAAGATCGTGCACGTTCGTCCTGGTATAGTGGGAAGGGGACCTGCACGAGGGAAAACGGCTGCCTCGAAGAGGCAGGGACCACGCGGGATGCGCCCGCGTCTGAAGCCAGACCCCCGGCTCCCCGAGGGAGAACAGGACGGAGGGCGGGGCTGTGGGGAGCGGAGGGAATGAAGGTCAGGGAGGCGGCGGGGACCCCCTGAGCTGGCACAGGCCCCGGGAACGTCTGTGGAACAGGGGACGGGATGGGGCGTGGGGGAAGGAGGTGCGGGCTGCAGGAGCGGGGGTGATGGGGTCACTCACGGCGGCGGGACTGGGGGTACTGGGTGGGGGGGTCGGGTGGGGCCGGGGCTGCAGTGGAGGGTGTGGGGCGGGGAGATGCCCTCATTGCCCGCGCACTGGCGCCCGAGCCCAGAGAAGAGAGCGCCGGCTTCCCCGCCAGTGGCCGCAGCACCCCAGGAGCGCGGGAACCTCCGGACCCACAGCGGGGCGCGGCCGGGGCAGGTGGGGGGCCCAGGCGAGGAAGCCCCCTCTGCGCCCTGGGCTGGGCGAAGGGCCCTGCGATGCGACGGGGGCAGCCCCAGCGCGCGCCCAGTCCTCACGTCGCCACCGAGCGGCGCCCCCGCCCCAGCCCGGAGCCCCGCAGGGCCGCCCCCACCCCTGCCCACCCTCCCGCGGGCCGGGGCAGCCCCCCGCCAGCCACCCCGCGTTCCCAGGAAGAGGGACCGGTCATTACTCATTCATGTCCTTTCATTTCATTTCAATATTTTCTGCAAAGTCATCGCCCGCGCCGCATCTGCGTGGCGGGGGGCGGGGTGGGGCGGAGCCACGCCGCGGAGTCGCCGCAGGTAAACAGCCCCCTCCCCGCGGCGGGAGCGGGGCCGCCGGCCCCAGGCAGGGACAGCAGCCGCCGCCCGCGCTCCGGGCCGGGATCCCGCCGCCGCCCCCGCCGGAGGCACGCGCCAGGGCGGGGGCCGGGCTGCGGCGGAGGCGGGCGGCTCCGGTGCCCCCCGCCGCCGCCCCGGCCCGGCCCGCCCGCCCCCTGACCCCGGGGGCGGCGGCGGAGCGCCCCCCAAACCCCGCTGCGGGCTCCGCGCCCGGCCAGCCCCGCACCCGCCGCGCGCCTCCGGCTACTCCCATCCCCCGGAGCCCCCCGCTCGGTCCCGGCGTCCCCTGCCACCCTCTCCCGCGGCCCGCGGCCCCGTCCCCGTCCCGCGCCCCCACGCTCCCCGATCCCCGCCCCCGCGCCGCGCGTCCCCTCCCGCCCGCGCCCCCCTCGCCGGGCCCCGCCCCGCGCCCCCCGCCCCGCCCGCGCCCCCCGCCGGGCCGCGCCCCCCGCCCCCCATGCACCACCTCCTGGAGCAGTCGGCGGACATGGCGACCGCGCTGCTGGCGGGAGAGAAGCTGCGGGAGCTGATCCTGCCGGGCGCGCAGGACGACAAGGCGGGCGCGCTGGCCGCGCTGCTTCTGCAGCTGAAGCTGGAGCTGCCGTTCGACCGGGTGGTCACCATCGGCACCGTGCTGGTGCCCATCCTGCTGGTCACCCTGGTCTTCACCAAGAACTTCGCAGGTGAGGCCGGCGGCCGGGGCGCGGGGCGCGGGCAGAGGGGGCGTCCGCAGGTGTCCGGGAGCTGGCGCTTCCCGCGTCCCCGGCGGCTCCGTCCAGCCGCGCCCACCGTGGCCTGGCTGCGTCCGCGGCGTCCCAGGCACCTTCCACAGCCGCCCCCATCCTAGCAGGTGTCGCTGGTCGCACAGACCCCTCGTCTCTATTTTATTGTTGTTCTTCCTTCCATTCGTCCGCCCATGGCCGCGGGTGGGACTAGGCCTGTCTGGACCCAGGGGTCCCAAATGTCATGAGACACGGGGTCTGGTTTGGAGAATGTCACAAGCAGCGCCTGAGGGGATGCAGGGTGGCCAGGTGGGGACCAGGAAAGGCCGGGATGGGTGTTGACAGCAGAGAGCTGATTACAGGGGCTGGTGGAGCTGCCGGGCAGGGTTCCCAGGCTGGACTTGGGTGGAAGGAGGGCAGAGAGAGTCTCTGAGAGGCCCAGGCCCTCCACCCCTCAGGCAGGGCGAGGCCTCTCCGGGTGCACTGGGGGCCTCCGAAGGTTTGAAGCAGGGGGGCTAGCATGGGGCAGGGCCACGTGTCAGAGCAGGGAGCCTGGAGCTCCTGCAGGGAGATGGGGGCTGGACCAGGGCAGGGACCCGCGCTGGTTAGATCAGGACCTGTGGGGGCACTTGAAGCCACCCAGGCGAGGCAGGAAGATGGACAGAGCAGCCAGCCTGCCTGTGAGCCTCTGCGGGGTGGGGTCCTGGTGCCTCTGCCCTCCCCAAGGAGTGGGGCGAGACAGGTGGAGCCGAGAACTTCCTCCCCTGGGGTCTGGGCCAAGGCAAGGGGGATCAGGGTCTCCTGGCCTGTGTGGCCCAGAGGTACTAGTCTGCAGCGGGGAGGGGTGTTGGGACCCTGGGGCCCTCTCTTCTGCAGCCTCCAAACCTCAGCAGACCCTGCCTCAGCACTGGCGCTTCCCAAATCTCCCAGATGCCTTGCCTTAAGGAGTCCCCGTGGCCTGGAGACACCAGGCCTGAGGGTGGACATTGGCCAGGCTGTCTGATCCCACCCAGGGGTGGAGGAGGCCTCTGCTGGTCTCCTCTTCGACACTGGAGGCCAGACCCCGGGGATTAGAGGACCCCTGGGGTGGGCACACAGCACACTCTGCAGAGCAGGGAGCCCAGGCGTGCGGTGGGGCCTTGGGGCAGGCCCAGCATGTCCAGACACCACGTGTGTTCTCTGTGTTTGTAGCAACCAAGTACCGCAAACTAGGCAGTTTCAAACAGCAGACATTTATCTCTCATGGTTCCGGAGGCCAAAAGTCCAAAATCGAGGTGTCGGCAGGGCCCTGCTCCCTCCCACAGCTCTAGGAAAGGGACATTCCAGCCTCTTCAGCCTCTGGTGCTGCCGGCAATCCTTGGGCGCCTTGGCTCGTGGCCGTGCCACCAGTCTCTGCCTCTGTCTTCTCATGGGCTTCTTCCCTCCCTGTCTGTGTCCAAATTTCCTTTTTTTTTGAGACAGAGTCTTGGTATGTCGCCCAGGCTGGAGTGCGGTGGTGCGATCTGCAACCTCCACCTCTCGGGCTCAGGTGTTCTTCCTGCCTCAGCCCCGAGCCCCCAGTAGCAGGGACCACAGGCATCCCACACCACACCCAGCTAATTTTTGTGCCATGTTCCCCAGGCTGGTCTCAAACTCCTGGGCTCAAGTGATCCTCCCATCTCAGCTTCCCAAAGTGCTGGGACTACAGGCGTGAGCCACTGTGCCCTTTTCTCTTCTTCACCACCCCCCCGCTTTTTTTATTTTTATTTTTTGAGACAAAGTCTCGCTCTGTCACCCAGGCTGGAGTGCAGTGGTGCGATGTCGGCTCACTGCGACCTTTGCCTCCCGGGTTCAAGCGATTCTCCTGCTTCAGCTTCCCAAGTAGCTGGGACTACAGGCACCCGCCACCACGCCTGGCTCATTTTTTTTTTTTTTTTTTTGAGACAGAGTCTCGCTCTGTCACCCAGGCTGGAGTATAGTGGCGCGATCTCTGCTCACTGCAAGCTTCGCCTCCTGGGTTCACACCATTCTCCTGCCTCAGCCTCCCAAGTAGCTGGGACTACAGGCGCCCGCCACCATGCCCGGCTAATTTTTTGTATTTTTAGTAGAGACGGGGTTTTGCCATGTTGGCCAGGATGGTCTCGATCTCCTGACCTCGTGATCCGCCCACCTTGGCCTCCCAAAGTGCTGGGATTACAGGCGTTGAGCCACCGTGCCTGACCCATTTTTTGTATTTTTAGTAGAGACGGGGTTTTGCCATGTTGGCCAGGCTGGTCTCGATCTCCTGATCTCAGGTGATCCGCCCGCCTCGGCCTCCCAAATTGCTGGGATTACAGGCATGAGCCACCGCACCCGGCCCAACTTTCTTCTTTAAAGCGGAAAGGAAGCGAGCGCTCTGCCCCCGAGCACCCTCCCAGGAGCCTATGGGCTGGTTCCTCTTTTTGGCTTCATCATCCTTGGAGGGCCGAGCGCAGCCCCTGATGCCGCAGGGCAGGGTTGGGCCTGAGGGCCCGTGTGGCCAGCTGCTGTCTCAGGATGCAGTACCCTCGAAGGTTGGGGGCCAAGTCCCAGGGTCTCCAAGGTGGGCTGGGGAAGGGTCTCGGCCCCCCTCAGCCTGCAGAGAGTGGAGAATGTAGCAGGTGCGCAGCCACCGCCAGGATTAGCTTCCTGTGGCTGCTGGAACAAACCTACAAGTCAGAAGCCAGATGCGAGTCTCATGGGGCTAAAACGAAGGTGTCAGCAGGGCTGGCTCCAAGGGGGAACCCACTTTCTGCCTTCTCCGGCCTCCAGAGGCCTCCACATTCCTGGCCTTGCAGCCCTTCCTGCGTCCTCAGAGCCGGCTGCGTGGCGTTCTCTCTCCCAGCCCCACTTCTGTCCTCACATCTCCTCCCTGACTCTGACCCTCTTAGAAGAACCCTGCAATTGCTGCCCACCAAGACCCCCAGCCTAGGCATGTCTGCAAAGTCCTCGTGAACCGGGAAACGTGACACCGCCACAGGCTCCGGGGTTGGGATGTGGCATCTTTGGGGGCCATGATTCTGCTCACTGCAGACCCCATGTGGAGGTCTGTAAGGCCAGGGGAGTCGGGGAAGGGCCAGGGCCTGGCCTCGGCTGAGGGCTTCCAGGATGTGGCAGTGGTCTGGGGTGACCAGACAGGGTTTGGCCAGCAGGCAGGAGGAGGCTGCGCAGAGCCAGGGGTGTCCTGGAGAGGTGTCCCCACTCCCCAGGTGGGAGGACAGGGGTGGAAAGGGCTGTTGGGAGGGACCCAGCTTCACCCTTGGGGGGCACCTTGGGGCCATGTGCAGGCCAGATCGCAGGGGTGGGCTGGAGATGAGCTTGGGGATGGCAGAACCGAAGAAGGGCAGGACTGGGGGAGGGCCGGGGGGGCTGGGCTTTAGCCTCGGGTCCTGGGGACGGCATTCTGAATATGGGAATATGGGCCGTGTTGGGGTGTATTCAGACACCCGCTCAGAGGTGCTCCAAGCAGCACCAGGCCCCTGGCTGCCAACTCTGATATTGTCACTGGGGCTCTGAGGGCTGGGTGTGGACAGGCTCCTTGGCTGGGAAGCCAGTGTCCTCTCGGGGCATAGCTGGCATGGCCAGGATCCACACAGCAATGTCTTCCAAGAAACGGGCCCCTGGCGGCGGCTCTGTCTGCCCTGTTGGATGGGCCAGGCCTTCCTGCCTTCCGTTTGGACACCTGCACTGGCCCAGGCAGGGTCCCACTGTCCCTGGGAAGTCCCAGAGGAGGGCCTCGGACAGAGGACCCGTAGCAGTCGCTGCGTGTGGGATGGGCCCGTGGATTTGGGCTCAGCAGCCCCTCTCTGCTGCCCCACCCCGAGTCAGGCCAGCACCCCCGGCCCTGGCAGCCCCTGCTAGAAGCTGTGGCAGCATCCACCGGGAAAGGCCCGGCTGCCAGCACAGCTTTGAGTCCGTCAGGACCTGCTGAGGCTGCCAGGAGCACCCTGTACCCTGCAGGTGCAGCGGGTCCAGGGAGGAGGGAAGCCTTGCTGGACATGCCTTGGGGCCCCCAAAGGGCCGGGCCGGTCACCTGCAGTGAGTCAAGGCAGTATCCTTGGTGGAGCAGATGAGGAAACTGAGGTCGGAGTGGCAAGCAGGACTTGGCTTCCCCTTGCTGCCGCCATCCGGCAGGGAGACAGTGACAGGCATGAGGAGTTCGGGTCCAAGTGGGGCTCCGCACAGTGGGGGCAGCTCGCCAGACACGTGGCTCGGTGTGGGGCCCCTGCTTTCATCCACCTTGGAGGAGGCCAGGCCGCCCCCTGCCCCAGAGCCAAGGAGCCCTCCTTCCCATCTCCCTGCGGCCCTACTGGAGTCTGGGTCCAGGGTTCTGGGGCCTCTCCCCACCCATGTTGGCCACACATGCCCAGCAAGGGTGGCTGCCAGGGATGGGCCCAGCTCAGGACGGGACACAAACCTGTCCCTGTTCTCTTCCCCAGGGTGGACGCTCTTCTCTGGCTCCTGGGATTGGCTGTGAGGACAAAACATAAGTAAATAAAATATGCCATTTTCTCAACCAAGAGAGTGGATTCCTTTGCCTTGTCCGGTTTGCTCTTCTCTGAGCCCAGCTCATCTCCAGCTCGATGTCCCCACCGAGGACTCGGGCCTCAGGTCCCAGCTTTTCCTGCCTCTTCCCAGGCTCCCTCCCAAACCCTCCAGAGTCCCCAGGACCCTCAGGGGGATCTGATGACTCATGGGAACCCTCCCTGAGCAGGCTGTCTGGACTGGTAGATGTGCCTCAGTGGTGATGATGGCAGCCGGGAGCTCCGTGTGGGGTCTGAGGGGCTCGTTGCTGAGCCGGGTTCAGGGCTGGAGGTGCCCAGCCCCTGGGCCCCTGTGGGGCATCAACAGTGAATGCTGCTCTTCCCAGAGTGGACAGAGTCTCTAATCCGCCTCGCTTTCCGTCCCTAATTCAGGCCTCGGCACAGACGGACAGGCCTGTCCCTGTTGCTTCTGGTCTGTGGGGAGGGGATTGTGCTGATGTGGGCCCTGCCCTGGGGCTGCTCTTTGGGGCTGGGAGACAAGGCTGAGGCTGGTGTGGGCCTCCGCGCCTGTGCTGTGTGAAGGGCTCAGCCTGAAGAGACTGCACGGTGGCTGGAGGCCCCCAGGCTCTGAGCCTTCCTGGGAAACGTTAGCAAGATCCCAGCCGCTCAGACCCCACACTGGGCCAAGGCGCGAATGTCCTGAACACTTTCACTGCCGTTCGTGTCATTGTCACCTGCAGGCAGAGACAGACTCTTGAGGGAAAACACAGAGTTCAGTAACGACCATTTGCCTGCAGTTCAAGGGACTCCCTCTTTTCAATTTTAGCGGCAGATACCGCAGTCCAGCTGGTGACATCCCCAACCAGCCCCACCTGGTGTCTGGTGTCCCCAGGCTGGCCAGTCCCCAGAACAGTGGGTCTTAGGGAGGCGCCCCTCACCCTCAAGGGTGGGCAGAGCCCACCCTGCCTTCCCGGTGCTGTGGAAACCACCCTGCCAGCTAGCAGCACCTGAGCCAACCGCCTTCCTCCCAGGGGAGCCCGGGCTGTACACGGCCTGTGGCTGGGACCTGGTTTGGGTCCGGCTGTGTGTGGATAGAAGAAGGACCCTGGCTGGGAGTCCTGGCCTGCCTTGGCCCTCTCTGGGATTTGGTTTCCCCTTGTGCACACAGGGCTTTGTGACATTTGGAGAGGCGCATGGCTCAGGTGGTTTCGCAGGCGGTCATGGCTTCCACCTGCAGGTGCCCCGCAGCTGACCTCGTGGGGGTAGTCAGGGCGGGACCCCCACACCACCGTGGTGGGGGGAGGGGGTGGGGTTCATCTGGGCAACCGCAGGTGCTGTGTGGGAGGAGGCTGGAGAGGCTCCTGGGAGGGGTTCGGCAGGGACGCGGTCAGGTCCAGCCCGGTTTCTTCAGCCCAGCCCGTGCGCCTCCCCGCCCCAGCCCGTGTCTCCTCTTTGCCCCCAGAGGAACCCATTTACTGTTACACCCCGCACAACTTCACGCGCGACCAGGCGCTGTACGCCCGCGGCTACTGCTGGACGGAGCTGCGGGACGCGCTGCCCGGCGTGGACGCCAGCCTGTGGCCGTCGCTGTTTGAGCACAAGTTCCTGCCCTACGCGCTGCTGGCCTTCGCCGCCATCATGTACGTGCCCGCGCTGGGCTGGGAGTTCCTGGCCTCCACGCGCCTCACCTCCGAGCTCAACTTCCTGCTGCAGGAGATCGACAACTGTTACCACCGGGCGGCCGAGGGCCGCGCGCCCAAGATCGAGAAGCAGATCCAGTCCAAGGGCCCGGGCATCACGGAGCGCGAGAAGCGCGAGATCATCGAGAACGCGGAGAAGGAGAAGAGCCCGGAGCAGAACCTGTTCGAGAAGTACCTGGAGCGCCGCGGCCGCAGCAACTTCCTGGCCAAGCTGTACCTGGCGCGGCACGTGCTGATCCTGCTGCTGAGCGCCGTGCCCATCTCCTACCTGTGCACCTACTACGCCACGCAGAAGCAGAACGAGTTCACCTGCGCGCTGGGCGCGTCCCCGGACGGGGCGGCAGGTGCGGGGCCCGCGGTGCGCGTGAGCTGCAAGCTCCCGTCCGTGCAACTGCAGCGCATCATCGCGGGCGTGGACATCGTGCTGCTGTGCGTCATGAACCTCATCATCCTCGTCAACCTCATCCACCTCTTCATCTTCCGCAAGAGCAACTTCATCTTCGACAAGCTGCACAAGGTGGGCATCAAGACGCGCCGGCAGTGGCGCCGCTCGCAGTTCTGCGACATCAACATCCTGGCCATGTTCTGCAACGAGAACCGCGACCACATCAAGTCGCTCAACCGGCTGGACTTCATCACCAACGAGAGCGACCTCATGTACGACAACGTGGTCCGGCAGCTGCTGGCGGCGCTGGCGCAGTCCAACCACGACGCCACCCCCACGGTGCGCGACTCGGGGGTGCAGACCGTGGACCCCAGCGCCAACCCCGCCGAGCCCGACGGCGCCGCCGAGCCGCCCGTGGTCAAGCGGCCGCGCAAGAAGATGAAGTGGATCCCCACCAGCAACCCGCTTCCGCAGCCCTTCAAGGAGCCGCTGGCCATCATGCGCGTGGAGAACAGCAAGGCGGAGAAGCCGAAGCCCGCGCGCAGGAAGACGGCCACGGACACGCTGATCGCGCCGCTGCTGGACCGCTCCGCCCACCACTACAAGGGCGGAGGGGGCGACCCGGGCCCCGGCCCCGCCCCTGCCCCCGCCCCGCCGCCCGCCCCTGACAAGAAGCACGCGCGCCACTTCTCCCTGGACGTGCACCCCTACATCCTCGGCACCAAGAAGGCCAAGGCCGAGGCGGTGCCCGCCGCCCTGCCCGCCTCCCGGAGCCAGGAGGGGGGCTTCCTGTCCCAGGCGGAGGACTGTGGGCTAGGCCTGGCCCCGGCGCCCATCAAAGGTAGGGGCAGGGCCGGAGAGAGGGGACGGGGGACTGGGGGTGGGAGAGGCGCCCACAGCCACAGCGGCCCACGGGAGCCTGGCCAGGGCGCTAGGGAAGGGAGGGGGCCTGGCTTGAGGCCCCCTCAAAGGGGGAAGGGAGGAGGCCGAGGTTTGAACCGGCTCCATCAAACGGACTTACTGTCAAGGTGAGCCTCAGGCCAGGCAGGGCCCTGGAGACCCCCCCGGGAGGCAGGTGGGGAAGATGCAGGCTGGAAGCGACGTGCTCCTGGTCAGCTTCCTAGAGCTCCGCGTGCGTGGTGCAGCCAAGTTCCTCGGGTGAGGAAATTCCACCGACGGCACTGCGGCTCCGGGACAGTGGGGCGGGGGGTGTTCCCAGGCCAACTGCTGTGTGCAGGGGCGTCCAGGCCCAGCGTCTCCAGGGCGCTTCAGAGCCGTGAGCCCTGCTCCCCCGCCAGCCTGCACTGGGTGGGCGCTGGGGGCGGCGCAGCGGAGGATGGTGTGAGATGTCTGTGCTCTTGGCTGTTTGCAGATGCTCCGCTCCCCGAGAAGGAAATCCCGTACCCCACAGAGCCAGCCCGGGCAGGGCTTCCCTCGGGGGGCCCGTTCCACGTCCGCTCACCTCCCGCCGCCCCTGCTGTGGCCCCTCTGACACCAGCCAGCCTGGGCAAGGCGGAGCCCCTCACCATCCTGAGCCGAAACGCCACACACCCGCTGCTGCACATCAACACGCTGTACGAGGCCCGGGAGGAGGAGGACGGGGGCCCCCGCCTGCCGCAGGACGTGGGGGACCTCATCGCCATCCCTGCCCCACAGCAGATCCTCATCGCCACCTTCGACGAGCCGAGAACGGTCGTGAGTACTGTGGAGTTTTGAGGGATGGCACCGTCCAGGCCGCCGAGAGCCCCTCTGCCTGTGTCGTGTGGCCTGGCCAGCCTCCCGGTGGACACCAGCCCTGCGTGGACGTGGCCTGTGCTTCGCCCGCACTGCGCGCATCCCCAACCTCTGTCCGCATGCCTGGGGCCTTCGCCCCCACGTGCTCGACAGGGGAACCCGCCCGGACGGCATCGCCAGGCACTGGCTGGGGTGGGGAAAGGTGGCCCAGTGGAGCCGGTGGCCAGGAAGGCTGAAGCCCGCTTCCCATGCTCCTGCATCAGGTGCCCAGCCGTGGGTGGGGGCCCTGAGGTGAAGAGTTTATTTTTTTAGTCCGTTTCGTCCTGGCCCCGGGCTGTGGCGAGACAGCCCAACTCCCCCAGCCCAGCTCCCCCAGCCCAGAGCCAGGGAAGAGGAAGGTGGGGCCAGTCCCACCAGTGGGGTGGCCACGCCCATGGGGTCACATGCTCAGGGGTCACCCCCTGCAGGGACCTGATGCCCTCGGGTGGGAGGGACCGAGGTCCACCCTCGGGTCAAAGGTCAACGTGCACTTTCTCCTTGTCGCCTGACAGACATTTTATTTTACTAAGACTGCTGTACCGAACAAGCATATTTATCATCAGGAGACAGGATGGGTTTAAAGCAGGATGGTGTGTGTGTGAACGGGCATGAGCAGAGGTGAGCGTGAGCGAGCGGGTGTGTATGTACGAGTGTGCACGTGTGTGCGTGTGCACAGAGGGTGTGGTGCCAGCTTGAGTGGGAGTGTGTGAGTGTGAGCAGGCGGGCGAGTGCGTGAGTGCACGCCAGCGCGTGGCCCATGTATGAGGAGTGAAGGGGCCCAACGCAATAACCACGTCCCCCACCCGGGCCCCCCGCCGCGGCTGAGGCCACATGGCTTCCTGTGGGAGCCCCGGCCGGCACCCGGCTGGTCCCACCCCAAATACCTCAGCCATGGAGACCATGTCATGCAGAATTAACAAGGTAGCACCGAGCATATCAATAAATATTATTCTGATAATCACCTGTGCTCCGCCGGGGACTTCGCCTCCCTCCACGCCCGTCCCCTGACTCGGCACCATGCGTGGGGGTGCTGCAGGACGTGGGGCAGGGGCTGCCTTCAGAAGCGTGACAAGGGGCCCCTCTGCACCCACAGTGAGTGTCATACTTGGAGCAGGACATGCCCTGGACTCAGGCTGTGGGCACGGAGGCGATTCAGCTGTGGCCTGAAGCCCTGGGGCACACAGGCTTGGGAGACGAATGCACGACCCCCTTAGTCTTCCTGCTCCTGCAGGGGAGCGAGGAGGGGGAGTGTGAGGCACCCTCTAGGAGAACAGAGAGCTGGCGGGATCCAGGAAGGCTTCCTGGAGGAGGCGCCCTCAGTGTGGTCTGGGATGCTCAAAACAACACAGAGATCCTGAGCAGGTGCCTTTGCTGGGCCCAGGACTCCATGGAACAAGGCTGGTCCCGTGGGTGCACCATGGAACCACATGCCCTGTAGACCCCGGCAGGTGACCCTGAGAGTCTGAACAGAGGCTCCTTGAAGACAGGTGGCTGGGCAGCTGGGCCAGAACCCCATGGGGGCTGGAGTGGGGTTGGGGGTGTAGGCCACTAATTGCAAGGGTGGGCTCGGCTGAGATCAGAGCGGGCCCACCTGCCACCTGGCCTGGGCTTCCTGGGAGCCCCATCGCCAGGCCCCTCCTGGAGCAGTCCTGAGCGGGCAGGCCTGGGCTCCCCAGGTTCCCAGGAGTCAAGAGGAAGGGTCTATCCAGGGTGTGGCCCCCACAGCCAGGGCCTGGCGTGAGACACACAGGGACACAAGCTGGAGGGTGCCTCCCGCCCTCCACGTTAAAACGGAGGTTTTTATACTCTTCTGGGCTGGCGAAGCCTCTTGCCATTAAAAGAGCTGGGCCAGGCGCCAGGGCGTACGCCTGTCATCCCAGTGCTTTGGGAGGCTGAGGTGGGAGGATCGCTTGAGGACGGGATTCGAGGCTGCAGTGAGCTGTGATTGCACGACTGCACTCCAGCCTGGGCGACACCGCGAGACCCTGTCTCTAAAAAAAATTTAAAATCTACTCAGATCCCCAAAGGAGGGGCACCCCGTGCCACCCAGGGCCACGCGGGAGGGCACTGGGGTCGTCGCAGACACAGGCAGTGGGGGGAAGCATGGGCAGAGCCTTCACTGTGGTTCCACCAAAGGATGGGCAGGGTGGGGCCACAGGCTCGGGACTCCAGAGTGGACACCCTGGTGGGTGCTGGGCAGGGGCTGTCCCTGGCTGTCGGGTACATAGCCCAGGGTGACAAGAGCAGGGGGACAGGGCCTAGGCTGTGAGAGCCCACAGAGGAGGCCTGGAGGGGGTGTGGGCCCTGGACTCAGGAGCTTGCACAGGAAGTTGTTTGCTGACAAATCGGTGGGCCCTAGGAGAGGCAGTCTCACCAGGGCCAGCAAGGCCTCAGAGGTCAAAGCAACAAAGCAGAAAATAAAAGGCACAGTTCGGCCGGGCGCGGTGGCTCACACCTGTAATCCCAGCACTTTGGGAGGCCAAGGTGGGCAGATCATGAAGTCAGGAGTTTGAGACCAGCCTGGCCAACATGGTGACACCGTCTCTACTAAAAATACAAAAATTAGCTGGGCGTGGTGGCGCGCACCTGTAATCCCAGCTACTCAGGAGGCTGAGGCAGGAGAATCGCTGGAACCCAGAAGGCGGAGGTTGCAGTGAGCCGAGATCACACCACTCTACTCCAGCAGCATGGGCGACAGCGAGACTCCGTCTCAAAAAAAAAAAAAAGAAAGTAGCAGTTCTTCACGCTCACCTAAGTCAGGACACCTCCCCAGCCTGCATGCCCATGTGCCCAGCATTCCCACGTCCAGGAGAGGGACCCGGTGTCACAGATCCCGGCCCAGGCCAGCCTGGTTGTGCAGGGAGGGCTGAGCCCTGGGCCTTGACAGCATCACCTTGGTGCTGCACCCACAGACCAGCTCAGTGGTGAGGGTGGGCAGGACATGGCAGCTGAGGAGACCCGAGGGATGGCGGCCTCCAGAGGTAGCGTTTGCCATGGGCGTCCTTGCTGCTCGCCAGCTGGGGCTGGGGACCCTCCTCACCCTCACACATGCACCCCGCCCACCTGCACCTGTCCTCCCTGCCCCAGCAGCCACCCGGCATCCCGCATGGCTCGGCTCAGGTAGGGAGACGTCCAGTAGTCCTTGGGGGCAGCCGGTCTGCGTGGTGCTGAGTCCCGCAGGCCCTGCCTCCCAGCTTGTGAGAGGAGCTGTCGCTGCCCAGAAAACGTCTAGGCCGAGGTGGGGCTTGAGCTGAGCCGGGGGACACAGGAGGCCTCAGGTGGAGCCACCTGGAGACTTCAATGTGACCAGGGCCATGGGCAGCAGCCACACTGCCCATCCCCCGCCTGTGCGCCTCAGCCTGGCAGGAGGTATGAAACCAACTCCTGTCTGGAAAGAGGTTCATGCCTCAAGTGAGCACCCTGCCCTGTGCTGGAGCTGGCCCTCCCTCTGCGCGGCCCGTGCTGGGGAGCTGGTGTCCGTCCTACAGTGAGACGCTGGCTCCCACCTCTCCCAGGTAACATCACCACCTTATCCCCAGACCTGTTCCTCTGGCTGTGTCCTTGCCAGCTGTGCCACGTTCCTAGAGGCAGGCGGGCAGAGGCCTGAAAGGGTGGCGCTCACCCTTGGCACTGGGTCAGGGCTGAACCGGCCCCAACCGCCTTCCCCCATAGGGCTCCCTCCCTCCCCTTGCCCCAACGCCTGCTTCTGTGGGATCTGTCACTCTGCTCCGAATGGGACTTGGCCCTTCCTCAAGGTCCACCCCTTGAGGACAAAGCCAGCCGGGGACCAAGACGGTCCCTCCCAGCACAAATGGCTTCACACAGTTTGTTTCTGTTCCTGAGAGCCCCCACCCTCCCTAGGACTCCTCCTCACTCCCCCCAGGGCACCTCCAGAAACCCTCCTCTGGCTGCTCCAGGAACAGGGCATCCACATGGCCAGCCCCCCGGCGTCAGGGCCTCAAAAGCTCTGGCACCCCAGGTGCACGTCCTCCACCTCCACCTGACCCTCTTCCCAAGGCAACCCCGCCTGCCCCCCACGGCAGAAGGGACAGAGCCTGCCCAGAGAAAAGCAGGCTTGGGAGCAGAACTTTAGAAGACAAGCCCAGCCTGAGATGTGGGTGGTGGCCCAGGGCCTGCGGCTGAGGTCCTGCCTCAGTTTCCCCAGCACGCTCCCTGAGGACTCAATCTCCCCCTTTTCTGCTTCTCGCCCCTCACAGCCTAGTGCAGCCCTGCAGGGGACCCCAGCCGGATCGGAGGGCAGTTCTGCTTCTCCACTGTCTGCTGCCCACCGGGGGCTGGGATCTCGGACACTCTCCCCTCCCCAACTGGCCACCTTGCCCAGGTGAGTCAGAGGGTCGTTCTGCAGCCCGGGGGCCAGCGTTGGTTTGAAATAGTGCCCCCTCCTGCCCCTCCCCCTCCCTGAGCATAAGCAGGCCTGGCAGGTGGATAGAACCGTCCCTCTCATGGAGAAGGAGGGGCTCCAGGAGGACCTTGCACCCATCCCAGATGGCCAAGACTGAGAACCCAGGCCTCCAGCCCCCAGGCCAGGGATCTTCCCTCCACACCAGCCCAGCACTGAGAAATGGGTGAGGTGGAGCCGGGGCGACTGCCACCCGCTGCCCTCCTGTGAGGATGTGGCCGAGATGGTCGGAAAGGCAGAATGACCACAAAGGCAGCGAACAATGAGAATCAATGGAGAGGATGTGAACCAGAGGCCCTAGGGCCCAAAGTGAGTGTCCTTCACCAAGGAGGACAGAGGCCTCTCTAAGGCCAGGCCTGGCCATTTGGGGACCAGGAAGCTGTAGGAGGGGGCGGGGCCTCTTGTGTAAGAATGCTCAGTGGGCAGCCAGCCCAGCCTGCTGCCGTGTGGACAGGCATTTTCACCCATCCGCCCCACCCCGGGAGGACCACCTGCAGACTCAGGACCAGGGACCTGAGGGGACCCCTGCAGGCCACCCGAGCCGGGGCAGCTCCTCAGAACCTGGGGCTGGGGCCGGGGCCTCCCTTCCTGGAGCCTGGAAGGAAGCAGGCTCCCCAGCACGGAGTCCTGGTGGACGGCCTCAGGCAGACCCAGACCAAGCCTGGGCGCTGCGTTGGACTCCCCCAACCCCAGGCCTGCTGGGTCAGCCTTCCAGGCTCGCTGAAGGTTCCTGCGTGGGGCAGCCCTCACTGAGGTCCTCCCCGTGGCTCCAGAGAGGAGCTAGTCCTAGGGCACTCGAGTAGAGAGGTGCGCCCTCCTCCCTCTTCTAAATGGTTCCCCAGCTGGCCCCACCTGGCCCCTTTCCCCAACTAACTCATCAGTGCCTGGCAGGAAGACACAGCAGCCCTCCCCCGGTGACTGGAGTCCTGGCCCCAGGGCAGGCCCCGCTCCAAGAACCTGATCCTTTGGCTGGGGCAGGGCCGTAGAGGTGGGCGCAGAGCTTCGGGGAGCTGGCTGTGGGGTCCGCGCATGCAGCCCGCAGGCAAACCATTGCCAGGCCCACGCCTGCACTAAGCCCAGCGCCAGCGCCAGGTCAGCCAAGAACCCGGGGTCGTGGAGGAGGAAGGAAGTCGTGGGCCCGGGATGCGCGGCCGGACCATTGCAGGAGAGCGGGGCAGGCGGACGGCGCAGCAGCTTGCGGGCAGCGAGTCGTCTGCATGCGGCGGCGAAGCGCCCGGGCCCCCGTCCGCGCCGGTGCCCGCAGCGCGCAGCAACTTGGCCGCCGGGTCCCGGCCGCCCCGGTAGAGGCTGGGTACAGCGAGGGGGCCGGGCGCCCGGGCAGGACGGGCGCGGCGGGTGGGGCCTGGCCGTCTCCCCCTGCCCTCGGGGCCGAACACGCACAGCGAGAGTCTAGCGTCGGCGTGGCTGCGGCCAGCCGGGTCCCCCTGGAGGCCTCCGGACGATCGGAAGTGACTGAGCGTCCGGGTCCGTGAGGCCGGGGGTCGGCCCGCCCTAAGACTCCCACCTGGTCCCGGTTCTCCGTCCGCTAGGCTGGCCGCGGGGCCCCTGGGGCCCGACCTTCCCGGGGTGCCCCAACCTGCGGCAAGGCCGAGGTCCCGCTGAGGCATGAGTCCCGGGTCGGGGACCGCTCTGGGCCGACCCCCGGAGGACGGACTAGGCCGATCCCCAGAGGGAAGGGGGCCAGGCCGAGGCCATGGCAGCGCGTTCCCTGATCCCGTGTTCTCGGCTCCTCGCGTCCCACTATCGGCTGTCCCTTTCGTGCGGGACTGACGGCTCACAGAACAGTTACATTTCAATATCATTCGACTGAAAACCATCCTGTGGACGCCGTGCGAGCATTGTCCCCATTTCACAGCTTGGGAGCTGCGACCAGAGAACGTGGGCGCGCCTCGCAAGGCCGTGACCGCGGCGGGACTCGAACCCTCCCTCCTGAGTGCGCGCCGATGTTCCTTAGGACCCGGGAGCGCCGGGGGGGGGGGGGGGGGCGGGGGCCCCGCGCGCTACCCCCTGGGAAGTGTAGTCCGAAGTTGCGGGCCGGGGCCAAGCAGGAGGCGCGTGGGACTACACTTCCCGGCATGCCACGCGGCCGCCGGCGCCCTCGGCCCGTCCGCCCCGCCCCGCCCCGCGGCCCCAGCCCGCCCCGTCCGTTGAGGGCCCGCGCCGCATGGAGGCCGGCTGAGGAGCGCCGCTGCCTCGCCTCGGTACGCCGCGCGGCGCGGACGGCGCGTGCGTGAGGACGGGGCCCAGCACCGAGCGGGGGGCGGGCCCGGGTCAGGGCCGCGGGGTGACTGTGGGGGGCGGGGGGAGCGAGCCCGAGTCGGGGGGTGGGGGCCGGGGGCGGGGGGGGTCAGGCCCGGGTCAGGTTTTGGGGCCGGGGTAGCAGGTCGTGGGGGTCAGGCCCGGATCAGGTTCAGGTTTTGGGGCCGGGGGAGCAGGTCGTGGGGGTCAGGCCAGGGTCAGATTCAGGGTTTGGGGCTGGTAGACCAGGGTCGTTGGGGGCCGGGCCCGGGTCAGGTTTGGGGGCCGGGGTGGCAGGTCGTTGGGGGGGCCAGGCCCGGGTCAGGTTTTGGAGCCGGGGGAGCAGGTCGTGGGGGTCAGGCCCGGGTCAGGTTTGGGGCGGGAGCAGGCCCCGCGCGTCCCCTGCCACCGCTGCCGGGAGCGGCGCTGCCGAGGAGCGGAGCCCCCCAGGGCTGGGGCGGGGAGGGTCAGCGGCGGCCTCGCGGGAAGGCGCGGGTCGGACCTCGAGTCCCAGGGTCCTCGCGGGTCGGGAGGGCCCCAGCCACCCCCGCCTGCCGCCTGCGGTGGAGCCGGCCGAGGTGAGAGTGGAGGAAGGCGGCCCAGGCCTGCGGGTCTCTGGGGGTGCTGGGGGAGGCCGAGCGGGAGGCCCCGGACCCCCGTTGTCCCCTCCGGCCCCGCTGAAACCTGGGGCTTCGCTCTTCTGTAGGTGCCTTTGCCCTTCAATTGGAGCAGAGCGGGGTTCCCATATGGGCGAAGTGGACGCCAGATCGTCCCCCGCTGTGCGCAGCCCAAACTTAAAAGGTCTTTTTAACTGAGCTATCATGAAGCTGCCGTGTGTCTTTGTCAAAACTCTTACAAGAAAGATGGAGTGGGAGCTGTCTGGGCACTAGCGTCCCAGAAACAACCAGGAACTTGTGGAGGTGCTAAGCTCCCTGCGGGGACTCCCGCAGCCTCGGTAGCCTCCAGATGGAAGCCTCCTAGCTTTCAGGTCCCTGAAGAGGCCGTGCAGGCCGCCAGGCTCACTGCGCTGTGTGTCTCTGCTCCCCGCTTGCTGCCGCCGCCCTTGCAGTGTGACTGGTGGGGATGCTGGCCAGCCTCGCCGGAGGCCCTGATGCTGTGGGGTCCGAGGAGGGGGCCTGGCAGGGTGGGTGGGTGGCAGGAGCCTGTGGGGCCCCCTGCATGGTGGTCAGTGTGGGGGCTCTGCATTGACTGTGACCAGGTCCTGGGAGGTTGGGGGCTGCCAGGTGTGCTGGCAAGGAGGCCTCGGGCTCTGGCTCAGGTGTGTTTCCCGTCTCCCAGCTCTGCCACACCTGCGTGAAGCGGTCCCGCCAAAGCCGGGAGGGGTTTCCTGTGGCCAAAGGTGCCAGGCATCAGAAACAGGAAGCAGGGGAGGTC
Organism: Homo sapiens; assembly: GCF_000001405.40. Lineage (NCBI taxonomy): Eukaryota > Metazoa > Chordata > Mammalia > Primates > Hominidae > Homo > Homo sapiens. The sequence goes on from NC_000022.11 coordinate 50,187,409, forward strand.
AAAGCTCTGGGCCACACCCTGGTCCCTCCAAGTTTGTCATTTCTGCAACCCCCAGGTCTGACCAGTTTGGAACCTGGGCTTTCTGAGCCGGTCTAGTGGGTTGGTTGAGAGATGGGGGTTTTTCTGGTAACTGCATTTGGTGCTAGCCAGTTTTTGGTCTGCACTAGGAAGCTAGGCTGCAGTCTGGGAGGCAGTTTCTAGTGGGGTGAAGGGGATAAGATGGGTGTCTTAGCTCTAGCTGCTGTAACAAAGCATCACAGACCAGGAAACTTTAAAAAACAGCAGGCTGGGCTGGGTGTGGTGGTTCACGCCTGTAATCCCAGCACTTTGGGAGGCCGAGGCGGGCAGATCACGAGGTCAGGAGATGGAGACCTTCCTGGCTAACACGGTGAAACCCCGTCTCTACTAAAAAATACAAAAAATTAGCTGGGTGTAGTGGCAGGCGCCTGTAGTCCCAGCTACTCGGGAGGCTGAGGCAGGAGAATGGCGTGAACCCGGGAGGCAGAGCTTGCAGTGAGCCGAGATCATGCCACTGCACTCCAGCGTGGGCAACAGAGTGTGACTCTGTCTCAAAAACAAAAATGAGGTCTTGGCCTGGCGCAGTGGCTCACACCTGTAACCCCAGCACTTTGGGAGGCCGAGGCAGGTGGATCACAAGGTCAGGAGTTCAACACCAGCCTGGCCAAGATGGTGAAACCCCATCTCTACTAAAAATACAAAAATTAGCTGGGGGTGGTGGCGCACGCCTGTAATCCCAGCTACTCGGGAGGCTGAGGCAGGAGAATCGCTTGGACCTCAGGGTGGGGGAGGTTGCAGTGAGCCAAGATCACGCCACCGCACTCCAGCCTGGGCGACAGAGTGACACTCCGTCTCAAATAAAAAAAAAATGAGGTCTCGCTAAGTTGCCCAGACTGGTCTTAAACTCCAGACCTCAGACAATTCTCCTACCTCAGCCTCTCCTGAGTAGCTGGGGCTGTGAGCGAGTAGGCTCCTCCCACCATGCCTCACTGGTGCTGGGAAAAAACTTAACAGAAATTTATTTTCTCAGAGTTCTAGGGGCCGGACATCCCAGATCAAAGGTGCTGGTCCCTGGTTGCCATGCAGCCTCCTGGCTTGTAGACGGGCCCCCGCGGCGTCCTTACCCGGGGGAGCAAGAGCTGCGTGGCGTCTCTTCCAGGAGTACTAACCCCGTCATGGGGGCTATGCACTCATGACCTCATCCGAACCTGATCACCTCCTGGAGGCCCTGCCTTCTAATACCTTCATAGTGGGAGTTAGGGCTCTAACCTGTGGGTTTTGGGGGACACAGTTCAGTCTGTAGCAGTGGGACCTGAGCAGGCAGGTGGGATGCGCTGTCTGAGGCTCCCACTGGATGTCAGGTCCTGGGACAGAAGCCCTGCGGGACATTTCGGATGCAGACAGCCGTCTCTGACGCCAAAGGACTGTAGATGCCGCTCTGATTTTGTGTCCTAGGGCCGCACACCTCAGGCAGAGCCCTAACGGATGGGCTTTTGCGCACAACAGATGTCCTCCTGGGGCTGTTGGGAATTCTCAGAGGCTTCGTCTGCACAGAGGATCATGGTTTCCAAAGCCAGATATCCCTTTTTACAGATGAGGGACAGTGCTTGGAGAACAAGTGTCTTCAGAGGCAGTGTCTAGGGTCTCCTGAAATCGGGCTGCTAAGTCTTTTCTTGCCCTGTGGGTCTCCACCCCGTTCTCTGCCTTCGGGACAGACTGTGCTGCGGCAGAGAAGCTCGAGGCCGAGGCTGACCGCTAAAGCAGCATCTGAATGTGGCTTGTGCTTGCAGCCCAGAGAGGGCCTCCTGTGTGGGGCAGGTGGGATGCTGGCCCTGGAGGCAGGTTCCCGCCTTAAACGGCGGCTCCTGCCCAGAGCATCCTGCCCAGGGTAGCACTGGGGTCTGAGATCTGAGGACCCTGTCTGCCGGCTACCCATGCTCAGGAGGCATGTCCCACAAATCGTGTTCAGCACCCACCCCAGTCCTGCTCGGTGGACGTCCGTGCGGGGCAGGGAGAGTGAAGCACAGCTGGTCTGATACAAGCGTCTGGCTTCCTGCCAGGCTGCACCGCTTCCCAGCGGGTTGGCCTTGCAGGTAACAAGGCCAGAAGCCACTGCGAGGTTCCCTGGGGCAGTGCCAGCACTGGGGATTTGGGAAGGAGAGATGTCTGTCCCCCCGGAGGGGCAGCCAGGGTCTGCTGGTCTCTGCTGATGGGCCTGAGCGTATCTGAAAAGGACAGGTAGAAAGGGGGTGGCTGCAGCGTGCGCTGGCCGGACCCCAGGTGATGCTCTGCTGGGACCCAGAGGGGGTGGCTGCAGTGTGTGCTGGCCGGACCCCAGGTGATGCTCTGCTGGGACCCAGAGGGGGTGGCTGCAGTGTGTGCTGGCCGGACCCCAGGTGATGCTCTGCTGGGACCCAGAGGTTGTGGGGCTGGGAACCAGGTGGGGGTTCTTCAGACATTGTCTCTGAAGACACTTCAGAGTCCAGGCTCAGCATCTGTGGCTTTTGGGCCAGGGCCTTTTGCTCACCGCCAGGCAGCTGGGAGAGGCTCTGGGCCCAGCCATAAATGTCTGAGAGCACAGCTGCCTGGGAGCAGACTAGAGGGAGGAGGGCTGGTAACCTGAAATCACACCCTAGAGCTCTCCAGGGGCCTTGGCGAGGAGGGAAAGAGAGTGTTGAGACTGTAAGAGTGACTGTCAGAGACGTCCCCCAGAATCACGGGCTTTAGGTGCTGGGGGGTCCTCAGTGACCTTCCCGCCTGGCTCCCTGCGGGCAGCACGCCTCTGCTGAGAGGCTGCAGGGGCCAGGGCTGGGGGCTGGCACTGCCTCTGGTGGCGCTGACATCGTCCTGCTCAAGGCTTGGCAGCCGGCCCAGGAAAGCTTCTCTGCCCTCCCTGACAGGAGACCTGTGCACGCCCACCCCATGGCACGACTGGGGTCAGGACCAGCGCCTGCTGCTGCACCGAGACCCTGCCCTGTCCATGGCCACAGGCGTACCCTAGGCCGGCCTCAGAGGCGGGTCTGGCCAGGCTGGGTGGAGGGTGGGGGCTGACCGCAGACCTGGGGCTGCCACACCCATGGGGGAAGGGCTGTGGCGACGTGGGCGCCTCCTGTTGGCTGGGCCGACGCAGCCTCCCGCCCGGCTGCACAGGAGTTTCTTTAAGGAGTTTCCCCGGTGTGCCTCGGCAGCCTTGCGCTGCTCTAATGGTCCGGACTTCCGTGTGTGAGTTTCCCCCGTGCGCCCCGGCAGTCTTGCGCTGCTCCTAAGAGTTCTGGCTTGTGTGTGTAGCTAGACCCAGGGAGGCGGCCGTCTCCCGGACCGGGTGCTTGTCTGGGCTGGCTGGCCTGGCGGCTGCTCACAACAGCTTCCGGTGGGTTCCGGTCGGGTTGCATCGTGGAGCTTTCACCTACAAAAGGGGAAGGAGGCGGCCCAAGGGTCCGGGGCCTGGTCCTGCTGTGACCGGTGCCAGCTGCACTTCCTGGATGTGCCAACCGCTAAGACGCCCAGGCCAGGGTTGGGTCCAGACTCAAGCCCAGGTGGCAAGGAGTGGGACCCCCTGCCAAGGCTGTGAGGCCCCATAGGGGAGCCTGCCTGTGGAGCGGGCCCCCCTTGCCCTCTGCAGAGGCTCAAGGCCCCCGGGGACATGAGCCTGGTGTTTATCAGCTGTCTCCTTAGTCTCAGCTGACCTCCCCCGACCATGGCCCCATTGCACCACCCACCCCAAGCCAGGCCAGTTCCTCTCCCAGAAGTCCCGGCTGTCCAAGAAGAGGGCAGGGTGGGCTGCCCTCTTCTCGGCCAGCTTCAGATGGGGCCTCTGGTTGCACTGAGACAGGCCTCTTCCCCTGCTCAGAGCCGTCCCTGCTCCCCCAGCCCCTGAGCTGCCCTCCTAGACACTGCACAGAGAGCTCCTTCCTGTTCACAGGTTAGGACACCCAAGCTTGGAGGCATCTTAACTTGGATGTGGGTGGCCAGGACCCAGCTGGGTCTGTGAGTCCTGGCTGGGGCCGAGGTCTGTGCCTGCTGTGGCTGTGTGCCAACAGGGTTTGCAGAGGAAAGGAACCTGACATAGCGTCTTATTGCTCATTGTTCCTTTTTCTTATGAGTTCTGAGAAGTGGGCAGCAGTAGTGACATGAAAATGACCCCAGATGCACGCAGGCATCAGTGCAGAACCCGGCAGTGGCCCCTCTGAAGCACATCCTACAAGCCCCGTCGTTTCCTCGCCAGATGCTCGTGTCTGACTGACGCAGACGCTTCAAGACAAAACCACAATACCTTGCACGACTAGACAGCTCAGAATGGTTTCCAACGGCTCATTTTTATTTTTTACTTTTGTTTTTTTCTTGAGACAGAGTCTCCCTCTGTCACCCAGGTTGGAGTGCAGTGACAGGATCTCGGCTCACTGCAACCTCAGCCTCTCGGGTTCAAAGTGATTCTCCTGCCTCAGCCTCCCCAGTAGCTGGGATTACGGGTGTGCACCACCACGCCTGGCTAATTTGTGTATTTTTGGTAGAGATGGGGTTTCACCAGGATGGTCTATGTTGGCCAGGCTGGTCTCGAACTCCTGAGCTCAGGCAGTCCATCCACCTTGGCCCCCCAAAGTGCTGGGATTACAGGTGTGAGCCACCGCGCCTGGCCTGTTTGGGATATTTTAATGATTCTGCCTGGTGACACATCCATCCGCCAGGACATGCATGAGCCATTAACTTGGTAAACAGTCACTCCTGGCATTCCGTGGCTGAGAACATTCAGGAAGAGCCACATGGTGCAGCAGGGCCTGTGGCCAGTCTCAGGACAGCCTGCTGGTCCCTGGCCCCGCCTCGAGGGGCTCCGCGCAGGTCTCGCCGATGCTCTGTGGGTCTTGGCCGGTGCGTGCCTCTGGTGCTGCAGGCGCCTGGCTGTTTTCTTCCTTCCCTCAGGCTCCTGGGCCCCCGGCCTGAGCTCCTGGTTTCTGAGAGTCTGTGGGGAGCTGTGATGCCTCGGGGCAGCCCCCTCGTGTGGCTGCCCCAGCCTGTCCGGGTTTCTACCGTGGTTCCTTCCACACCATGTTTGTCTCTTAAAGTGGGAGAGAAGGTCTTAGGTCCAAACACGTTGATTTGTGTGCTTTGTGGATTCCTCCGTCTGTACTGACTCTGTGCCGGTGTTGTTGCCCAGGCTGTAGTTACTGAAAGGGGAAGTGGCTTTTGTACAAAGGCCCTGGGGTCCTTGCCATGTGTCAGCAGCTGCGTTGCTGTGTCCTGAGATCATGTGTGGACCCCAGGGCTGCCTTCCTATGTGTGCCCGCCGTGCCGCAGTGAGGGTTGGGCAGCTCTGGCCCTGTTCTGAGTGAGGCCTGTGCACCAGCAACCCGCCCTGGGCCCGTCTGCGTTTGGTTTATGCTGGGGTGTCTGGGGACCTGCTGGCCTTTCCCCACCCGGGCCTGACCTGAACCGACCCTGGACCTCAGCAGCCTTTGATGGGCAGGAGGCATTTGGGGATATGGGGGAAGGAGCCCCCAGGCCCACCCAACAGATGGTTCTAGACTGACAGGGCACTACGCAGTGAGTCCTGAGCCAGGTCTGGGGCTCCAGGTGGAAACCCCGCCTCTCATGCCTCTCCTCAGGCTCCCCACAGGTGCAGGAAGCCGCCGCCCAGCCATGGACGGGGAGGAGCAGCAGCCACCGCACGAGGTGAGGTGGAGGCTGGGCTGGCTGCACAGAGACAGGGGCGGGGGGCTTCCCCGCTTTGTGGGCTCTCGGGGTCGGTCCCTGGCTGTTGTTCTGCAAAGGTGATCTTCACAGGGTTCTCCAGGGTCAGGCAGGAGGCACCTCCGAGGGAGAGGGGCGCTGGGCTGAGGTGGCCTGGTGGCCCTGTCTGCCCAGCTTGATGGCAGCCGTGCCAGTGATGGCCAAGCAGGAGGGGTACTGACAGTGTGGGGCCTAGGCTCTACGGAGGCCCTGCTTTTCAGGGTGTGTGGTACACAGAGCGGCCACGGGTCCCTTTCCCGGGTACGTGGTCCGTGGAGCGGTCACGGGCCCTCGTTTTTCAGGGTGTGTGGTCCACACAGCGGCCACGGGTCCCTTTCCAGGGTACGTGGTCCGTGGAGTTGCCACGGAGCCCTGGCTTTCTGGGGTGCATGGACCCTGACTTGAACTCTCCTTTCCACCTGCAGGCCAACGTGGAACCTGTTGTGCCGTCAGAGGCTTCAGAGCCGGTGCCCAGGGTGCTTTCTGGAGACCCCCAGAACCTGTGTACGTGTCCCTCAGGGTCCTGGCACGTTCCCCGGTGTTGGGCTGTTGAGTCAGGGAGGAGGGGGAGGCAGCCAACCACTGCCAGGGGCTTGGAGCTTGTGGTGAGCAGGGGCCCTGGCCGAGACCTGAGGTAGGTGCTGCTAGGCCTGGTGCCACCCAACAGCAGCTGCTCCTGGGCCCTGCCTGGCAGTGGAGCCTCTTGGAGGGGCTGCAAGCAGCACAGGCAGGCCCCTGGGCATGGGGGGCTCGTGAGCACAAGCAGTGTGAGCGGCACGGGAGTCCCTCCTTGCTGTGGCCTCAGCCTGTCCCTCCTGAGTGGGGTGGGGGGGCCCATTTCGCCTCAGAGCCCCTCCCCTAGCTGAGCCCCCTGCGGCACCTGCCCCCACTGTCCCCCACACCGAACCTCATCCACAGCAACCCCCAAGGTCGCCCTCATGGGGTGTATGGGGCACAGGACTCCTGAGGCCCTGGCTTCTCGAAGCCGTGCAGCTCACAGAGGTGGTAGCCGGTGTTCCCATCACTGGGCAGGCAAAGCCTGTGGAGTGTGACGCTCGTCAGGAGTCTTGTGCTCTGCACCTGTTCAGTTCTCAGAACCCAGGAGGGTTCTAGAGCCCAGGCTGCCAGCGGGCCCGGCGGCGTCCTTGGGGTGGGCCCGGCACCACAACGGCCTGTGCTGCTGTTGCAGCCGACGTGGACGCCTTCAACCTGCTCCTGGAGATGAAGCTGAAGCGGCGGCGTCAGCGGCCCAACCTGCCGCGCACTGTGACCCAGTTGGTGGCTGAGGACGGGAGCAGGGTGTACGTGGTGGGGACAGCCCACTTCAGCGACGACAGCAAGAGGGACGTTGTGAAGGTGAGCGCCGCCACCCGCCACATCCCGGACACGGGTTGGTGTAAGCTCCTGTGTCCTGCACTCAGGGACCTCCCGGCAGGGCCCGTGTGCCCGTGTGTGCGCACCGCAGGCCTCCTGCTTCAACACTGTGGTCCCTGGGAGTGGCAAGGTGGGCTTCCTGCCTGGGAGCCGTGACGGCCTTGTGCGTTTTCCCACTTAACAAGTGAACAAGCCTCACAGCTTCCTCTCTCGTCGCTTAGAGAATTGAGCTGTCACTGCAGCAGCGGGGTTAGCTAGCCCTGGGGTGACGCCAAGGCTGGCTGCTCCTGGGATGGGGCCCCTGGTGCTGGCGTCAGCTGTGCTGAGGGGCAGGGAGCGGCTGTGTTCTCGAGGTGTGACCTGTGGCTGTTGCAGACCATCCGGGAGGTGCAGCCTGACGTGGTGGTCGTGGAGCTCTGCCAATATCGTGTGTCCATGCTGAAGATGGACGAGAGCACGCTGCTGCGGGAGGCCCAGGAGCTCAGCCTGGAGAAGCTGCAGCAGGCCGTGAGGCAGGTGCGCAGCCGCGGGCAAGGGTCAGGGTCAGGGTCGGGGTCAAAGCCACCTGTTTGCCTGTTGCCCAGGTTCCTCTCACAGCCCATGCCCCCAGTCAGTGTGGCTGTGCCTGGCCTGCCCTGGGGATTGCCGGGTTAGGGACCTCCCCTGGGCCAGGAGAAATGAAAGAGGCTCCATTACCCGGTTTCAGGCAAGGGAGGAGGAAATGGGTGGCTCTCCAAGCTGAGGCAGGGGCTGGTCACCCGAGGACTGGGTTGCTGAGCAGTTGCTGGGGATGGGTCAGGTCTCAGTGCAAGGTTGGCCCCCCCGGTACCACACCCAGGCCCAAAGTGGGTGGGGCTCAGGGCTCCTCCTGTCCCCACTTCTCCAGCCTTGCAGTGACCGGAGAGGCAGGACTTTCTCATTGCTCTTTGTGTTTTCGGTTTTTGTTTTTTTTTTTTGAGACAGAGTCTCGCTCTGTTGCCCAGGCTGGAGTGCAGTGGTGCGATCTTGGCTCACTGCAACCTTCGCCTCCTGGGTTCTAGTGATGCTCCCGCCTCAGCCTCCTGAGTAGCTGGGATTACAGGTGCCTGCCACCACACCTGGCTAATTTTTTGTATTTTTAGTAGAGACGGGGTTTCACCATGTTGCCCAGGTTCATCTCAAACTCCTGAGCTCAGGCAATCCACCCACCTCAGCCTCCCAAAGTGCTGGGAATACAGGCATGAGCCACCGCGCCCGGCCAGGCTTTGTGTTTTCAAAGGGGGCCCAGCACGCCTGACCCCAGCCCTGGTCAGTTTGCCTTCCCCCTGTTCAAAGGAAACAATTATAATGAGATCTTATAGAAATGTCCCTAAACGTTTGGCGCCTGCCTTTCATTTTTTAATTTCTCCAGATGAGGCAAGTCACCAAAGAAGACCTCTGTGGGCCGTCTTCTAAAGGGCAGTCCCCGGTCCAGCCAGGGCCCAGCACTGGGCAGCCTCCCCACCAGAGCCTGGGGCCCAGTGATCTCGAAGGGGCATAGAATTCGGCAGTGCCGTGCTGCTCACTGCTGCGGTGTCACAGAGGGAAGGGGGCGTGGGGCAGGGTCTGGGAGACACCAGGTGTCCGCTTCACCTGTCCCCTCCCGGGGGACACTCGCTGTGCCCTGGTGTCTAGGTTTCTACTGGGGTTGGTCACAGGCACGTCTGAGCTCAGACCCCAGCCCCTCCAGAGGTGGAGTGGGTCCCAGTGGACCAAGGCCTCGTGAATGTCTCATCCTAAGTTAGCCTGGGCTCCCCAGGGTGGCCTGGGCCCCGGGGAAACACGGGCACTCCATCAGGCGGGACATTCCCAGGGCTCATGGCTCAGGCCCAGACCGTCCCTGGGCGCGTGCAGGTGTGAGCGATTGCCCGGCGCTGTGTGGCCCCCGGGGCTTTGCTGCCCTTCTGTGGGCATCATCTCCTTCACACGTGGACACCCCCGTGGTGCCAGCCGGCCGGTGAGACAGGGGCAATAGGCCTCGGGCTGTAGCTGCTGAAGATGGGGGTGGCCTGGTGTCCGCACCAGCAGTGCTGTGCTGACCTCAGCAGGCAGGTGTGAGTGGTGAGGCCCTTTCTCCAGCCTGCCTGCCCAGCACCCAGCGTCTGTGCCAGCTCAAGGCGGCCCCTTCGCAGAACGAGACTGCCTCATAAAGGCCTTTTCTTCTTCTTTTTTTTTTTTTGAGACAGAGCAGTCTCACTCTGTCACCCAGGCTGGTGATCTCGGCTCACTGCAACCTCTGCCTCCGGGGTTCAAGTGATTCTCCTGCCTCAGCCTCCCGAGTAGCTGGGATTACAGGCACCCGCCAGCACACCCGGCTAATTTTTATATTTTTAGTAGAGATGGGGTTTCGCCATGTTGGCCAGGCTGGTCTGAGAGAGAACTCCTGACCTCGTGATCCGCCTGCCTCAGCCTCCCAAAGTGCTGGGATGACAGGCGTGCGCCACTGCACCCGGCCCGTGAAGGTCTTTTCTGAAGGGAGCTACCTTTGAGAAGTGCCTGTTGGGACAGAACTCCCTGCTCTGGTCTGACCCTCTGCACGCTAGGGTGGTCCTGCACCTGTCGGGGAGGGGGCCAAGGACACAGCACTGGGCTGGGGCAGGGCTCTGCGCTGGTGCTGCCTGCCATCCCAGTTCTGCCATTCCCCCAGCGCACCCCCGCACCCGCCCCTCCAGCTGATGCCTGCTCCCTCTCTCTGCAGAACGGGCTCATGTCGGGGCTGATGCAGATGCTGCTGCTGAAGGTGTCTGCACACATCACCGAGCAGCTGGGCATGGCCCCAGGTGGCGAGTTCAGGGAGGCCTTCAAGGAGGTGGGCACAGGGTGAGGTAGGGGGTGGCCACAGGGATGTGGCTCACAGGGGTGGTCCGGGGTTCCCACTGCTCCCCAACACCCAGCCTCTGCTCCAGGCCAGCAAGGTGCCTTTCTGCAAGTTCCACCTGGGTGACCGACCCATCCCCGTCACCTTCAAGAGGGCCATCGCAGCGCTCTCCTTCTGGCAGAAGGTCAGGCTGGCTTGGGGCCTGTGCTTCCTGTCAGACCCCATCAGGTAGGGCTGCCCCCGGGACCCTGGCCGGCCTGCAGGGTGGTCTGTGGGAGGCTCCAGGCCCTCCTGTGCAGGTCCAAGCGCAGCCAATCCTCACTCAAGGCCTTCCCTGCCCTTTCCTTCCGCCACAAATCCCAAACAAACGTGCTGTGGTCCCTGCCCGGTGTCCACAGTGCCAGCCCCACCCCCCCAGCCCGTTGCCCATCCCTGCGGGGCTGCAGCCATCCCTCTCCACAGCAAGGATGACGTGGAACGCTGCAAGCAGAAGGACCTACTGGAGCAGATGATGGCCGAGATGATTGGCGAGTTCCCAGACCTGCACCGCACCATCGTCTCGGAGCGCGACGTCTACCTAACCTACATGCTGCGCCAGGCCGCGCGGCGCCTCGAGCTGCCTCGGGCCTCTGACGGTGACGGCCGCCCGCAGGCGTGGGACCCCCTGTGAGGCTGAGGCCCGAGCAGGTACTGACCCCTTGTCCTTCCCCACAGCCGAGCCCAGGAAGTGCGTCCCCTCCGTGGTCGTGGGCGTCGTGGGCATGGGCCACGTGCCTGGCATCGAGAAGAACTGGAGCACCGACCTCAACATCCAGGAGATCATGACGTGAGTGCCCGCCCCTCCCTGCAAGCCCCACCCCACAAGCCCCCAGGTGGAGGCTGAGCGCCCTGGAGGCCAACCACATGCGGCAGTGACCCAGGCATGGGGGCTGGGGTATGGGGAGCCCACCCCCAGCCAGGCCCAGCGCCCCCTCCCTCCCACAGCGTGCCCCCGCCGTCCGTCTCCGGCAGAGTGTCTCGGTTGGCCGTGAAGGCCGCCTTCTTCGGCCTGCTGGGCTACAGCCTGTACTGGATGGGCCGCCGCACCGCGAGCCTGGTCCTGTCGCTGCCCGCCGCGCAGTACTGCCTGCAGAGGGTGACCGAGGCCCGGCACAAGTAGGAGACTGCTCCCCGCCCGCTCGGGCCCCTGAGGAGCCAGTGCCCCCGCGGCACTTCTGGGTGCCAGGTGCATCCTAGCCCGCCCGAGGCCCCTGCCACCCCCCATGGGGGTCTGGGCCCGGCCTCGCCTGCCCTCCTGGGCCAGTCACCCCTCCCCCAGCCCACCCAAATAAAGGATTATTTAACTGTCTGAGCTCAGGCCTCCCGGCAGCCCCTCCCCTCCCACACTGCAGGGGCCGTTCCCCAGCTTCTGGACAAGACACCCAGCTCCGAGGGGGCAGGGGCTTATAGGAGGGGCCGAGGCGTGCGCTGCCCTCTCAGCCCTGGTGGCAGGCGGGGGACAATGGCCACTGTCCCTACCTCACTGTGCCTTCCTGTGCTCCGGCCACAGGAGCGTCGGCCCAGGGGCGGCTCCTGGGGGCTCCAGGGCAGGCGAGACTGGGAAAGGCCCAGCCCTGGAGCTCCAGCCGACCCCACCGTGCCCCTGGCATCCTGGCCCTGGCCGCCACCTCCCTGGCACCGTCTGCCTGCAGGGATTCTGTGTTTTTGGCTTTTTTAATGTCTTAAAATCTTTTACTCAGGTAATTTTAATTTCAGAGAGAAAAACTGAAGTAAATGTCAAAAAACACCAGCCTTAAATCCAAAGGGAGAGAATTCGTGTTCTTGGGTCTGTCCCGAGTGGGCTCGCGTGCAGCCAAACATCAGCTCTGGGTCCAGGCGTGGCCTCAGCTGGGAGCCTGTGTCCTGAGCCCCCGGAGCGAAGGGGTGCCTGGGGCATCTTGGCCCTCTCTGGGCAGACAATGTGTGCACCTATGTGGAAGGCCAAGGACATGGGCTGTGGCCAGGCCTGTCCCGCTCAGGCCCCCTGCCCGGCGGCCGTCTGTGTGCGGGGCCTCCCTCCTGGCTGTCCAGGACACAGCCCGTGCAGCCCCAGCCTGGACCCAGGCCATCTCTGGTTGTGTCTGTGCCGACTCGGTGTTGAATCAAATCAGGTGTGCGTCAGGAGCCGGCTGTGTCCTTCCTGCCACACTCGGGGATTCATTCCTTAGAAACTGAAATAAATTCTAATTTTGGAAACTCCTGTTTTGTGACGTGTGAACATGGGGTTCAGGTAATGAAGGATCCCTGCCTCTTCCCCCGTGCTCCAGTGCAGCGGGTACTCGTGGCCCTGCCGGGGCCCTGGGGGAAGGAACCTGCCTGGTTTCCAGCAGAAGAGACAGAGTCGGGTCCCTCCATGCTGACCTGTGGGACCCTTCTCACCCACCAGGTGGGACGCAGGTGGCCTGCTGACACTCAAGACCCTCCATACCCAGTCCCACCAGATTCCAGAGTGTGGACCAGACTGAGCCAGACTGGGGCCCCAGGGGGTCGAGGAGACAGATCAGGAGGGCCCAGGGCCTGGGGAATGGGGAGGGGTAACACCTGCCAAGGAGGATGCTGGGAACGGGCGCCCAGAGCGGCCGGGGGGAGGGGGCTGCTGAAGAGGGAACGGTTGCTGTGGGCTGCAGAGGAGGGTTGGGCACGGGGACCTCACCACATTATCCCTCATCCAGTTACCTGCCCAACGCACGCGGAGGGTCCTGAGGGCTTCACCCGCAGCCCCAAAGGGGCAGAGCTGGGGTCACGCAGAGTCTCGGAAGCCCACGCTGTGGCCCCAGGAGAAGCTTCTGGATGTAGCTCCTGTATGTGAAGGGTGGGCTCGCGCCGCTGCCGGAATAAAGGGAAACCACAGGCAGGAGGGAGGCGCGTCCAGGATCCGCGGCCACCGGCCTCTCAGACAGTCCTCTGGGGCCGGGGCCGGAGGAGATGGAAAGCGGGGGCACCACAGACTCATCTGAACCCCCGCGTTCATTCGGACACACAGACCCCAAATTCCTCCCCCAGGGGTCGGGTCCCTCAAGCCAGCCGAAGACCCCGGTGCCCGCCCAGCCCTCCGGGAGGGTCTGCGCCTGCGGCCTCGCGGGGCCTCTCCGAGCCCGGGCGCTGTTCCATGGGCGGGGCACAGATCCAAGGCCCCTTCCCTCCTAGACGGCAGGCGAGGGGCCCGAGAGGCCGGAGGCCAGGGGACAAGGTCCCCGAGAGGCGGCGCGAGGCTCCGGCGGCCCAGAACCGCGGCGGGGTCCGGGTGGGGTCCCGGCCGCCCGTGGGGCGCGGGGCTAAGCCCCGGCCCGACCCGAACGGACGCGGGCCTCGGTCCCCGCTGCCGGCGCCGGTGCAGCCGAGGAAATCCGGGGCTGCCCGAGCGGGGTCGTCGCTGGCGGTCTCGGAGGCGTTCCCATCTGTCACCCCGTTCGCATCAGCGCGCGCCCCGTGACGCCGACAGCCACCCCGGACGCCTCCGACCCTCCGGCCGGGAGATGCGGATAGACGGACGAGGCAGCCAATTAGAGCCCGGCCAGACACCGCGACCCCTCCCCCCACCCGCCCCACTCTCGCCCACTGGCGATTGGGTTGCGGGACGCGCGGGGCGGGGCTTCCGGGCGGGGCAGGCTGGCTTCCGGCGGGAGCGGGGCCGCGGATGGCCGTATACAGGGCAGCGCTCGGGGCTTCGCTCGCGGCTGCCCGACTCTTGCCCCTCGGTCGCTGTTCCCCGTCGCCGGCGCCCCGCTCTACGTTGTCGGGCGCCGCCATGGAGCCCGCGCCTCGCTGGCTGGCGGGGCTGCGCTTCGACAACCGCGCCCTGCGCGCCCTGCCCGTGGAGGCGCCGCCGCCCGGTCCCGAGGGCGCCCCGTCCGCGCCGCGGCCCGTGCCCGGGGCCTGCTTCACCCGCGTGCAGCCCACCCCGCTGCGGCAGCCGCGCCTCGTGGCGCTGTCAGAGCCCGCGCTGGCGTTGCTGGGCCTGGGCGCGCCGCCCGCGCGCGAGGCCGAGGCCGAGGCCGCGCTGTTCTTCAGCGGCAACGCGCTCCTGCCGGGCGCCGAGCCCGCCGCGCACTGCTACTGCGGCCACCAATTCGGCCAGTTCGCCGGGCAGCTGGGCGACGGCGCCGCCATGTACCTGGGCGAGGTGTGCACGGCGACCGGCGAGCGCTGGGAGCTGCAGCTCAAGGGCGCCGGGCCCACGCCCTTCTCCAGGTGGGCCGGGGCGGGCGAGGGGCGCGGGTGGGTCCTCCCCGCCGGGGCGCCCCTTCCCTCCGCCCGGCGCGGTGTTGGGGGCGTCCGGCGGCTACTGCCAAGTGGGGCCTCCCCTGCACCCGCGGGAGCGCGGTGCTGGCAGCCGCCCGCGCCCTGTGCTTATCAACCCGCCGAGGACCTTGGAGTCAGCTCCACCAGGGACGCCGCTCATGTTTACCGACGTTCGCTGGGGCTCCAAACCCAGGGGCGGGAGCCGGGATGAGAGGTTAGGCTAACCCTAACCCTAACCCCGCAGGTCCCCAGCCTTCCTCCGATCGCTCGTGGGGCGGGCCGCTTCGTCCAGCAGCCTCGCTCTGCGACTGACTTCACGGAGGCCTGGCCCTGACTTCCCTGCGGGCAGCCCTTTTTAACCCCGAAGTGAGGTGGGCATCGTTTAGATTTCTGTGGGGGGGCACACAGGTGGTCTAATAAGGCAGGATCTGGGTCCAGATGCCGCCAGGCCCACCGGGGAGCCGTGCACGCGCCACCTGCCTCCTGTGTATAGACAGCGCTTGGGTCTGTTCTGCTCTTTTCTACTAAACAATGTACTTACTCCATATTCTTTACTGCTTTTGTGAATGACTAGGAAAGTGTACATTTTATGTTCAGAGAAATGCTAAACCCGCATCTCATCCGGCCCCTCCCTGTGCTCTCATCACCTCCCCCTCCAGCACCTGAAATGCCCCTCGGTCCCTCAGCATCCCTTCCCCGGGGCTCCATCTCCCAAGCAAGCTCCTCAGACTGAGGGTCTTCCTCACTCCCCCGTCTCCAAATCCGTTCTGTTCTGTGTCTGAGGGCAACCTGGCTCTGGCTCTCCCTCCCCACCCCCAGCGACCTGCTTAGAGTTGACAGCACCGGCCGCCCACTGGAGCGTTTCTGACCCTTGGAACGTGGTGGAAATGCTGCTCAGCCTGGGGCCTGCTTGTCCTGTGAGCATTTTTTTTTTTTAATTTTTGTTTTTCTTTTTGGCGATCATCTTAAACTTTATGTTTTCATTTTTGGTGATATTTTAAAGTTAAAAAGACAATTTTTTTTATGAGAGTAATCTGTCGCTGGAAGACACTTTTTATGTTTGAAGACTTGAGTATTAACTCACTGCTTTCAGACCTGAGAGCTGCTAGAATATATTTTCTCCTAAAAATTAAGGAGTCCTTTGACCTTTACTCAGGCCCTGCCTGACATCCCCACACGTGTCCTGGGGTCCCTGGCCTCACCAGTTCTCCAAGATTGAGGCTAACGTCTGAAGTGGCTGTGAGAAGGAAGAGACTTGAACAGTGAAAACTGAAAAACATGAAGAAAATAAAGAAAACATAAATAAATGGAAACATCCCTTGTTCGTGGGTTGGATAACTTAATATTAGAAAGACAACGGTACTCTTTGAAGAGATTCAGTATAGTCCTTATCAAAATACCAATGACAGTTTTTGCAAAAATAGAAAAACCCATTCTAAAATTCACATGGGGTCAGGTGCAGTGGCTCACTCCTGTAATCCCAGCACTTTGGGAGGCCAAGGCAGGAGGATTGCTTAAGGCCAGGAGTTGGAGACCAGCCTGGGAAACAGCAAGACCCTGTCTCTTCAAAAAAATATTTTTTTTTATTAGCTGGGCATGGTGGCGTGTGCTTCTAATTGCAGCTACTCAGGAGACTGAGGTGGAAGAATCACTTGAGCCCAGGATTCAAGGCTGCAGTGAGTTGTGATTATCCCATTGCACTCCAGCCTGGATGACAGAGTGAGACCCTGTCTCAAAAAGTAATACAATTCATATGGAATCTCAAGGGACCCTGAATGGACAAAACAATCTTGAAGAAAGTTGGAGGACTCATGCTTCCTGATTTCAAAACTTACTACAAAGCCGCAGTCAGCAAAACAGTATGGCATTGGCATAAGGATAGACATAGACCAGTGGGATGGAATAAAGAGCCTAGAAATAAACCTTCACATATATGGTCAGCAAATTTTCAACAAGTGTGCTGAGACCATTCAATGGAGAAAGACTTTTCAACAAATGGTGCTGGGAAAACTGGATCCTCATGCAAAAGAATGAAGCTGGGTCCTTAACTACACCATGAACGAAGTTAAGAGTGGACCAAAGACCTAAACATAAGAGCTAAAACTCCTAGAGAAAATAGGGAAAATGCCTCATGACATTGGATTTGGCAGCGTTCTTGGCTGTGACACAAAAGGCACAGGCAACTAAAGAAACAGGCAAACAAGACTTCATGAACACTTTAAAAATTAGGCATAAAAATACAGTATTAACAGTAAAAATGCAGCCCACAGAATGGGAGGAAACATTTGCAATTCATATATCTGATAAGTAATTAAGATCCAGAATATACAGAGAACTCTCAAAACTCAGCAACAGGAAAAAAAAATTCAAAAATGGACAAGTATTTGAATAGACATTTCTTCAAAGATGTGGCCAATAAGCACGTGAAGAGTTTATAACATGAGAAGACGCTCAACGTCATCAATCATTAGGGAAATGCAAACCAAAACTACAGTGGGACAGCACCTCATACCCATTGGGATGGCAGTTATTTAAAAAAAGGTTGACCTGGGCGTGGTGGTGGGTGCCTGTAATCCCAGCTACTCAGGAGGCTGAGGCAGAATTGCTTGAACCCGGGAGGTGGAGCTTGCAGTGAGCCAAGATCACACCACTGCACTTCAGCCTGGGCGACAGGGCAAGACTGTCTCGGAAAAATAAAAGGTTGGTCGGGCACAGTGGCTCACGCCTGTAATCCCAGCACTTTGGGAGGCTGAGGTGGGCGGATCATTTGAGGTCAGGAGTTTGAGACCAGCCTGGCCAACATGGTGAAACCCCAGCTCTACAAAAAATACAAAAATTAGCCGGGCATGGTGGAGC
The DNA here is from genome assembly GCF_000001405.40 of Homo sapiens. NCBI lineage: Eukaryota > Metazoa > Chordata > Mammalia > Primates > Hominidae > Homo > Homo sapiens. Next base: position 50,204,498 of record NC_000022.11, read on the forward strand.
GTGCCTGTGATCCCAGCTACCTGGGAGGCTGAGGCAGGAGAATCACTTGAACCCAGGAGGCGGAGGTTGCAGTGAGCCGAGATCACGCCACTGTCCCTGGGTGACAGAGTGAGACCCTGTCTCAAAAAAAAAAAAAAATCGTAAGTTAAAAAGTGTTGCGGCTGTGGAGAAATTGGAACCCTTCTGCACTGTTGGTGGGAATGTAAAATGATAGAGTTGCTGTGGAAAACAGTGTGGAAGTTCCTCAAATAATTAAATCACCACATGATTCAGCAGTTCTGCTTCTGGGTATATCCCCAAGAGCAGGATCTCAAGATTTGTATACCGATATTCATGGCCAAAAGGCAGAACAAGTGTCTATCAGCAGGTGAATGGATTAAATGTGATGTGTACATACAGTGGAATATTATTCATCCTTAAGAAAGAAGATGCTGATATGCTACAACACGGATGAACCTGGAGGACGTGGTGCAGTGAAATAAGCTGGTCACAGAGAGACAAATCCTGGGTGATCCCACTTACATGAGGTACCTAGAGAGCCACATTCATAGAGACAAAGTAGAATGGTGGGTCCCAGGGGCTGGAGGGAGTAGAGGAATCGGGAGCCAGTGTTCGATGGGGACAAAGTTTCAGTTTCTGGGTCCCAGGGGCTGGAGGGAGTAGAGGAATCGGGAGCCAGTGTTCGATGGGGACAAAGTTTCAGTTTCACAAGACAGATTTCTGGACATGGATGGGGGTGATGGTTGTGCAACATTATGAACGTATTTAATAGCACTGATCTGTACACTTATAAATGGCTAAGATGGGCCGGGCGCAGTGGCTCATGCCTGTAATCCTAGCACTTTTGGGAGGCCAAGGTGAGAGGATCGCTTGAGCCCAGGAGTTCAAGACTAGCGTGGGCAACATAAACCCCGTCTTTACAAAAAGTAAGACAAGAATTAGCAGAGCTTGGCGGCATTGCCTGTAGTCCCATCTGCTTGGCAGGCTGAGGCGAGAGGGTGGTGCTGCAGTGAGCCAGGTTTGTGCCACTGCACTCCAGGCCAAGTGACAGAGTGAGACCCTGTCTTTAAAAAACAAAAAAAGTGGCTTAAGATGGTAAATTTATTTTATGTGTATTTTACCACAGTGAAAATAATTGAAGAAAAAGGGGGCAGTCATCTGGCCCTCAGATCTCACATCCCCTTCCCCATGCCTGTCCGATTCCCTGGCCTCGGCAGTTCTGCAGGACATGAGGCCGAGGCCGGGGACCCGAAGACCTGTGGGGAAGGGAATGCGAGACCTGGGGGTCAGAAGTGGCTGAGTGGCCTGAGGCCAGCGCTGTCGGAGCCTCGGGCGGGTTTTGCGGGGCGGGCAGCTGGCTTCTCTGCCCTGCCTCCTCCCACTGTGGGTGTGGGGGCCCCGGCAGGCACAGAGGAGCTCATTCCTCAGCTGGCCCGTACCGGGGCACCCATCCTGGTGCAAAGGCTGTTGTGTCCCATGGGGCAGGGCTGCCCCAGGCCCTTTGTCCCCACTGTGCAGTCACACAGTCCTGGCTTCTGCTGCGGAACCCTCGTTCTGGGCAGGAAGACGGGCTGCTGCGTGTGTTCAGGCCCATTTTTACCAGAGGCTGTGCCGACAACCTGCTGGGCTGTGAGGTTGCTGGAACTGGGCGGTGTTGGAGGCTCACAAGGCACCTGATGTCACCTGGGACGGGCGGTTTTCAGGGACGTGCAAGCTGCTCACGTTACACGCGTTCCCTCCTTTCCATGTGCTGCCCGGAATCCTGGTGTTGGGTGACCTCCTGACCGGCCCACGTAGTGAACTCTGTGTTTGGTTTCAGACAGGCCGACGGTCGCAAGGTCCTACGGTCAAGCATCCGGGAGTTTCTATGCAGCGAAGCCATGTTCCACCTGGGAGTCCCCACCACACGGGCCGGCGCCTGCGTCACGTCCGAGTCCACGGTGGTGCGCGACGTGTTCTATGATGGTAATCCCAAATATGAACAATGCACGGTTGTGTTGCGTGTAGCTTCCACTTTCATAAGGTAATGCCGGGGGCCTTTCGGCCTGTCTACACGCACTTGCTTAGAGTCCTAGGAGATTTGGGCCTGTGCTGCTAGGATTCTGGTAGAAACAAACCCAGATGACCGCCTTGGCCTCTTCTGAAAGTCCAGCCTGTCCCTGGCAGCCTCAGAAGCTGCCTGTCCGCGAAGTAGCTGCGTCACGCCCACTGGGAGGGATCTGAGTGCAAAGGCATTTGGTACTCAGTTAGGACACTTGTGCTGAGCCCTCCCACGTGCCCGGCCAGGCCCTCGTTGCAGCCAGAGATGGCCCTGCGGGAGCTGGTGTGTCTCAAAGCACCAGCAGGGGGCTCCAGGGCCACGGGCACCAGAGAAGGGTCCCTGCCTGGTGCTTCTGGGGGGGAGGGGGTCCCTGAGCCTGAGGCTGGGGACAGTGTCCAGAGCTGTTTGCTGGAGTTTATGACAAGGAACTACTTAGACTTGACTGAGGAAATGGCCACTGAAGAAGCAGGAGCCGCAAGCTGTGCGCGGTGTCCTGCTCAGGCTTTCTGATCTGATGGTCCAGTTGCTCGTTGGTCTGGAGTCCTAGGCTGGCTCCTGTCTGACGTGAGCCATCAGTTATCAGTTCTCTTTTCTTTTTTTTTGAGACAGAGTATCGCTCTGTCACCCAGGCTGGAGTGCAGTGGCGTGATCTTGGCTCAGTGCAACCTCCGCCTCCCGGGTTCAAGCGATTCTCCTACCTCAGTCCCCCCAAATAGCTGGGGTTACAGACGTGCGCCACCACGTCCAGCTAATTTTTATATTTTTAGTACAGACAGGGTTTCTCCATGTTGGCCAGGCTGGTCTCGAACTCCTGACCTCTGGTGATTCACCCATCTTGGCCTCCTAAAGTGCTAGAATTATAGGCCTGAGCCACCGCGCCCGGCCCCCAGCCATCAGTTTTTGATGTCACCTTGCCACCTGGCGTCTAGCACTTCCTCCTGAACACCTGAATGTAGTTGTCTGTTGGTCTTGCAGCCCCGTCCTGCCCGGGACACCAGCCGCCCACCCCTGAGGCTGCCTGTGGGCCTCTGGCTTTTCCTGTCCTGCAGGGGGATGGGAAAGATCTGGGGCCACGACTTCCTCTGAGGCCCCGCCCAGCGGCAATGCTGGCATTGTTGTGAAGTCCACCCTGTGTGCACACAGCATCCCTGCCCTGGGCCCGCTGGTTGCCAGTAGTAACCCCAGTTGTGACAACGAAAAATGTGTCCAGACCTTGCCTGATGTCCCCTGGGGGGCAGTCACCCTGGGGGACGGCTGCTGGTGAGCGCTCACAGATGTGTGTCCATAGCAGCTGACTCTCCTTTGCATCTCCTCCCCGAGGACGCAGTGGCAGGCAGGCCACGCCCCTCCGTGTGTAAGACCTGCCGAAAACACTCCTCGTGGGGTTGGGGTGGGAGTGCAGGGGCCTTGGTGGTTTCTACACCCATGGGCCTGCCCGGCACGTGCCCCAGACTGTGCAGACAGGGCCTGGTCAGTGGCTGGATGTTGACCAAACGTGGAATATGTCTGTGTGTCAGGTAAAGCTGTGGTGCATTCTGGTTGGTTGTTTGCTTTTGTTTTAATCAAGGTTCTCTTTCTGCTGTAGGGCTGCATGATTTAGCAGCCACAACAGGCCAGGCGCGGTGGCTCACGCCTGTAATCCCAGCACTTTGGGAGGCCGAGGCGGGTGGATCACGAGGTCAGGAGTTTGAGACCAGCCTGACCAACATGGTGAAACCCTGTCTCTACTAAAAATACAAAAATTAGCTGGGCGTGGTGGCGTGTGCCTGTAATCCCAGCTACTCGGGAGGCTGAGGCAGTAGAATCACTTGAACCCAGAAGTTGGAGGTTGTGGTGAGGCGAGATCGCGCCACTGCACTCCAGCCTGGACAACAAGAGTGAGACTCCATCTCAAAAAAAAAAAAAAAATAGCCACAACAACGTCTTTTCCTTTTTCTTATTTTCACAAGGGGCTGGGGTCAGGTTTGGGCTGTTGACGCCTCGGGTCTTCCCTCCAGGTTTGGATCCTTTGAGATTTTTAAGTCTGCAGATGAGCACACAGGGCGTGCAGGCCCCAGCGTGGGGAGGAACGACATTCGAGTGCAGCTGCTCGACTATGTCATCAGCTCCTTTTACCCCGAGATCCAGGCTGCTCATGCCAGCGACAGCGTGCAGAGAAATGCTGCCTTCTTCCGGGAGGTCAGTGGGCCGCACGCCACCCCTCCCTGCGGGTGGATGCTGGGTGTCCCCACCTGTGTTGAAGACACCCTCATTTTGGCCGGGGGACAAAGGCTTTTACCCAGCCTCCCCGCCCTTCTCTGAGCTCCCGCTCCTGTCCGCAAACCCCATCATGTGTGCTCGGGCCCTGGGACAAACCTGAAACTCCCCTGGGCTCCGTGGTGTTGGGGGCCCTGGGCGTGCTCTCCTACTGGTATCCCTGCAGGGCCAGCTTGGGGCGGGGGTGCGGGGTGGGAGCTGGCTTGGGTGGAAGGACCATGGGCTGGGCACCTCCCACGTGGGTCGATACGTCTTGATGCCCAGGGCAGCCAGCCGGGTCCTGACTGGGGAGATGCTGAGTGCCCACCTGGGGTCTGGGTCCCCGCCCCACGGACACCACAGACGTCCCACATGGCTTGATGGCATCGTCCTTGTCACAGGGCATTCAGCACACGGTGGGGGAACCCGGCACCTCACCTGGCTGGGCTGGGGGCCTGCAGCATCAGCGGGGTCAGGCCAAGTAGGGGTTCCGGGGGACCGGGCACAGCATCTTCTTTGAGAAGTCTCAGGCCACCCCTGGAGCAGCTGCAGCCAGGGCTGCGTGGGGACCCGCTTTGCCACGTGGCTGGGGGCTGTTGGGCTGCCGTCAGCAGAAGCTGGCGCCAGGCAGGTGCTCCTAGGGCTGTGTCCTGCCCCAGCTCCATCCCTGCAGTCCACCCCAGCCATGTTCCATGTGGGTGGGCGATGGGGCTGCAGAAGGCCGGGAGGAGCCGCTGGGGCAGCCTGGTGCTCCGGCATAGACATGCGTGGGTGGTCAAGGCAGGTCACTCTGCCCCTCTGAGCCTCAGTCTTCTGCCAGTGACGCAGGGAGACGGCACTGACTGCCTCCCAGGAGCGTCGGTGGCCTTGAAGGAGAGAGGTGGTGTCAGGCCTGTGTTCAGCAGGGCCGGTGGGGCCCTCAGTGCACCCTGCACCTTGGGGGCTCCTGGCCCCCCTGTTGATTGGCCCCTATTCTCAAGGTTACCGGTGCTGGGCTGGGTGGGGACTGCTGTCTGGTTGGGGGGGGCCAGGCCAGCAGGGTGGTGGTGGCACCAGGATGGACAGTGGCCTGGCCCTGGGGCAGGTGTGGCCCCTCAGTGAACTGACCCTTCTCTGCTTCTTTGGGGTCTCTACTGGGCCTGAGTCTGGGGTTCCCTGATTTTTCTAGTTTGGGTAAAAGCCAAATTTTGTGAGCATATTAAAGAGTGGATGCTGTGAGTGCAACGCACTCTTCATCGCCACCTTGTGGTTGAGGCGGTGACAGGACATCAGGAAGATCGCCCAGAAACTGCAGAGTGAGAGCCACTCAGCGAAGCACAGCCGGTTTCAGGGAGGGGAAGGATGGACACGAGTGGGGAGGTCTGGGCAGGACCCCGAGGAGGGAGCAAGCACACTGTCCCACCCCAGGTGACGCGGCGCACGGCGCGGATGGTGGCCGAGTGGCAGTGTGTGGGCTTCTGCCACGGCGTGCTCAACACCGACAACATGAGCATCCTGGGGCTCACCATCGACTACGGGCCCTTTGGCTTCCTGGACAGGTAAGTGGCCCTGGGGCCCAGCAAAGTGCAGGCCCCAGGGCTGGGGGGTGCGGGCTGCATGAAACCTGCTGCCCCCAGGCACTGGCCCGTGATGCTTGAGGGGGAGCCGAGGGGGCTGGGGGCTGATGTAGGAAGTAGAGAGTCCAGGGCAATCCCGGAGGCCTTGGCCAGGGGCTGGTGAGACAGGACCCCTGTGGGACAGGGCCAGAGAGCCACGGCCACTTGGGACCTTCCCCTGGGCCTCCCCTCCAGGGTGGCTGCACCATCTCCCGGGAACTTCCTCTCAGGCAGGGCGTGGCTCTCTTGCCCCGTGTGGCAGGTACGACCCCGACCACGTGTGCAATGCCTCCGACAACACCGGCCGCTACGCGTACAGCAAGCAGCCCGAGGTGTGCAGGTGGAACCTGCGGAAGCTGGCCGAGGCCCTGCAGCCGGAACTGCCCCTGGAGCTGGGGGAGGCCATCCTGGCCGAGGAGTTTGACGCCGAGTTCCAAAGGCACTACCTGCAGAAGATGCGCAGGAAGCTGGGCCTCGTGCAGGTGGAGCTGGAGGAAGACGGGGCGCTGGTGTCCAAGCTCCTGGAGACCATGCATCTGACCGGTGAGTGACCCAGCCGTGCCCACAGCAAGGCGCCTCCCGTGCTGTTGTGCTTAGAGATGGTTTACCTTCTGGCTTCCAGGTTCCAAGTGCACAGTCACTCCCTGGGCCCACCCCAGCCCTGGCACCCCCATTCTACTCTCTGTCTTTATGAATTTGGTGAATCTAGGACCTGCTGCGAGTGGAGTCATACGGTGCTTGTTCTGTAGTGACTGCTTATTTCACTTAGCATAAGGTCCTCAATGTTCACCCAGGTCCGTATCAGGATTTTATTCCATTTGAAGGCTGAGAAGCATCCCGTTGTGTGGACAGGCCGCAGTTTGCTTATCCACGACATACTGGCGTACGTGTTCCTCTTCTGGCTGTTGCGTACGGTGCACTGTGTGTTGTGTGCCGTGCTGCCATGAAAGCGAATGCAGAGATCTCTGACTCCCTGCTTTCAGTTCCGTGGGGTGTACAGGTGGTAGGATTGCTGGGTCGTGTGGGTGACTCACTGGGTTGCACTAGCTAGGACGTGTATGTTGAACAGAAGGAGCTGAGATGGGCATTCTTTTCTTGTTCCTGACCTTCGGGGAAAAGTGTTCAGTGTTTCACCCATTGAGTGTGATGTTAGCTGTGGGCTTTTACCATGCTGAAGTTTTCTTTCAGAATGCTTTTACCATGAAAAGCTATTGCATTTTATCAAATGCTTTTTCCTGCAATGAAGATGGTCATGTGGTTTTATTATTTCATTCATATCTCCTTGCATTCTGGGGATAAATTTTACTTGGTCCTTTTAATATGCTATATGATTATTATTTTTAATATTTTTTGAGACGGAGTTTCACTCTTGTTGCCCAGGCTGGAGTGCAGTGGCACGATCTTGGCTCACTGCAACCTCCACCTCCTGGGTTCAAGTGATTCTCCTGCCTCAGTCTCTCAAGTAGCTGGGATTACAGGCACCCGCCACCACACCCGGCTAATTTTGTATTTTTAGTAGAGACAGGGTTTCGCCGTGTTGGTCAGGCTGGTCTTGAACTCCCGACCTCAGGTGATCTGCCCACCTCAGCCGCCCAAAGTACTGGGATTATAGGCGTGAGCCACCGCACCCAGCCATATGCTGTATAATTATTTTAATATGCTGAATGTTGCGAGTATTTTGAGGATTTTTGCATCTGTATGCGTAAGGGATACTAGCTTAGAGTTCTGCTTTTTCTTTAGTGTCTGTTTGGCTTTGATGTCAAGGTGGTGCTGGCCTCAGAGTGAGTTAGGAGGTATGCGCACATCTTCCATTTTTTTCCTTCAAAGTTTGAGAAGGATTGCCATTTGTTCGTAAGAGTATTTGGTAGAAATCACCAGTGAAGCCATCTGGTCCTGGGCTTTTCTTTGTTGGAAAAATTTTGATTACTGATCAGTCTCCTTGCTTGCCTTACCTCAATTTAGATTTTCTTTTCTTCTTGAGTCAGTTTTGGTAATTTATGTTTCCAGGAATTTTCTGTGTCAGGTAGTTTGTCCATGTCTTGTAGGTAATTTTGGCATATAATTGTTCGTAGCAGTTTTTTACAATTTCATTGTGGTAGGAACACAACATGGATCTATCCTCTTAAATTGTGGAGGGCACCGCACATCACAGCTGACGCAGGAGCAGTGCTGTACAGCCGAGCCCTGGAGCTTGTTCACATCCGCCACCCAAACCCTGTGTGAGCCGGTTACCAGCTCCCCATTCCCCTCCCTGCAGCCCCTGGTAGCAACCACTCCGCTCCGAGTCTGTGAACCTGACTGCTCTAAACCCTTCATGTAAGTGGAGTTACACAGCGTGTGCCTGTTTCTTCAGTCTGTTGTCTCCCTCTAATCTTCGTGTAAGTGGAGTTACGCAGCGTGCGCCTGTTTCTTCAGTCTGTTGTCTCCCTCTAATCTTCGTTTAAGTGGAGTTACGCAGCGTGTGCCTGTTTCTTCAGTCTATTGTCTCCCTCTAATCTTCGTGTAAGTGGAGTTACGCAGCGTGTGCCTGTTTCTTCAGTCTATTGTCTCCCTCTAATCTTGGCTCTTCTTTCTCCAGTTCCTTAGGCGTGAGTTGAGGTAACTGATTGGAGATCTTCTTCAGTGTAGCCATTTACACTGTGCATGTCTTTCTGGTCACTGCTTTTGCTGTGTCCATCAATTTTGGTATGTTGTGGGTTTTTTTGGTTTTTAGACGGAGTCTTACTCTGTCGCCCAAGCTGGAGTGCAGTGGCATGATCTTGGCTCACTGCAACCTCCGCCTCCCAGGCTCAAGTGGTTCTCCTCCTTCAGACTCCCAAGTAGCTGGGACTACTGGCATGCTCCACCACACCTAGCTAATTTTTGTACTGTTAGGAGAGATGGGGCTTCACCATGTTGGCCAGGCTGGTCTCCAACACCTGATCGCAAGTGATCTGCCTCAGCCTCCCAAAGTGCTGGGATTCTGGGGATGAGCCGCCGCGCCCAGCCAGTGTGTTGTGTTTTTAAGTGATTTCTAGCTTCATTCCATTGTGACTAGAGATGTCAGCCTTTTGAGGTTTATTACAACTTGTTTTGTGGCTTATCTTGGAGAACTTTCTGTGTGCCCTGGAGAAGACGGTGTGCTCTCTTTTGCTGGGCAGAGCGTCCTGTACCCGTGTGCCCTGGAGAAGACGGTGTGCTCTCTTCTGCTGGGTGGAGGGTTCCGTGTATGTGCCTGTTTGGTCTTGTTGGTTTAGGCTGTTGTTCAGGTCTTCCATTTCTCATTGATCTTCTGTCTGGATGGTTTTTTTGTTTTTTGAGACGGAGTCTTGCTCTGTCACCCAGGCTGGAGTGCAGTGGCGCGATCTCAGCTCACTGCAAGCTCCACCTCCCAGGTTCACGGCATTTTCCTGCCTCAGCCTCCCGAGTAGCTGGGACTACAGGCGCCTGCCACCACGCCCGGGTAATTTTTTTGTATTTTTAGTAGAGACGGGGTTTCACCGTGTTAGCCAGGATGGTCTTGATCGCCTGACCTCGTGATCCACCTGCCTCGGCCTCCCAAAGTGCTGGGATTACAGGCATGAGCCACCGCTCCCAACCCTAGATGGTCTATCCATTATTAAGTGGTGTGTTTAAGTCTCCAACTCTTACTATAGATAGAACTGTTTGTTGTCTGTCCCTTCCATTCTGCCAACGTTTACATTTTTGGGCTTTCTTATTGGGTGCATGTTTATAATTTTTACATTTTTATTGATGAATTGACTCTTTTATCCATATATAATGCTGTCTCTTGTAACGACTTTTTGTTGAGGGTGGATGTGTCTCACTTTGTTGCCCAGGCTGGAGTGCAGTGGCACAGCTGCGGCTCACTGCAGCCTCCACTTCTTGTGCTCTAGTTATCCTCCTGCCTCAGCCTACCAAGTAGCTGGGATTACAGGGGTGAGCACCTTTCCCGGCCCTTCTGACAATTTTTTATTTAAAATCTTCTCTGGCCGGGCATGGTGGCTCATGCCTGTAATCCCAACACTTTGGGAGGCCGAGGCAGGCAGATCACCTGAGGTCAAGAGTTCGAGACCAGTTTGGCCAACATGGTGAAACTCCATCTCTACTAAAAATACAAAGATTAGCCAGGCATGGTGGTGGGTGCCTGTAATCTCAGCTACTCAGGAGACTGAGGCAGGAGAGGCGGAGGTTGCAGTGAGCTGAGATCACGCCACTGCACTCCAGCCTAGGCAACAAGAGCAAGACTCCATCTCAAAAAACAAAAATTAGCCAGGCATGGTGGCGGATGCCTGTAATCCCAGCTACTCGGGAGGCTGAGGTAGGAGAATTGCTGGAACCCAGGAGGCGGAGGTTGCAGTGAGCCGAGATTGCGCCACTGCACTCCAGCCCCGGCAACAGAGCAAGACTCCGTCTCAAAAAATAGAAAACTTATCTGCTGTGAGTTTAAGAGTCGCCTCAGCTCTCTTTAGGTTACTCTTTGCCTGGGTTTCTTCATCCTTTCACTTCCAGCCTGTTCGTGTCTTTGAACGTCTTGCAGATCGTGTGGTGACAACATGGAAATCGTCTTTTCACCCACTTTGCCAATCTGCCTTTTGTTGGAGCGATCAGTCCATTCGCTTTCAAAGCAGTTACTGAGGGGGAGCTTCTGCCATGTTTCTGGTCGCTCACGTTCTCCCTTGCTACCTTTGTGTGTAGTCGACTTTTTTGCAGTACGTTGCTTTGACTCCCTTCTCATTTTGTTTTTAAGACAGTCTTAGGGTCACTGTGGTTTCAGACAGTGTTTTCCAGAGTCAGGGGGAGGATCGCAGTGTCTGTCACAAGTTGGGCCTTTTGCAGGCGGGTTACAGCAGCTTCTCAACACTCGCTAGCTCCCAAAGCAGGCAGTTGTGACTGTGAGGATGTGAGGGCCGGGCAGCAGCCTCTGCCTTCTCAGTATTAGGCCACTTCACAGGTGACTTGGAGGGTGAGCAAATGGCAGCTGCCTGGGCGGTGGATGGGTGGAGGCTGAGGAGTGGGGTGTGGAGGGCTCAGGAGTCCCAGGACCAATGCTGAGCGGGGCTTGTGTGGCACCTGTGCTGGGGGCAGCATTTGGGTCCGTGTGGGTCTCTGTGGCATGCGTGCCAGGTGTGGGTCCGTGTGGCACCTGTGCTGGGGGAGGGTGTGGGTCTGTATGGCACTGTGCCAGGTGGAGGGTGTGGGTCAGGGAGCGTGTGGATCCGTGCTGGCGGTGGGGGGCGGTGGTGGAGCATGTGGGTGGGTCCATGCAGCACCTGTGCCAGGGGGGTGGGGGGGGGGGGGTCTGTGTGGCACCAGGACAGGGACCCTGGGCCTTCTGCTTCCAGCTCCCTGAGCAGCCTGTGTTCCAGGTGCCGACTTCACAAACACCTTCTACTTGCTGAGCTCCTTCCCAGTGGAGCTAGAGTCGCCAGGCCTGGCGGAATTCCTGGCCAGGCTGATGGAGCAGTGTGCCTCCCTGGAGGAGCTGAGGCTGGCCTTCCGGCCCCAGATGGATCCCCGGTGGGTACTCAGTTCCTACTTCTTTGGATTTGTTTCCAGAAAAGGAAGCATAATCAGAAACAGAGGCTGGGGGAGAAGCTAGAGACAGAGCTGGCTGGGGCCCAGGTGGCTGCTCCGCTCCCAGGGACAGATTCAGTCAGGGCTTCAGGGCATCTCTGCGATGCTGGGGCCGGTTGGTCACAGAGTAGAGAGTGGCGAGGCTGACACAGGTGTGGGGGCAGACAGTGGTCTCTGCTGTGGGTGGGCTTCAGAGAAAGCCTCTGGGTTTCTAGGGAGAATGGGCTCCCAGAGGTCAAGCTTTCCCACACCATCTTCCAAAGGGAAGGGCTGCCCTGTCTGAAGAGTCCCGCCCACGTGCAGGATGAGACGTGGAAAATATTGTTGCTTTAACTTAAAAAACAAGACCAGTGGGGTTGGCTGGGAGCACCGGCCAGCAGGCCCTGCTGAGCATAAACCCCCTCCACTGGAGAAGGCGTGGCCCCTGCCCACCTGGACCCTTCTGGAAATGAGGGAAGTGCTAACAGCAGTGCCCATCCCACAAGCATTAAACTCGGGAGGTGGAGACTCTCCAGCAGAAAGCTGGGCAGCAGAGTGGTCCTGCCCCTCGGCCCACAAAGGGCCTTGGCCGAGCATGGGCATGCCTGGTGTGTGCCCACTGGGGTCCATCCCTGCCAGTGGGGTTCCAGGGACCTCGGGGACCGGGCTGCTTGGGCCCTTGGACTCTAGGTGAGCCGTGAGAGCGGGCTGGGGCAGGCGGAGCAGCTGCCTGCAGGGCAGGGACACGGTCAGGGGCTACCTCCCAGACACCCTGGCCTCTCCACAGGCAGCTATCCATGATGCTGATGCTGGCGCAGTCAAACCCGCAGCTGTTCGCGCTTATGGGCACCCGGGCAGGCATCGCCAGGGAGCTGGAGCGTGTGGAGCAGCAGTCTCGGCTGGAGCAGCTGAGTGCGGCAGAGCTGCAGAGCAGGAACCAGGGCCACTGGGCTGACTGGCTACAGGCGTACAGGTGAGCCCTGCGTCCATGGTCACCGGGGGACGGCGGGTCGCGTGCTGGAAAAAGTCCAGCCCGGCTGTGACTCCAGAGCCCGGATGTCATTCCAGAGCCCGGCTGGACAAGGACCTGGAAGGCGCTGGGGACGCTGCCGCCTGGCAGGCTGAGCACGTGCGCGTGATGCACGCCAACAACCCGAAGTACGTGCTGAGGAACTACATCGCGCAGAATGCCATCGAGGCTGCCGAGCGCGGGGACTTCTCAGAGGCAAGCACACGCCTGTCCCTGTGGTCCCTGGGAGGGGGGTCGGCCCCAGACCCCTCTCACCCTCCTGATCCTCCAGGTGCGGCGGGTGCTGAAACTACTGGAGACCCCTTACCACTGCGAGGCGGGGGCCGCCACAGACGCCGAGGCCACGGAAGCCGACGGGGCGGACGGCAGGCAGCGCTCCTACAGCAGTAAGCCCCCGCTCTGGGCAGCAGAACTGTGCGTGACATGATCTTCGTAACGGCCTCGGCACGCTCCACACCCCTGGAGTCTCCCGAGGCCCCCATGTGCTGCTGAGTGGCCAAGATGATGCCAGGCTGCCCTATACACTGGGGGATTCTGCCCTGGCCCATGCACACCCGTCTTTCCATGATGGCAGAGACATCCAGTCAGGACCTGACCCGTCTCTGTCTGAGGCCGGCTCAGCAGTGCAGCCTGGTCCCTGGGGGCTGGACCCAGGCTCCTAAATAAACCAGCAACTCCCTCGAGTCTGTCTCTGTGGTCATTGTTCCCCCACCCTGCCCTGTCCTCAGCCCCCACCCAGGAGAGAGAGCTGCAGACAGGGTCCGAGAACACCTTTATTGTGCACGTCCCCCGCAGAGCAGCCTCAGGCGTCCTGGTAGTAGTTGTTGAAGTTGATGCGCAGCAGAAAGTCCTCCAGGTGGGGCTGGTAGCCGCGGTTCACCAGCTTGGTCACCACTGGGGACCAGCGAGCAGCTCAGGCTTTTGCCCACAGTGTGAGCCCCGCCCTGGCCCCCCCGCAGCCCTCCCAGCCAGGGTGGGCCTCACCTTTGAAGAGAAAGTGGGAGTAGTACTTGAAGGTGTTGTAGGACTGCTGCATGAGTGCAAAGTTGGGGTGCTCTGCACCCCGCGGGCCCCCAGGGGGCCCCCAGGCCTGGGAGATGAGCTGGCTGCGGAACTTGAGCACGAGGCTGAAGATGCTGTGGATGACGTTCATGACGGGCGCCGCCTTCTCCGTGAGCAGGCCCCTGGGGGGAAGCAGTGCTGCTGGGTGGGCTGAGCCGTGACCACAGGGACGCAGCCGCTGCCCAGGCCTCACCTGAAGACGGCCTTGTGCAGGTACTCTGCGTGCGCACGCTGGATCTCCTCCAGGTCGCCCACGGTGGCCAACCTGGCCCTGAACTCGCACCAGGTGACGTGCAGGATCTGGTTGGCGATGTAGCCCTGGATGACCTTCACGAAATGCTGCATCTCGTGCTTGAACAGCTGCAGCTGACGGAACTGCACAGAGCCGGCCATGTGGCTCAGCAGGGCTGGCGGAGGGCAGAAGGCAGAGGGCAGAGGTGAGCGCAGCCTCCAGCCAGGGGTGCGGGGCGCCGGGCTCCAGCGGGGCCTCACCTGTGCGCTTGAGGTGGAAGCAGACGTCCTTGAGCGCCCACATCATGAGCTTCAGCTGCAGCAGGAAGGAGAAGACGCCGCTGTACTTGCTCACGCAGCCCTCGGTGATGACAATGTTGAGAGGCCAGTCCACCTGCCAGGAGGCGTGGCTCAGCAGGCATCCCACAGGCAGGCAGGCCCCTGTCCCATCCCCCGCGGCCAGGGCTGCTGCTGACCTTGTACCTGAGCTCCAGGCAGCTCAGCACATCCGGGGCGTTGGGGGCAAACACCTCGGGCAGGTACTTGAGAGCGAGGGAGAGGTTGGAGGCGTGCGGGGTGTCCCCATGCAGGCTGCACTGCAGGGCCTTGCTCAGCACAGAGTTCAGCACCAGCGGGTTGAGCAGCTCTCCGGGCGTTTGCCCAGCTCCAAGCTAGGCAGAAAAGGGACCACCGTCCCCAGGAGTCCCAAGCACATGCCTGGCACTCGCCGGCACCCCATGGGGCTGTGCCAGAGCAGCAGGGGGCTGTGGGCGTGCAGCCAGTCTCTCTTTTCCCACGGCCTCCCCTCTACCACTGGCCCCACCCCGTGTCCGGAGGCCACCTTCTCAAAGAGCAGGTCGCTGAGGGACTGGGCGAACTCGCCGTCCTCCATCAGCAGGAAGTGCCGCAGTGCCTCATAGTGCGCCTCCAGGTGCAGCTCCACGAAGAAGTAGTCGACAGCGGCCTTGTTCACCAAGGAGATGCTGGCAGGAGGGAGCTGGAGTCAGGGCGGGCCAGGACGGGCTGGGTGGGCAGACTGGCGCAGGGGCAGGGGCACTCACTGGGCGGCCAGCGGTGCCGTGATGGAGCGCTTCATGAGCACGGGCAGCGTCAGCAACTCGCTCAGCTGCACAGCAGTCTCATCAGCGGCAGACTGGACCTGGGGGTCCACGGGGAAGGCGAAGGCCCGGGGAAGCACGGGGCGCAAAAGATGAGCAATGGGCGGCTCGGCTGCGGGAGATGGAGCACGCACGTGCTGGGAACCGGCCAGCCCAGGGCTCCGCCCCCATCCACAGGAGATGGAGCACGTGCTGGGAACTGGCTAGCCCAGGGCTCCGCCCCAACCCACAGGAGGTGGAGCACGTGCTGGGAACCAGCCAGCCCAGGGCTCCCTGCCAACAGCAACTGCTGCACTCACACATGGACTCGTAACTGTCCGGGTACCGCTCCAAGTGGTACTGCCCTGCCAGGCCTGCCAGGTAGGCCTGCTCCCCACCCTGAGCCTCCGCCGCCGATGCCTCCGCCTCCTCACCACGGCCTGGGCTGCTCTGGGCAGCTGTGTCTTCCTAACAAAACACCAGCCTCAGAACCACCTCCCCACTGCACGCTGTCCCCACAACCAGCTTGTGCCAAAAAAAGGAAAATCGCATGTGGGACCCACCCGCGTGACAACCTAGAGGGACAGAGCCCTCCCTGCCTGCTGTGGGACCCCCAGGCTGCATCCACCTAACCTGTGAGTTGAGAGGCCAATTTGGAGAGAGGTCCTCAGTGTCCCCGCTCCTCCCAGGGCCTGTGTGGACACAAGTGGACACGAGGGCATCAGGGCCGAGTGCCTGTGGCGGGTACAGAGCCGAGCCGGCCCTGGCTCAAGCAGCCCCTCCCATGTCCCCCACAGCAGCCCAGGTCCTGGCTGACAAGGAGGCCTGAGGGGAACTTCACATGCCACCAACCCCACTGCCCGCCTACCTCCCAGGCTCTGTGCGTCCCACAGTCCCACTCCTGACCACCAGCCACCCTACTCTGACCTAGTTCTTCAGAGACACTGTCTCCCGGGGTGTTGGGCCACCATGGTTGGGTGGGAGCCACGTCTGACACGTTCTCCCCCACGCTGATGCTCCCCTCCCCGCAGCCCGAGCTGGGGGAGGACAGAGATGGCCCCACTTCTACAGGCAGCCGTGGCCCACAGTCCAGCACAGTGCTCTGTGCTCCCAGGCTGAGCGCTGACTGGGACGTGTGGCCAGGGGGGCTCTGTTGGGGCCTGGGTGTGTTGGGCTCAGCTTCTGGTGAGAGAGCCCCCAGCACCATGTGGGGCGGAGGGATGGGTACATGGGTGTTCCACCGTGGCCGGGTGGAAACCACATCCGACACAGGCTCCCCCAAGCTGATGCTGGCGTCGGACACGTGTCCATGGGTGTTGCACCGTGACCGGATGGGAGCCACGTCCGATACGTTCTCCCCAACCCTGATGCTGGTGTCAGACACATGTCCGTGGGTGTTCCACCGTGGCCGGGTGGGAGCCATGTCTGACACAGACTCCCCCAAGCTGATGCTGGCATCAGACACGTGTCCATGGGTGTTCCACCGTGGCCGGGCGGGAGCCATGTCTGACACAGACTCCCCCAAGCTGATGCTGGCATCGGACACGTGTCCATGGGTGTTCCACCGTGGCCGGGTGGGAGCCACGTCCGACACGTTCTCCCCAACCCTGATGCTGGCGTTGGACACGTGCCCGTGGGTATTCCACCGTGGCCTGGTGGGAGCCACATCTGACACATTCTCCCCGACCCTGATGCTGGCGTTGGACACATGTCCATGGATGTTCCACCGTGGCCGAGTGGGAGCCACATCTGACACAGACTCCCCTAAGCTGATGCTGGCATTGGATACGTGTCCGTGGGTGTTCCACCGTGGCTGGGTGGGAGCCACATCTGACACATTCTCCCCGACCCTGATGCTGGCGTCAGACACGTGCCCGTGGGTGTTCCACCGTGGCCGGGTGGGAGCTATTTCAGAAGCGTAGTCCCCTGTGGGAAGACCACCCCCTGACACCTGCCCAAAGAGCCGCTCTGTGGGCTGGCTGCTCCCCTCCTCCAGAGCAGCACGCCTGGGTGGGTGTGAGGGGAGCAGAGTCTCCCGCGAGGCGGAGCCACAGGCATCCATCTTCCCACAACTGTCCTCCCACAGCTGTAGCCCTGAGCTGCCCAAGCTGCACTCTGCAGCCTGCAGGGGCCCTGGTGCAGGTGAGGTGGCCACAGCTGGCCTCAGGACAGTACTAAAGTCGTACTCCTGTGGCCTGGAGGGCTGAGTGCTGGCTGCTGCGGGTGCCTCCCCAGGAGCTGAGGGGGGCAGGTCCAAGTTAATGGTCTGCAGCGCCACCTCCAGGAGAGGGACCATGCCAGTCTGCACGGACGGCTCAGCCCCTGGGCCCACAGGTAGGAAGTCTCCAATGCTGAGGCTGTCAGAGAAGGGTCTGGCCCCCTCCGCCTGCTGCAGCCCCCTGCCACCAGCCCCCACTGCTAGAGGCTTAAGGGGCTGTGGGGTCAGCAGGCCTGGCCTGTTCCAGCCATCCCAGGCAGGCGAGTGTTGCTCTGCAGACCCAGAATCACAGCCTTGGCCTCCCTCTGGGTGCTCAGGGCCCGGAGACGTGACCTGAAACACAGGTGACATCAGACCCAGTCTGGTCTCAGGACCCCCCAGCCCTCGAACTGTCCCCCAAGTTCAGCTCTGCAGCCATGACCAACACCAGGTGCCGAGGGCTATGGGAAAACCATAGGGCACCCTGGGTTCCACTCTGCCGCTTACCTGGGGGTGCACGCTCAAGAGGACGTCTGGCGGCTCCTGGGGCTGGTGAGCCTCAGACACTGCTTTCAGCATCTCCTGAAATTCAAGCCAGAGGGGTGACTGGCCAAGCCGGAGTCAAGCACAGCCCTACCCCACACAAAGCCACAGCCCCTACCGCCCATGGCAGCCATGTGCACTGAACCAGACAAGGCTTGTGCTGGGCTCCAGTGGGACGCTGGGCCTGCAAAAAGTACTCCAAAACCACGAGCTCCTCACCACCTGTATCTGTGCAATTTGGTGGCACACGGGGAGAGAGAGTGCTCTGCCGCAAACGCGAAAGCCACCAGCCCTCTCCTAGAAGAGCATGTAGGTTTGTGTGCAGTCTCAGGGGGTTTCCAGACCCCCAAAGCCCAGGGGAAGAGCTGCCATCTGAAGCCGCAGACATACCTGAATGTGTTTCTCATCTTCTAAGAGAAAACGAAGCCGTGCACTCTCCAGTCGGTGCCTCTGGATTCTCCACAGTGCCTTCTGCTCCCGACGAGCTGCCTCTGCAGAGAGCTTGCTGTAGTGGTCGACCAGTGCCTGCCTGAAGCCACACACCAGAGAGGACACGGCCACAAGAGTCACCCCACCCCATCTACCTGGCACCCCTCAGGCCAGGATGGTTCTCCATAACAGAGGCCCCAGTGGGCCCCCGCCCCCGTCTCCCCCTACCAGGGGCTGATAGCTCTGGGCCCTCACAGCACCTACAGGGCAGCACCAGGCAGGCCCTTCTACCTGCCAGGCTGGGAGACCCTGGTGAGTCAGCGTCCAGCCAGGGCTCAGCAACATCTGCTGGACAAATACCAGAATGAGATCCTGTGTGGCCTGAAGCAAGGGGTGAGCAGGAGGCCGAGGGCCCCAGGCCTCTAAGAAGTTAGGCCTCTTCCCCTTCTACAGGTACAAACCTGAGAACTGAAAACTAATGCAAAAAAGCACATGAAGCAAAACCAACACAAACGCTTTATTTGCTGAATTCAAAGCCTGCTTCACCGATCGTGCCCCATGATTTTGAGCTTCTCACCAGCAGGCAACTGGGCTCAAACCTGGACTGGCCAGCTCTAATTTGGCTGCCACAGGCCAGAGACGTAGTGTCTAGGCCTGGTTTTCTCCATGTGTTAACAGGACAGTATCGACTGACATACATGCATGAACACGTACTCATGCATAAATGCATACACGGACACACGTGCACACAGGCACGCGCACCCCTCCACACACATCCCTCACTCGCTCCATAAAGAGATCTAAGGTTGGGACCTACAGCATCGCGTGGGGCTGAGCAGGAAGCGGCCAGCCCCTCCCGTGAGGGGCTCTCTCCAAAACCCCAAACAGCCCCTTGAAGGATCCAGCACTACTCAGCCTGGGACAGCCTGATGACAGCACAGGACAGGTTGATAACAGCACAGGGAGACAGACGCAGATGCTGTGCTGGACAAATGCCCTGTCTCAGCCGAGCGCGGTGGCTCGCGCCTGTAATCCCAGCACTTTGGGAGGCCGAGGCAGGTGGATCACCTGAGGTCAGGAGTTTGAGACCAGCCTGGCCAACATGGTTAAACCCCGTCTGTACTAAAAATACAAAAAACTAGCTGGATGTGGTGGCGGATGCCTGTAACCCCAGCTACTCAGGAGGCTGAGGCAGGAGAATTGCTTGAACCTGGGAGGCGGAGGTTACAGTGAGCCGAGATTGTGCCACTGCACTCCAGCCTGGGTGACAGAGCAAGACTCTGTTTCCAAAAAAAAAAAAAAAAAAAAAAACGCCCTGTCTCTGTCAGACCAATAACAGACTTAAAAATAAATAAGGAAGGATGTTCAGAAAGAAGATAAATAAAGAGACAGGACCCCAAACAGTACGCAGGCCTCGCCTGGACCCTAATCCATACAAACCACCACAAGACAACGCGCAGAACAGCTAAGGATGCCTGGATAAGGCAGAACGCCCACAGCCACTCTGGGTTCAGCATATTGGTCTTTCTACCTTAATGTATGTTTGAAGGTTTTCAAAACAAAAAGTAAAATCATCAGTAAGATTAAGCCAGAGCTATGGGGCCCCTGCCGCACTGCACCCCTGGGCCTGGAGCCCGGGCTGCCCTACCTCGCCTTCCTCTCCAGCTCCTCCTCCAGGGACTTCAGCCTTCTCTCCCTGTCTCGGAGTTCACGGGCGTAGCTGAAGTCATCATCCAGCTCCTCCTGCCTGGCCGCCTGGCGTCGCTATAAAACACATAGAGCCTGGCCTGTGAAATCAGAACTGACAGGCGTGACCCCGCAGGGACAGGTCCTACCCACCTCCTGGTCCTTCACAAATTGTTCTTTCAGCCTCTGAAACTGCTCACGCTTCCGGGCATCCAAGGCCATCCGTTCTGACATCTGCCGGTCTACATTGGGACAGTAAGGGGCGCACTGTCACAAGGAGGCCCCAGCAAGGCCCCCCGGAACTGCAGAAGGGAGGACTTGGGGCCACTCACCACTCAGTGCACTCAGGACCCTGGATGCTGCTTCCCGGGCATGAGCGATTAATTCTTGTTTTGCAATTTCCATACGTAATTCCTGAGAAAGACAACTGGTAATCAAAGCATCCTGGCCGGGCGCAGTGGCTCACGCCTGTAATCCTGGCACTTTGGGAGGCCGAGGTGGGTAGATCACATGAGCTTAAGAGTTCAAGACCAGCCTGGACAACATAGCAAAAACCCATCCCTACTAAAAATACAAAAATTAGCCAGGTGTAGTGGCAGGTGCCTGTAGTATCAACTATTTGGCGGGGGTCAGGGGAGCTTAGGCAGGAGGATCCCTTGAGCCTGGGAGGTGGAGGCTGCAGTGAGCCATGTTCGAGCCGCTGCACTCCAGCCTCCTGGCTGACACAGTGAGACCCTGTCTCAAAGAAAAAAAAAGCAACCTAATCCTCTGACCCCTCACCTAGGATGCCCAGGACACCTGTGGACTCAGGGCCGGCAGGGGAGACACATGGTCCAAGGGTTCGAGGAGGGACCAGGTGATGGCAGGACACCGCCCCCCCGCCCACCCTCCCCCACCCCCAGGCTCTCAGCAGTGGCAAGGCTGGTTCCAGGCCATGGACGGGAGCTGACCGGCTCTCACAGAGACATCTGGGGCTGAGGACCCCAAGGCTGTGTGTGCCCACCCTGGAAGGAAACCAAGAGGCCTCAAGAGGGGGCTTCCCCGCTCAGCCTCTTAGGCCTGCCCCTGCCCAAGTATCCCTGCTGCCCACCAGGCACCAGGCCAGAAAGGGTGTTCCTGGGAATGGCACTGATTGTACCACCGAGCCCCTCCCAGAAGACACAGGAGAGGCGTGGCCCGTCCCTGACACACTGTCCCTTCCCAGCAGGAAGGGGGCTTGCAAAGGGCGAAGGCCATCTGGAGTGCAGCCAGGACTGTCTGTCCACAGCTGGCGGGCCCGGGGAGGCCCCAACGGAGTTTCCCACGCCAGCAAAGCCTGGGCTTCAGGCTGAGCCACCCAGACCCAGGAGGAGAAGTCAGAGCCCCTGCCTGGCATCTGGCTCCGGACATTCATCTCAGCTCCCCCTTGGCACCCACCCTTCATCTCAACTCCCCGTTGACACCCACCCTTCATCTCAACTCCCCCTTGGCACCCACCCAGGCCACCGCCAGGACAGAAAATGCCAGAAGGGAGGCCCCCATCTTGCACAGCCCTCATGTCCGCCCCACCAACCTGAGACCCCAGGAAGCAGAGGCAGGGGCGAAGAAAGCCCCCGAGACCTGTGGTGCCACGCACCTTCTCCTCCTTGCTGACAGAGCTGTGGCGGGCCACCCTCTCCATGCGCCCAACGTAGACGGCACAGTCCTTCTCAATCTCCTTCAACTCCTCAAGGGAGAAAATCACCGAGATCCGGGGGACAGGGACGTCGGACCAACAGAGGTAATGCTGCCAAAGGGGATGCAAGCACAGCCACCAGCACTCAGCCCCAGCCTCATACTCAGCCCCAGGGAAGACCGGCCCCTCTCTTCCCCACACATGAGCCCCTCCTCACCCGGGGGCAGCAGAGCTTCAGCAGGTTAATGGTCTTTCCGCAGACGTATATGTCGTGGGCAATGTGCTTCAGAAACACGGGAACACAGTCCTCCACCTCTTTGGAGATGAGCACGTAGCCATGTGTCCAGTACAACTTATCTAAGGTAGGGTGAACACCACGGTGGCCGGCATGGCCATGGCCCTGAACCCAGGCCCACAGGCACGGACCCCTGCCCCGCAATCAGCTGCCACCTACCTCGGAAGCTGAGGTACTCGTGGTTCACCTGAATCATGAACTCGCCATAAGCGTCTCTGAACACCCCGCTGTACACCCAGTCGTGGATGAACCTGCAGTGGGGGAAAAGCAGGGGTAGATGTGGTCAACGGAGAGGTGGGTGGGGCGTGGCTGTCAGTGAGGGGTGGGACAGGGGCGTGGCTGTCAGTGAGGGGCAAGTGGGGGCGTAGCTGTGAGAGGTGGAGTGGGGTGTGGCCATCCATGAGGGGCGGGATGGAGTGGGGGCAGGGTGGGGGGTGTGGAGTGGGGGCAGGGTGGGGGGTTGGGGGCTCCTGCCCAGTCCACCTATCCTGCCCTCCCCTTCCTGTGTGACCCCCACATTCAGCAGGTGTCTGACAAGGGACCGCTCTCAAGTGTCTGCCTGGTGGGAGTGCGCGCCCGCCGCGCCTGCCCAGCCCACTGCCCACCGGGTGTAGGGCTCGCAGCTGGTCTTCAGCAGGGACAGCAGTACAGGGTAGTGCTCGTTGCTGCAGTTGTGCAGAGCCTCCTGGTAGAGGTAGGACAGCAGCTTCACGCCCTGCAGACCGCAAAGGGGGTGGGGGGCAGCTCAGCGCACCCAGCGCTGGGAGTGAGGCGCAGCCCTGCCGGCAGCAGCCCTCCAGGGACACGCTCAGCCACCCCCGTTTCCTGGAGCCCACCAGGCTGACACACTCGGCAGGGACGCACAACTCACGGTGGGAAACGCGGCCCTGGGGCCTCCTCCACAGGTGCCCGGGAGCACAGCGCCAACGCCACAGAGCTCGGCCAGGTACCTAGACCCAGAGGCAGGATGAGACCAGGTGACCGGGCTCAGGGTTCCCAGGCCTGGATCAGATCGTGAGCAAAGTCTCCACGTATCTTTATGCTCCCTGGGGCAACTAACTTTAGATGCAGGCTTTAAAAACCACAGGCACCCCAACCACCCAGAAACGGGCTCCCTGCAGGACTCGTGTGCAGCCCTGTGCCCCTGCGCTGTCCACACACACCCCACTGAAGTACCCACACCCAGCAGGCCCTCCCTCCCAGGATCTGGCCAACACACGAATCACCCTGATCCTCCCACTTCTGGGGGCTGCACCTGAGAGCCCCTCCCATCCACACAGTGGTACCAAGCATCTGCCACAACTCGCACCCTTCACAGCCCAGCTCCCCTGCCCCACAGTGTCTCAGCCCTTGGGTCTCCTCAGCGCTGCCACACTCTGCTCCTCAGCCTGGAAGGTCGCCTCTCCCACTGCTCCCAATGCCCAGCTCCTCACTCTTCCTTCTCTGATGGCACCTGCCAATAGCCCCCGAGCCTGGTTGCTCACTAACCAGCTTGTGTGTACCGGACGCCACATCTCCAGGGACCCTGTGTGCCAATTAGGCAGGAGCCACCGGACCTGGAGGGCCTGGATGGGGCCAGCTGTGGTGGGCCCACGGCAGACACACCCGCTCAGCACCGGGCACCTGGTGAACTCGGCCGGCCAAGGGCCATCCGGTCGCCTGCTGAGGGCTGTTCTCACAGGCCCTCCTTGCCAGGGAGCAGGGCAAACCCTCCACCACCCAGCAAGCCCCACACCGCTCCCGCAAAGTCCCCTGCTCAGCCGCCATGCTGAGGCTCACCTGAGCTGCCGGCCAAGTTTCTTGAAGAGAAAACCAATGGTGAGGAGGCTCAGGGTGGGCGGAGTGGAAAGGACGCAGGCCCGGTAATACTGCAGGTACCTCCTCAGGCCACTGGTGAAGGCCTGTGGGCAAAGAGGCTGGGAGGAGGGCGGCCAGGCACATGGACGCAGCCGTGCCCAGGGCCTGAGGGGCACCAGTGCTGGGAACAGCGCTTTGTTTCTTGCCTCAGCTCTGGGCTCCATTTCCAAGCAATGGGCCTCTGTGAGCCACACCCCGCCACCGGGCCAGGTGGAAATGCGGCCCATCCACAAGAAGCCAGAAGCTGTGGCCCACCACCAACCCTTCCTCTCATCTGAGCCCAGCTGCCCCAGGGGCGCCCACCACCAACCCTTCCTCTCATCTGAGCCCAGCTGCCCCAGGGGCGCCCACCACCAACCCTTCCTCTCATCTGAGCCCAGCTGCCCCAGGGGCATGGCAAAGGGGCTGGGGGGGAAATGGCGGCCGTGCTCTGTGCACAGACACTAGTGCTGTGAGGGCTGCAGCTGCTCCGACCACAGCTGTCTCAGTGGCACCAGCATCCTGGGCAACGCCACAGCAGCAGGCCCTGCAGGTCACACTAAGACAGGGGCACCCTGGACCAATCTCAGTCCACCCACCCCAGGAGCCGCCTGGCTATGCCTGCCAGATGAACAAGAACCACAGTCCAGCCCTTCTCAGCGTCCCCTGCTCTGACCCCTTCTCCACCATCTCTAGCTCTCAAGTCCCCCGGGGCTGAGCCTCTGCCTAGAAGCTCTCCCCGCCCCGTGCAGCTCCCACCATGCCCACCTCCACAGCCCATCTAAAACCTACACCTCACCACATCACCCCACCCGACAGCCCCTGCTGCAGCAGCAACAGTCAAAGGAGGCTGCGCTGCCTGGCTCCTCCAGGGCTCTCTGCCCACCTTCCCCAACACCCTCCTCTCAATCCCCCAAACCCAAATGCCCCATCATCCACCTGCCTATTCTCTCCCACTCAAGGTGCAGCCCCTGTCCCATGGGCCTCTTCCCAGCACATGAGCCAGCTTCAAGACTCACCAAACAGCAGCTTCCGGAGCCAGACTTGGCTCAGAACTCCCAGCAATGTAAATTCACCCAACAGGAGGGCCCTGCGCTGTCAGTCATCCACAATGTGCCGGGCCCACTGGGGAGCAGGCAGCAAGAGCCCCACTCACGCCTTTCCTGCCCTGCGCACCCCTTATGCTGGCTGCACCTGCCTCCTACACACCCCAGGGCCCACACAGCCCAGGGCCCACACACATCTGCCCCAAGTTTCTAGTGAGGTAAAACATCCTCACTGACCCATCCCTCAAGAGCCACTATCGGGTTTCAGATGTTAGCAAGGAAAGAAAAGGTTTAGACTCTCTGGTCCTGCAGAAGGACCTCTGAGATTCTCTCTTCCAGGTCGTGTGCACCGTTCTCACAAAGGTGTGTGACAACCATGAGGCAAAGGCCATACCTGGAACACGAGGCCCTTGCTGTACAAAGAGTCCAGGACGGGCTGCAGAGAGAAATGACTCAGGCGCGTGTAGCAGGTCCCATACTCGGCCACTTCCGAGAGCAGGCTGCTGATGCTCTCGGGAGACGCTCCTGACACGTGGACGCCCCGCTTCACCACAAAGGCCTGGGCCGGCTGCACAGGGGCAGAGGACACTGGTCACAGAGGCCAGGCACCCAGACCCCCAGTAAGGTGCCGTCTCCCTCCACCCTTGCACCCAACCCCACGCCACCTAGAGTGCCTCCAGGACCCAAAAGCAAATGCCCAGAAGGCATACCCAGAACTCCCACACCGAGGGACCAAACCGAGGCACAAATCCTCACTGACCACACTGAAAAATACATGTTTAAAATGCCAAGTGTAGAAAAGGGTAGAAAAAAACAGAACACCTTCCACAGGACACAAGTACACAGACAGCCTCCTGGGGCAGAAGCTATAAAACATGACGGCCGTGAGACCCGCTCATTTGACTCTTCGGGATGAATTAGAGAAATGATGGAAGATGCACAAAGACTCGCCACAGGACATTCTCCACAGTATGTTTATAACCAGAGAGTGGAGACCCCCAATAGAGGGCTCATGACAACCAAAACGAATGGGGTGTAGCAGAAGCCAGAAGGGAGGTTACAGCCGCAAATACCCACGTTAGAAAGGAAAAAAAATATCCCGCAATACAAAGGAACAAGATACCAAACCACAACAGCACCGTGTATACCCTAAAGAGATATTTTAAAAAGAGCTGTTAGGCCAAGCACAGTGGCTCACACCTATAATCCCAGAACTTTGGGAGGCTGAGGCAGGAGGATCACTTGAGCCCAGAAGTCTGAGACCAGCCTGGGCAACATAGCAAGACCCCCATCTCTAAAAAAATTTTAAAAGTTAGGCCAGGCATGGTGGCTCACGCCTGTAATCCCAGCACTTCAGGAGGCCAAGGCAGGTGGATCACTTCAGGTCAGGAGTTCATGACAAGCCTGGCCAACATGGCAAAGCCCCGTCTCTACTAAAAATACAAAAATTAGCCAGGCATGGTGGCGTGCACCTGTAGTCCCAGCTACGCAGGAGGCTGAGGCAGGAGAATTGTTGAATACGGGAGGCAGAGGTTGCAGTGAGCTGAGATCACGCCTTTGCACTCCAGCCTGGGAGACAGAGCAAGACTCCGTCTCAAAAAAAAAAAAAAATTAAAAATTAGCCAGCCGTGGTGGTGCATGCCTGTTGGTCCCAGCTACTCGGGAGGCTGAGGCAGGAGGATCAATTTGAGCCTAGGAAGTTGAGGCTGCAGTGAGTCATGTTTGAGCCATTGCACTCCAGCCTGGGTGATCCTGTCTCCAAAAAAAAAAAAAAAGAAAGAAAAGAAAAACAGGCTGGACGCAGTGGCTCACATCTGTAATCCCAGCACTTTGGGAGGCCGAAGCAAGCGGATCACTTGAGGTCAGGGGTTTGAGACCAGCCTCACCAACATGGTGAAAACCCATCTCTAATAAAAACAAAAATTAGCTGGGCGAGGTAGTGCACGCCTATAATCCCAGCTACTCAGGAGGCTGAGGCAGGAGAATTGCTTAAACCCAGGAGGAAGAGGTTGCAGTGAGCTGAGATCACGCCATTGCACTCCAGCCTGGGCAACAGAGCGAGACTCTATCTCAAAAAAAAAAAAAAAAAAAAAAAAGCAGTTAAACCCAAAACTAGCAGAAGGAAACAAAAAATAATTAGAGCAGAAATAAATACAGAGTAGGCCAAGCACAGTGGCTCACACCTGTAACACCAACACTTTGGGAGGCCAAGGTGGGTGAAATCACTTGAGGTCAGGAGTTTGAGACCAGCCTGGTCAACATGGTGAAACCCCATCTCTACTAAAAATACAAAAATTAGCCAGGCGTGGTAGTCCATGCCTGTAGTCCCAGCTACTTGGGAGGCTGAGGCAGGAGAATCGCTTGAACCCAGGAGGCGGAGGCTGCAGTGAGCTGAGATCACACCACTGCACTCCAGCCTGGGCGACAGAGTGAGAATCCGTCTCAAAAAGAAAAAAAAAATACAAAATAGAAAAACAATAGAGAGAACCAAACAAAAAGCTGGCTCTTTGAAAAGATCAACAAAATTGACAAGTCTTAGCTAGAATAATTAAGAAAAAAGATGACTAGGGCCAGGCACGATGGCTCACGCCTGTAATCCCAGCACTTTGGGAGGCCGAGACGGGCGGATCACAATGTCAGGAGATCAAGACCATCCTGGCTAACATGGTGAAACCCCGTCTCTACTAAAAATACAAAAAATTAGACGGGCGCGGTGGCGGGTGCCTGTAGTCCCAGCTACTCAGGGAGGCTGAGGCAGGAGAATGGTGTGAACCCGGGAGGCGGAGCTTGGAGTGAGCCGAGATCGCGCCACTGCCCTCCAGCCTGGGCCACAGAGCGAGACTCCGTCTCAAAAAAAAAAAAAAAGAAAAGATGACTATGAAAACAAGAGAAAAAAATCAAGTTACTAAAATCAGAAATGAAAAGTAGGGGCCGGGCGTGGCGGCTCACACTTGCAATCCCAGGACTTTGGGAGGCTGAGGCAGGCAGATCACTTGAGCCCAGGAGTTCAACACCAGCCTGGGCAACACGGCAAGACCCCATCTCTTCAGGCATTTTAAAAATTAGCTGGGTGGGCCGGGCGTGGTGGCTCATGCCTGTAATCCTAGCACTTTGGGAGGCTGAGGTGGGCAAATCACCTCAGGTCAGGAGTCAAGAGACCAGCCTGAGCAACATGGTGAAACCCCGTCTCTACTAAAAATACAAAAATTAGCCAGCCGTAGTGACATGCACCTGTAATCCCAGCTACTCGGGAGGCTGAGGCAGGAGAATTGCTTGAACCCGGGAGGCAGAGTTTGCAGTGAGCCGAGACCGTGCCATTACACTCCAGAATGGGCAACAGAGCGAGACTCTGTCTCAAAAAAAAAAAAGAAAAAGAAAAAGAAAAAGAAAAGAAAAAAATGAGCTGAGTGTGGTGGCACGTGCCTGTAGTCCCAGCTACATGGAGGCTAAGGTGGGAGGATTGAGATTCAGCCCAGGAGGTCGAGGCTACTGTGAGCTGTGATGGTGCCACTGCACTCCAGCCTGGGCAAGAGAGAGACCCTGTCTCAAAAAAAAAAAAGAGAGTCAGGGTTGGTTCCACACAATAAGGCTATCCCCACAACAGACAAGATGAGCTGTGAGCACGGTGTTGAGAACAGGCGCCCTCAGCGCCGGCAGCAGCTGGAGCTTGCTGGTGAGCACTTTTCTGGGGCAGTCACTGGCTGTGCTTCTAGTCCATTCTGAAGTCTAAGAATGGCCACCATAAAAGAACATTTAAGACAAAGGAAGGGGATGAGCACTTAAATGAAAAAGCTGCAGAGCAAGACTTCATTTTTCTGAATATATCCATTCACTTCTCCAGTGCCCAGCAAGAGGGCTGGCTAAACTGCAGCTGGTGCCAGAACCAGTAAGGCCCGGCCCCATCCCGGATGACACCGCATCCAGTGAGAAGAGCAGCGCAGGCCCCAGTCTCGGGACGCTCTCGGCAGGCAGATGCTCCTCCCGAGCGGTGGGAAGGCTCGGAAGGCGCCTGGCACTTCAGGACGGAAATGGAAATGCGGGGAGGAACATTTTCTATCGCTTTGCTGACAGCAATAAACATGTTATTTCTCTGCAGTTTTTTAAAAGGACATTAATAAATTAACACTTTTTAGAACCGAAATGGGATGATGCTGGCTGTCATCACTGGTGGCCCTGGGAGCTGGCCTTCCCTGCCACTCCCCACTCCCTGCACTGGGGCTTGTTCTGCCCCATAAAGGGCTGGGCACTGCGTGGTGGAGGGCAGGCCAGCCCCACACCACTGTGGCGGGGAGTGAGCAGTTCTCACCTGGCAGAGCGAAAACGTGGCAGACACGACCCCAATCAAGACGTTCAGCACGTCTTTCACCAGCTCGCACTCCTTCACCAGCACGGGCTGCGGGGCCTGTAGGACGCCCCCAGCAAGCAGCTGGAGCTCCCCTTGGTGGAGCCTGCAGAACTTGTCGAAAGCGTCCCTTCCCGCCTCCGTCAGGTAAGGCTCCTCTCTGTGGCCAGGGGGGCTGCGAGGGGTGCAGAAGAGAGGCCATGAGCAGACGTGGTGACCTGCACCTCAGCACCAGGGTGCTTTCTCTCGGGAATGGGCATGAACAGAAGAATGGAAGTGATTCAAAACAATAAACTCTAAGAAACATAGCCAGGTATGAATGTCAGCTCACCACCCAGCCTTTTGTGGATGCTGCTGCTGTGAATACCAGCACGATCGATTCTATCAGGACAACTCATGTGGAAAGTGTTCCAGGGCACCTTCCTGGGGTCCTGGGCATGGCCGGGGGTATCCGACTGGCCCAGCCCTGGAAGAGCACCCCAGGCCACGCCAGTGGCCCTCAAGATGGTGATTCACTCATAAAGTATTCTTCTGTTAGAAACAAAACAAGATTTGTACACCCATGTACACAACAGCATCTACACCCTGTCCATGGCAGCATCCACACCCAGGTCCATGGCAGCATCCACATCCCTGTTCATGGCAGCATCATCCACACCCCTGTCCACAGCAGCATCCACATCCAGGTCCACTGCAGCATCATCCACACCCCCTGTCCATGGCAGCATCATCCATACCCCATCCATGGCAGCATCCACACCCCCTGTCCACAGCATCATCATCCACACCCCTATCCACAGCAGCATCACCCACACCCATCCACGGCAGCATCATCCACACGCCCGTCCACAGCAGCATCTACACCCAGGTCCACAGCAGCATCATCCACACCCTCTGTCCACGGAAGCATCACCCACACCCCTGTCCATGGCAGCATCACCCACACCCACCCATGGCAGCATCATCCACACCCCTGTCCACAGCAGCATCCACACCCCTGTCCACAGCAGCATCCACACCCAGGTCCACGGCAGCATCATCCACACCCCTGTCCACAGCAGCATCCACACCCAAGTCCACGGCAGCATCATCCACATCCAGGTCCACAGCAGCATCGCCCACACCCCCGTCCACAGCAGCAGCATCCACACCCCTGTCCACAGCAGCATCCACACCCAGTTCCACAGCAGCATCATCCACACCCAGGTCCACGGCAGCATCGCCCACACCCCCGTCCACGGCAGCATCATCCACACCCCTATCCACAGCAGCATCATCCACACCCCCTGTGCACGGCAGCATCACCCACACCCCCGTCCACAGCAGCATCTACACCCAGGTCCACAGCAGCATCATCCACACCCCCTGTCCACGGCAGCATCACCCACACCCACCCATGGTACCAGCACCCACACCCCCGTCCACAGCAGCATCCACATCCAGGTCCACAGCAGCATCATCCACACCCCCTGTCCACGACAGCATCACCCACACCCCTGTCCCTGGCAGCATCACCCACACACACCCATGGCAGCATCATCCACACCCCTGTCCACAGCAGCATCCACACCCAGGTCCACGGCAGCATCGCCCACACTCCCGTCCATGGCAGCATCCACACCCAGGTCCACCGCAGCATCATCCACACCCCTATCCACGGCAGCATCCACCCCCTGTCCACGGCAGCATCAGCCACACCCCTGTCCACAGCAGTATCCACACCCCTGTCCATGGGAACATCATCCACAACCCTATCCACTGCAGCATCATCCACACCCGTGTCCATGGCAGCATCCACACCCCAGTCCATGGCAGCATCTACACCCCTATTCACGGCAGCATCATCCACATCCCTGTCCACGGCAGCATCATCCACACTCCTGTCCATGGCAGCATCCACATCCCTGTCCACGGCAACATCCACATGCCTATCCACATGCCTGTCCACGGCAACATCCACATGCCTGTCCACAGCAGCATCCACACCCCCGTCCACGGCAACAACATCCACAACAGCCAGGGGGAGAGGAGCCTGAGCC
Source organism: Homo sapiens (assembly GCF_000001405.40). NCBI lineage: Eukaryota > Metazoa > Chordata > Mammalia > Primates > Hominidae > Homo > Homo sapiens. The sequence goes on from NC_000022.11 coordinate 50,235,391, forward strand.
CCCAACAGAGGAGGATAAACACAGACCGTCCGTGCAGACCCCTGCCCATCATTCAGCCTTAAAAAGGAAGGCAGCTCAGACACGTGCTCCAGAAGGCACGGCACTCAAGGACGCCGTGTGGAGTGCAATGAGCCATCACAAAACACTGTCTCCACAGGGACGGCGCTCGAGGACGCCAAGTGGAGTAAAATGAGCCATCACAAAACACTGTGCAACTCCACTTACATGAGGTCCCTACAGTGGCCAAAATCCTAGAGACAGAAAGTGGAGGCCAGGTGCGGTGGCTCATGCCTATAATCCCAACACTTTGGGAGGCCAAGAAAGGCAGATCACGAGGTCAGGAGTTCAAGACCAGCCTGGCCAACATGGTGAAACCCTGACTCTACTAAAAACACAAAAATTAGCTGGGCGTGGTGGCGGGCATCTGTAATCCCAGCTGCTCAGGAGGCTAAGGCAGGAGAATGGCTTGAACCCGGGAGGTGGAGGTTGCAGTGAGCCAAGATCGTGCCACTGCACTCCAGCTTGAGCAACAGAGCAAGACTCCATCTCGGAAAAAAAAAAAAAAAAAGTGGAGTGAATGGGGAGCTGTTTAATGGGTTCAGAGTTTCCTGCAGACTTGCTGTGCAGCAGTGAAAATACACACAGCATTACAAAGCTGTACAACTGGTTAAGACGGTAAAAACATTATATAAATTTTACTGCCCCACCTCAGAAAAACCGTAAGAGATGGATACAGAAAAAAAAATTCACAATTTTTTTTTTTGAGACGGAGTCTCGCTCTGTCACCCAGGCTGGAGTGCAGTGGCACGATCTTGGCCCATTGCAACCTCTGCCTGCTGGGTTCACACCATTCTCCTGCCTCAGCCTCCCGAGTAGCTGGGACTACAGGCACGGGCCACCATGCCTGGCTAATTTTTTGTATTTTTAGCAGAGATGGGGTTTCACCGTGTTAGCCAGGATGGTCTCGATCTCTTGACCTCGTGATCCGCCCACCTCAGCCTCCCAAAGTGCTGGGATTACAGGCGTGAGCCACTGCACCTGGCTAAGTTCACAAATTTTTAAGACAGTAACAGGTAAGGTGGGCTGGTACAGGCAGCCCTGGGCACATGCAACTCTGAGGAAATTTGCCTTCTGCTGGTGCTGAGGCTGTGAAACCACATGTACTGGCACTACACACACTCACACCCCCGTCCTCCCTGCGAAAACAATCAGCTCCAAGAAACACACTTTTACTGGCCACCTCTGCTATGAAGAGGGTGGGCTGGAGGGGGCAGGAGGAAGGAGACCAGCCCTGAGATGTCCAGTCAGCAGGTGGGGCCGCTCTGGACCCCAGACGCCTGCCCAGGCTCCCTCAGGATGAGATGAGCATGAGAAAGACACAGCCTCTCAGAGCCTCTGTCTGCCCCCTGCATTTCTTCCTGCAGATGGCCTCGGCAGGGGTGCAGGCTGTGGGCACAACCCTGTTTCCCCCTGCAGCCACTTCCACCCCATCTCCTCCAGGACTGGCCCCCAGCACTGCCATGGCTGCACACCCCTCTTGGTGACTCAGAACTGAGGGAAAAAAAGCCCACAGCGGAAACACAAAGACACAGCGCAGGATCCTGCAGGCTCTGGAGTGAACACCCCCCGCCCCAACAGGTCCCCAGAGAGAACACAACCCAAAATGTAGCAAAATGCTTCCCCCAGATGGGTGGCACATGCAGAGAAAGAGACCATTCCAGGGTCTGAAAGGCCTCCCTCCGCCTTAACCCAGCCCTTGCAGCTCAGCAGCAGGGAGGGCCGTGAGCAGTCGGACAATGGTGGTTCTCAGGGTGGGCAACAGCAGGGGCGAGTGGCCCCCCGTGGGGTCTTGGGACCTGTGGGAAAGCAGGGTTGATGTCTTGGAGAGTGGAGAAGGCTCAATTTCTGGCTAGGCGGCAGTTTCTTTAGCCACCTGCTGGTCAGAGCTCATCACAGCAGGAAACTAGCAGGTGGCTGGGATTTAAAATGAAACAAGACCAAACGATTTGCCAAAGGAACTTGAACCACAGCATCAGGCTGACCCGACTGCAGTGTCAGGGGCCGTGGGATCAGGGAGTAGAGGGGCCCAGGAGACGTAAACTCAGGTCCAGCCACTGTGTGGCCCTGTGCAGGTCAGCCACTGGACACTGAGATGACCACAGCACTTTCACTCTGCAGGGCCCTGGGCAGAGAAAGTCCCTACAGGAGCTGCCCAGGCTGTGCTCAGCACACTGCCAGGCACACAGCAGCACCTCCCTATAGGAACCACCGCCAGGCCCCACCGTGCCGGAGCTCCGCAGCCTAGGAACCACCGCCGGGCCCCACCGTGCGGGAGCTCCGCAGTCTCCAGCGTATTCAGAACAGGGTGATGAGGAGAGTGAGTGACCATGTCTCCTCATCAGCAACCCGAAAAAATGAACCTAGAAAAGGGGGAGTTAATAAATGAAATACAGCCAGCACGGTGGCTCATGCCTGTAATCCCAGCACTTTGGGAGGCCGAGGCGGGTGGATCACCTGACGGTGGGAGTTCAAGACCAGCCTGACCAACATGGAGAAACACCATCTCTACTAAAAACACAAAATTAGCCAGGCGTGGTGTCCCATGCCTGTAATCCCACTGTAATCCCAGCTACTTGGGAAGCTGAGGCAGGAGAATCGCTTGAACCCAGGAGGCAGAGGTTGCAGTGAGCCAAGATTGCGCCATTGCACTCCAGCCTGGGCAACAAGGACAAAGAAAGAAAAAGAAAAGAGAGAGAGAGAGAGAGAGACAGACAGACAGACTTATGAGGGAGAGTTTGGGGGACCTAGTTTGTTTAGGATGAAAGGAGTTGCCTAATTATGGTGAGCTGAAGAATGTTCCAGGTGAAGGGAACCTGGTGTTGGAAGGTTCTGAGTTTTTACAAAAATTAGCTGGGCATGGTGGCAGGTGCCTGTAATCCCAGCTACTCAGGAGGCTGAGACAGGGAGAATTACTTGAACCCGGGAGGCGGAGGTTGCAGTGAGCTGGAGATGGTGCCACTGCACTCCAGCCTGGGCAACAGAACAAGACTCCGCCTCAATAAATAAATAAATACAAAAAAAAAACAGAAAAAAATACTATTAGCAGACATGTACAGAATAAAGCAATAACTTGTAGGGCCAGTTTTTTTTTTTGTTTTTTTTTTTGAGACGGAGTCTCGCTCTGTCACCCAGGCTGGAGTGCAGTGGCGCAATATCCGCTCACTGCAAACTCCGCCTCCCGGGTTCACGCCATTCTCCTGCCTCAGCCTCCCCAGTAGCTGGGACCACAGGCACCCGCCACCACGCCTGGCTAATTTTTTGTATTTTTAGTAGAGACGGGGTTTCACTGTGTTAGCCAGGATGGTCTCGATCTCCTGACCTCGTGATCCACCCGCCTCAGCCTCCCAAAGGCCAGTTTTTAAACGTGTGAGGGATTGGCAGAGAGCAGGACCATGAGATTTGCTTTGACTGATGCACCAGCAGGAAGTGACACAGCAGGAAGGCCCTGGCAGTCAGGATAAAGCCACCACCACCGTGCTGGGAAGCAGGGAGACAGCCAACCCTGAGGGAATCTTCATGATGTCAGGAAAGCTCGCCCACCCGGGGGCACATGCTCCTGTCCAGGCTGCCAGAGCCCAGCCACTGCATCCCAGAGCACTCAGCTCCCAGCCAGCCCTGACCCTTTCACCCAACACTCCCCAAACCGATACCCACAGGATCACCAGTGGACTGGATGTGAACGGGGCATTCCATGGCCAAACATTTGGGGAAGTGCGTGTTTTTTTGTTTGTTTGTTTTTTGTTTTTGAGACAATCTCACTCTGTCACCCAGGCTGGAGTGCAGTGGTGCAATCTCGGCTCACTGCAAACTCCACCTCCCAGGTTCAAGTGATTCTTGTGCCTCAACCTCCTGAGTAGCTGGGATTATAAGCGAGCACCACCACGCCCAGCTAATTTTTGTATTTTTAGTAGAGACGGGGTTTCACCATGTTGCCCAGGCCAGTCTCAAAATCCTGACTTCAAGTGATCTGCCCGCCTCAGCCTCCCAAAGTGCTGGGATTACAGATGTGAGCCACCGCGCCCAGGCGAAATGCATATTCTCTGCCTGGGTTCTGGGAGTTATCAAAAGATACCACCACATTAAAGACTCTGAGAGGTGCTGAGTGCAGAGGCCTCTGGACCCAGGTGAGCCAGGGAGTGAGTGGCTACCGCATCCAGAGAGCAAGCTGCTGGTACCAGTCAGGAAAAAGCTGCTGCAGCTGGAGCTTCTCATCACCCAGACTGCCCCTCCCAACTCCTCCAGACACGGACGGAAAAGGTTCCGTGTTCATCAGCACCCCAATTCCTCTAGACATGAATGGAAAAGGCTCCTTCATCAGCACCCCATGCCCAGTGAGCATTTCTTCCTGGCACTAATCACACAGCCTGCCAGGCAGCTCTCTTGCTCTTAAGGACATAACTTAGCTGCCCCAACTGCTCTGCCTGGCAGGTGTGATCTGGTTACTGGCACGGGGAGGGGAGCTCTGCCCGACAGGTGTGATCTGGTTACTGGCACAGGGAGGGGAGTTCTGCCCGACAGGTGTGATCTGGTTACTGGATGGGGAGGTGAGGCCTCCTTAAAGGCTGTTAGTGCTTTCCCCTCTGCATCTCTCTTAACTCCCAGGACTCAGTCAATTTTGGACACTAGCTTAGGTTACTAACCCATCACAACTGCCTGGACCCCTGAGTACACAACGCCCCCCACACACCCCATCCAAGGCCACGCTCATGCAGGGGTAGGGGCACTGCATGCCAAGGCAAAGAAGGGCACACACCAGCCAACTCGCTCCCAGCACCTCCGCTTGCTGGCCTCATAGGTAAGTGCGGCTTCCCACAGGTCCACGTCTGGGGTCACGCTGGGCTCAGACTGGGAATCAGGAGTCAAGTTGGACGCTGACTGGAATCCTTCGTCTTCCCACTGATCCACACTCGGTGGGACCTGGAGACACAGGGAAGGGCAAACCGCCACTTATTGCTGTGTCCACGTTTCATCCAAGGGCGATGAGAATTTCAGGAACTTTATGCAAAGACCTAACAAAATGTTTCTTCTGTTTTTCTCAAGCGCATGTGTACCATACAATGTTTCCCACCAATGAGCCATTTAAGGAATTAAACAAAATAAGTCGTCAAGGCTGCCAATTTCCAATTCCATGTAACACATAAGCCTCAGTGGAACTTAGAGTGAAACTTTTTGAGATGCCTCAGACCTGGAAATTCCAATGTGGGGAACCCAGAATTAAAAAAATCACACTCAACATTAAAACACTACTGTACACCGGGGCCAGGCGCAGTGGCTCACGCCTGTAATCCCAGCACTATGGGAGGCTGAGGCAGGTGGATCACCTGAGGTCAGGAGTTTGAGACCAGCCTGGCCAGCATGTGAAACCCCGTCTCTACTAAAAATATAAAAATCGGCCAGGCGTGGTGGTGGGCACCTGTGGTCCCAGCTACTCGGGAGGCTGAGGCAGAAGAATTGCTTGAACCCGGGAAGCGGAGGTTGCAGTGAGCCGAGATTGCGCCACCACACTCCAGTCTGGGCGACAGAGCAAGACTGTGGGCAGCAAGCCACCCAGGTGCCGAGGCAAGAGACCGAGGGCACGAGCTGTTCTAGTACAATAAAATATATAGAACAAGAATAGTTACACTATAGATCATAAATATGATTATATATGAACGTTATTAATCATTAGTTTGTAGCAATTGCTCTTTATTCCAAGATTATAATAATCTTCGCTCTACAATTGTAACTTACGAGAAACCAGGCCATACAGAGACAGGAGCTGAAGGGGCAAGGTGAGAAGTGACCAGAAGACAAGAGTGTGAGCCTTCTGTCATGCCCAGACAGGGCCACTAGAGGGCTCCTTAGTCTAGTGGTAATGGCAGCACCTGGGAAGACGCCCATTACCTAGCGGACCTTGGTCTAGCGGTAGCGTCAGTGCCTAGGAAAAGCACCCACTACTTAGCAGACCAGGAAAGGGAGTCTCCCTTTCCCTGGGGGAGTTAGAGAAGACTCTGCTCCACCACCTCTTGTGGAGGGCCTGACATGACTCAGGCCCACCCGCAGTTATCCAGAGGCCTAAACGTCTCCCTGTGATGCTGTGCTTCAGCAGTCACACTCCTAGTCCACTTTCATGTTCCATCCTGTACACCTGGCTCTGCCTTCTAGATAGCAGTAGCAAATTAGTGAAAGTACTAAAAGTCTCTGAAATGCAGAAATAATGGTGTAAGCTGTCTCCTCTCTCTCTGCTTCGGCTGCCAAACAGGGAAGGGCCCCCTGTCCAGTTGACACGTGACCCACGTGACCTTACCTATCATTGGAGATGACTCACACTCCTTACCCTGCCCCTTTTGCCTTGTATCCAATAAATAACAGCGCAGCCTGGCATTTGGGGCCACTACTGGTCTCCACGTGTTGGTGGTAGTGATCCCCCGGGCCCAGCTGTTTTTTCTTCTATCTCTGTCTTGTGTCTTTATTTCTACCATCTCTGGTCTCCGCATATGGAGAGAAAAACCCACAGACCCTGTAGGGCTGGTCCCTACACAAGACTCCATCTCAAAAAAAAAAAAAAAAAAAAAAAAAAGAACAATCAGGCCGGGCTCACGCCTGTAATCCCAGCACTTTGGGAGGCCGAGGCGGGCAGATCACGAGGTGAGGAGATAGAGACCATCCTGGCTAACACGGTGAAACCCCGTCTCTACTAAATATACAAAAAATTCGCAGGGCGTGGTGGCAGGCACCTGTAGTCCCAGCTACTCAGGAGGCTGAGGCGGGAGAATGGCGTGAACCTGGGAGGCAGAGCTTGCAGTGAGCCAAGATTGTGCCACCGCACTCGAGCCTGGGCGACAGAGCGAGACTGTGTCAAAAAAAAAAATCAAATAAAATAAAAAAATAAAAATACAAACATATAAAATACAAAAATTAGCTGTGTGTGGTGACGCACACCTGTAGTCCCAGATACTTAGGAGGCTGAGGCAGGAGAATCGCTTGAACCCAGGAGATGGAGGTTGCAGTGAGCCGAGACCACACCACTGCACTCCAGCCTGGGCGACAGAGCAAGACTTGTCTCAAAAACAAAAAACAAAACTGCTGTACACCAAGACATTTGCTGTAGCATTATGTATGTTTCTAAATCATCTAGCTATCGCATAAGAATAGAACGACTAGTAACAATGTATCCTTTTGGCAACACTGATAAAGCAATAAAATACAAAACTCAAATGAGGAGCTACAGCGTACCATGGTAAAGCCTCAGGCGACAGACAGCAAAAACATATCCAATTGCACGAATTACAGAACATGAACACTTTTGCCACACGTGGCTACTGAGCACTTGAAATGTGGCTTGTGGGGCTGAGGAACTGAGTATTTTATTTTGTTTTAATTAACTTCAATTTAAACGGCAGCTCTAGAAGGCAGAGGTGGCTTAACGATATACCCCATTAGGTAAAGATGAAAAGCAGCATGTTGCTTTGGCCGGCAGGTGGGCAGCACTGTCGCTGCAGAGGAGGGTGGCCGCCAGTAAGCCCACTCCAGCAGCCCCACCTCAGGACAATGCAGCCACCAGACTATCCCCCCTTTTACCATGATAAAAGGAAGGTCACCGGGCCGGGCACAGTGGCTCATGCCTGTAATCCCAGCACTTTGGGAGGCCGAGACGGGTGGATCATTTGAGGTCAGGAGTTGGAGACCAGCCTGGCCAACATGGTGAAACCCCGCCTCTACTAAAAATACAAAAATTAGTTGGGCATGGTGGCTCACGCCTGTAATCCCAGCACTTTGGGAGGCCGAGGCAGGCGGATCAAGAGGTCAGGAGTTCAAGACCAGCCTAGCCAGCATGGTGAAACCCCATCTCTACTAAAAATACAAAACTTAGCTGGGCGTGGTGGCATGCACCTAAATCCCAGCTACAGCTACTCGGGAGGCTGAGGTAGGAGAATCACTTGACCCCGGGAGGCGGCGGTTACAGTGAGCCGAGATCGCGCCACGGCACTCCAGCCTGGGCAACAGAGCAAGACTCCATCTCAAAAAAAAAAAAAAATTAAGCCGGGCGTGGTGGCAGGTGCCTGTAATTTCAGCTACTCGGGAGGCTGAGGTACGAGAATTGCTTGAGCCCAGAAAGTGGAGGTTAAGGTGAGCCAAGATCGCGCCACTGCACTCCAGCCTGGGTGACAGAGTGAGACACTGTCTCAAAAAAAAAAAAAAAAAGAAGAAGAAGAAGAAGAAGAAAGGTCACAGGAAGCATTTTCCAAACCCCGAGAGAGATGAAAGAGGAAAAACTAAACATTCTACCTTAATAGCCAGCCCAGAGAGGTCCGCATTGTCTGGCACGGGGGGCAGGCCCAGTCGGACGTCCATGTCATAAGTGCGGCTGTGCACAAGGGCCCCGAAGAGCGAGACCCGGGTGTCTCTCTCGAACCTGTCACCACAAGGGTCACCAAATGAGAAGAGCCCGACGGTGGGCAGGCCAGTGCCTGGAGCAGCCTCCATAACCTGAAGTGTTTCCTGGATCATGCTGTGACACAAACACTCTTCTCTGGAGATCAGAGACTGAACGTCCATCTCAAACACACTCAGGTCGTCGCAATCATAGCCGCTGTACGGAACGTTTCTCCCCACATGCTTGTTGTTAAGGAAGTAGTCTCGTTTTCTCGGCAGAACTTGAGGGGGACCACTCCCTGCCAGCTGAACCAGGAGGTCCAAAACAGACCCCACCTCCAAAAGCGGACAGCAAGGGGCTGCTTCCAGCTCCTCCACAAGCTCCTCCAAACGGTCGGCCTTGGGGCCCAGGCCACCCACTCTCAAGTCAAAGGACAACATGAGGATCTTGTTTCTCGCTGGTAGTTTTGACATGTCAGGCTGCAGCTGTTGAGTCTCATCTTGAAAAAGATTTGTGAAAAGAGCATTGTAGGCCACCTTCTTGAGGCTCCGCTTTGCCCTCTTCCGGTTCACACTGCGCTGGCCCAGGTGAGTCTTGGCAGCCGGCAGGAGGGCCTCACACAGGTCGTCGAACAGCTGCGTGATGCTGGCCATGCCCCTTCTCAGCTCCGGGCCCCCGGCGTGTGGGAAAACACCTCACCCGGGCTTCACTCACGCTCCGGAAGACAGGGAGTGAGAGAGGGTCCGAAGAGGCTGAATGACAGGCGGCCTCTCCAATGCCGAAGCTCAGAACTGGTATTTTTTAAAGGAGGTCTTGCGGTTGCTCTACTCAGAGTAAACACGCCCTGCCCTCCCCAGTCCAAGCACGCTGCCCGGCGCCCGGCAGCCCACCAGAAGCCAGCTCGGCGTTTCTTCTAATTCAGTAGCCCTCAACCTTTAGGGAGTCACAGAACCGTGGCAAAACCGAAGAACGAAACGCGCGCCCGCGCAGTACAGCGGACGAACTCGGCTTTGCACCCGTTCTTCGGGACCCACGAGAGGAGACGGCCAGGAGAGGGTGCCACTCCGAGGGTCGTGGGCAGCGGAGAGTCTGGGGGCTCAGCCGGGTGGGTCCCGGGTTCTGGCCTGCACGTCCACCCGTTCTCCAGGCCTCACCCGTGGAAAGTGCCCACGGCTGCCGCTCTCGCCGCCTCCGTCGCGTCACAGCCGCGCCAGTGTGAAGAGCACTAGGGCGGGCGCGCCGGAAATACGTCACGGGAACGCCGGCAGCGCGTGAAGTTGGTGAGGCCTGGGCCGCGGCATACTTCCGGCCTGAGTCCGGCACCGCGGGTGAGAGACCGAGGCCGAGCGTGCTCAGTAAAGGAGGCAGAGCCAGCGTTTCGTTTGAGCGATGTTTACTAACGGCGCAAGGGCGGGGAGCGAAGCGCAGCGGGGCGCAGGGGCCGGAACGGGACCGAGCGTGGGTTGCATGGGCCTCGATGGGACGGGCCGGGGCGCGATGGGTGGGGCGGGGGCGAGGTGAGGTGAGGGGTGGAGCGGGGGAAGCACGGGTGGGAGAGGGCGGGGCGCGGGGATTGGGAGTGGGCGGGGTTCCGTGCCCCAGAGTCGAGGGAGCCGTGGGCTTGGGGTCCGGATCGCGGCCGCGGGGCGCTGGCGTGCGGTGTCATTTCTGCGGTGTAAATGCTCCCACCTTGGCCGATTTCAAGCCACCAGGTGAGGATGGCACTACAGGAGGAGCCGAGAAGAGGCGCGCAGTTGGCCTCCGGCGCTGGAGCTGGTTCAGGGCACTCCCCTGCCCTGCCCTCCCCACCGATCTGTGCGGCAGAGCCAGGCCCCAGGGCAGGGCCATGCCTCCGCAGTCAGCCTCACCTGCAACATCTTCCACTGAGGCTCCAGCTGCCCTCTCAGGTACATCAGGGCCTGGACGTCCTCTGGGGAGGCCACAGAGGAAGGGCCTAGGCTAGGAGGTGCCTCTCCATTCAGCACCCGGGCCAGGATCCCTGCTAGCTGGGGTGTGGAGTTCTGGACCAGGGGCGAAGACGGAAGCAGTCACTGGTCCTTTCCCTCGTCCCACCCCGCAGCACCTCCACCCTGCCCAGCTTACCTCCTCCAGGAGGGCCAGGACTCGGCCCCCTGCCAGCCCCCGAAGCATTGCAGCCAGGAGTGCAGCGTGGGGGCCCTGCAGGCCATGGCCAGGCCCCAGCGCCACCAGCACCAGGTCAGGCTGGAAGCCATAGGCCAGGGGCAGCACCAAGCCCAAGATGCAGCTCAGGAAACCACCGGTCATCTGTGGGGACAGCAGAGCCCAGCTCCTCATCTACGGACACCTGCTGGCTCTGGCCTCCCAACCTCCCAATCTCAGGGCCCCTGGAGTAGGAGCAGGGAGACAGGAAGGACCAGAGGCCTGCTATCATGACAATGCCAGCAAACAGCAGCTGTACACATCCATGGGCTCCCCAGCACCTGCCTTGCCGCGTGGCATGGTCACTCACCACTGGCAGTGGCGTGGAGACATGGAACATGGATAGGGCAGCCGCCTCCTTGCCCCTGATGTTCAGCCACAGACTCCTCCTTCCAGGACACAGGTGCATAAGTGTAAGGCCCTGCTCACCCTCCTGAGCCCAAACCGCAGAGGCAGAGGTGGAAGAGCATTCACGGGGCCATGGGCAGGGGTGCTGTGACTGCTGAGCCTCTGTGCTGGAGACCCACCTGGCATTGCCTCCAGCAGCCCTTCTCCCACACCCCAGCTGAGGAAGGCTCCATTCAGTACCACACAGTGCCCCACCCACCCGTCACCCTGGGGCCCAGGCACACGTCCATCACATGCCCGTCCACATGCATGGCTGGACATATGCAAGACCTGAGAGTCCTACCCGTCATGGGCGAGGTCTGGAGGCCGGTCCAGCTGTCCCAGGGCCACGCACAGCAGCCTGGAAGAAGAGCTGGCCTCAGGACAGGTGTTCATGTTGTCCAGAGTCCATTCCCAGAACTCTCTGTGCTTGGCCAGCCAGGATAGGGGTGCCCACAGGTCCTGCCGTCAGAGGCTCAGGATGGCCAAGTGAGGCTTACCTCTGGGCTCCGTGGGACAGGCCTCTCCGAACAGCCACATCCAGGGTGGCTGCTGCAGCAGAGGCTGGAGTGGCTGCTATACCACTGTTCACCTGTGGGATGAATAAACAGTGGAGAATGAGGCACCAACCAACTCCCAAGCCAGGTAAACAGATCCACAGTTCCCTTCATTCGGTGTGTCTCTGCGGCTACTGTCAGCCACACATCTTCTTACACTAAGGTCAATCACTCCATTTCTGTAAATAAGATGCTTACGTCTATAATTTTTTTTTTTTTTTTTAGAGAGGCAGGGTCTCGTTCTGTAGCCAGGCTGGCGTGCAGTGGCGCAATTGTAGCTCACCACAGCCTCAAACTCCTGGGCTTAAGCGATCGTCCTGCCTCAGCCTCCTAAGTAACTACAGGCACACACCACCACGCTTGGCTGACTTTTTTATTTTTTGTGAAGACAGGGTCTCCATATGTTCTCTAGGCTGGTCTTGAACTCCTGGGCTCAAGCGTTTCTCCCACCTTGGCCCCCCAAACTGCCGTTATTACAGGCATGAGCCACTGCACCCTGCCTAAATGTATACTTTAAATCACCCCCTTCACCTCTCTGCCAAAGAGCATTTAACTGAAGAAGCTGAGGTCAGAGGTCAGACACACTAGTGATCCCCACCCCTGGGGCTGTTCTGGGAACAGTTCCTGGCACAAGGCAATGTTCACATCCATGTGGTTCTGCACCACCCAGCCCTCCTCTGGACAGGCCACATCTCGTTGGCAGGTCCTGGTCCCTGCCCCTAGGTCCACAGCATCCCCAACCCCTCCCAGGTGCTCCCACCTGCCCATCCAGCATCCCATCTAAGAGGTACAGGAGCTTCCCAAGTGCAGTGAGGGCCTCCTCCCGGGCCAGGGACTCGTGTGGCCTGTGGTGGACAGACCAGAGGGACACACAGACACGGAGTGACCGCAGGTCAGGCACACACAGGCACAGGTGTAGATGCGGCCCCATCCTTCTCCCCAGGCCAGCCCTGCCCACCTGGCCCAGGCTTCTGTCTCCTCCCTCAGGGCTGACGCTTCCTGTTGGATGACGTCAGGGGGCAGAACCAATGTGATATCCGGCGTTGTCAGGGCAACAGCGGTGCGGACAGAGGGTGCGGGGCAGAGGCACGGCTGGTCCAGGAGGGAGCTCGGTGCAGATGCAGCTGCCTTACACACTGGACCCCCAGGCAGCAGAGGTGGAGGCCTCCCCTCTGGGGAGTGGCTGCTGGGGCTCATCGGCACAGCGGTCACATCTAGGGACAGTTCGGAGTCATAGCCACTGCACAGGAGCCCGAGGTGGGATCCTGCAGCCTAGCACCCGGCCACACTGACCTTGCTGCTGGAGGCTCTTCCAGTGCGGGGCCTGGGCAGCACGGGCACTCTGGATGGACTCTAGGGCACTGTGAGGGAGACACAACAGTCGTGACACCTGGTCTCACACCCCGGCCCTGCCCGCCCTACCTCCCCTCGCACCTCTGACATGGCGCCATTGGCCCTGACAGGGGTGGGGCCGGGTCACCCAGCAGCGTCTGTACTGTCATGCACACTGACTCCGCCAGTGACTCCAGGTGGTAGCCGCCCTGGGAGGAGGGTGGAGACATGATTGGGGCAGAGATATCACTGGGATGGGATGTCACCGGGAGAGCCCCTGCCTGGCTCTATCCCGGGCAGGACGCCCCTCCCAAATACCCCGTGGGCACCTGGCTCCCATGCTCCTGACCCCCAGGCCTCTGGCCCAGAGACCCTCCCTGTGTGCCCTCCCCAGTCACCTCCAGCACGGCACAGACCCGGCCGCCGGCCAGCACCTGCAGCAGCTGTGTGAGGTGGGCGAAGCACTCTGGCGTGGCCTGCATTTGCCCCTGGAACCAGAGCCATGTGTGATGGGGGACCTGGGCCCCAGGACCCCAGAAGCCCTCCCTGGCAAGGCAAGGCCCTCACCTCAGGGTCCCCGATGGCTGAGTCAAATCCTGCCGAGACCAGCACCAGCTCAGGGTCAAACTACAGGCCAGGCCGGAGTGGGGAGGGTCGACAGAGAGGGGCTGGAGCCCAGGTGAGGGCGAGCCAGGCCCATCCCATCCCCTCCTGAGCACCTTCCCCAGCCACACAGGAGTGGGACAGCTCATAACCCTCCTCCTGCCTTCACTGGCGCACTCCAGGCACAAGGTCCCCCTCCCACCCGGCTGCCCTGGGGGAGCCCTCCGTGCAGTCACCTCAAAGGCCAGTGGGAGCAGCAGGTGCAGGAAGGCAGCCACGTAGTCAGCGTTTCCCATCCCAACCTGGCAGGACATCCCAGGCTACATCCTGAACTGTGGGGCAGGGGAGGGGCCCGGGGGAGGGGGTGGGTGGGGACCTGGGGCTTGAGGGTGAACTGTGGGGGAGGGGAGGGGCCCAGGGGGAGGGGGCTGGGTGGGGACCTGGGGCTTGAGGGTGGGCACCTGGTTCCAGGGCAGGTTGACAGTGAAGCCGAGGCCCTGTCCCCGCCCCACTGCGTCTGCATCTGACTCTCGCAGGAAAGGCCAGAAGCGCCCATGCTCATAGCGGTGCCAGGAGAAGTAAAGGACGCTGCCAACAGCCAGCCAGGGCCAGAGGTCAAAGGTCAGGACCCTCAACAGCTCTACAGCTCCCTGTAGAACGCTGACCCCTGAGCACATGTCTGTATCTCACCCCTGGATTTTCCCAGGCCAGGCTGTGCACCCAAAAACTGGGGCTGCAGGGAAGGGTGGTTTCCGCACCCCTGCTCACCTGGGGTCATCCTCAAAGAGATACTGGATCCCCTGGCCATGGTGCACATCCCAGTCCACGACGAGGATCCTGGGTACAGACAGCGCTGGTGGCAAAGGGGCAGGGCCTCCCACCTCCAGGAGCCCGGCCAGGGATGGGAAGGTGCTGGCTGGGTTCTCTCGCCTCCTGCGCTGCCCCTTGCTGTGTGGCCTGGGCCCACCCCCCTGCAGCCAGCCTGGCACACACCTGTGTAGCCCGTGTTTCTGCTTGGCATGTGCAGCTGCTATGGCCACGTTGTTGAACACACAGAACCCGTTGGCAGCCGCCCTCTGGCCATGGTGCCCGGGAGGCCTACGGCGTGAGAGTAGGATTTGGGTCACGTCAGGGTCGCCCTGGCCCCTCACAGGGCCACCCACGGAGGAGCAGCCAGGGGAAGGGGCAGCTCTCACCTCACCAGGGCAAGCCCATTTTGCACAGCTCCAGTGAGCACAGCGTCCACCAGCTGCAGTCCAGCCCCTGCGGCCAGCCGCGCGCAGTGAAAGGTACTCTGTGGGCGCAGGGGCGCAGATGAGCCCCCTGCCTTCCCTGCTGCCCTTTGCAGGCCATACCCACACTTGTGCCAGGCTGCAAGACACCAGCTGCTGAGCAGAACAGGCCAGCCCCAGGCTCTGGCAGTGCCAGCAGGCAGGTGTGCAGGGCAATGTCATGTGTATGGACCAGGGGACACTGGCTGGGGTTGGCGGCCGTGGCTGTGAACGCTCAAAGGCACGTGCATGTGTGTCTGCACAGGTGAGTGTGTCCGGGGACACGCACCGGGTGGAAGTAGATGGCGTCGAACTGTCCGGACAGCGCCTGCAGCTCCTCCTTGCCTAGGACCTGGGTCTCCCTGACCAGGGATACATACTCTGGGCTGCATGCAGATGGGCAGGCAGGAGAGGCAGGGTCACCAGCAGGAGCAGGGGGGCGGGAGGCGGGGACCTGGGATTCATGGTGGGAGTGGCCACCCTGTCACTTCCTCAAGCCTGTGAGCCCACCCGAGGTGCATAGGGAGAGGCTCTGTATTCGAGGCTGGCAGGCTCGGGGTAGGCCCAGGTTCTTAGGTTTCTAGCTGGGCTGCCCGCCCCGCCCCCCATCGTGGGGCCTGCCCCCGTCCTGACCTGTGCACCAGGCCCAGCTCCTCTTCCGAGGCCTCGCGGGCTGACAACCGCAGACACCTCTGTTCCAGGCCGCGCTGCCGCAGGCGATCCAGGGCTGCGGTCAGGCGCTCAGGACGCTCGATCTCGCACTCGGGGCTGGGGCAGATGAGGAGCTCAGTTCAGAGGTCCCTCCCCGCACCCCACCTCGGCCAGGTCCCACTTACTCGTCCCAGAGCAGCCGGGTGGCCGTCATGTCCTCATGGTACACAAGCGCGGTCCCCATGGCTGCGCCGTGGTCACCCTGGGTTCCCAAACGCCCTCGCTAGTGGTGCCTGCCACTGCCTGTCCCCACCTTCGGCCGGGAGCAGCCGGAGGCCTGGGACCTGCCTGGGGCGCAGGCGGGCGGCGGGCACCGGCCTGGGCGGGAGCGCACAGAACCTAGGCAGGCTCCGGGATCCCAGGCGCGCAGAAGGCACGGAGCGAGGCTGCAGTCGAAGGGGGAGGCTCCCCGCGCCTGGCTTCCGGCTTCCTCGCCTCGGACCTGGGTCCCGCCCCGCGCCCTGCTCCCGGTCGCTATCGCGAGCTCCGCCCCGGAGCGAGGAACCAGCGGGCGCGGAAGCCTCGGCGCCCCGAGCCGCCAGCCCTCGGAGCTGCGCTGCGGCTCCGCCTCCCCATTGGCCCCGCCCCGATCCCCTCCAAGAGGGGCGGGGTCCCCCGGCCTTAGGCGAGTGGTCGCCGCAGCCCCACCCGAACGCCCGTGGCCGAGCCTGCCCATGAGAGCCCCGTTCTGCACCAGCTGGGTCAGGGTCCAGCGCAGCCCCAAGGCCCACCCGGCCCGGGCGCAGGAAGACCTGGGGTGAAAGGCGAGGGGGGCGAGGGGTCTGCAGGGCAAAGGCCACGAGGCGGGAGGAGCCCGCGGGGAGGCAGGTGGCGCTGCGGCCGGCTCAGGGCGGTGGTCGTGGCTGCATGGAGGCGCAGCACCGCCCCCGAGGTTTAAGGAGGGAGTGAGTCCGGTTCTAGCTCCAAGAAGACCCCTGGCCCAAGAGCAGAGTCAAGGTCGGTGGAGGTGGGGACACTGGACCGGGGTTGCGGTAGCATGGTGGGGGACTGAGGAAGATAGGAGGCACGGGCACAGCCACGGAGGAAGATGCCCGAGAGGAAACCTGAGGCCCCCTGGAGCCCAGGGGACACCCTGCCCCCGCGGGAGTTCACATCCAGCTGGGTCACAGAATTTTGGGGCCCCCAGTCCTCAGGCCACCTATGGGCCCACACTTTGGGCCCAGTGTGGACAGCAGCCATGCCACAAGTCAGCGTGGCTCCGGAACTGATGGCGATCACGTCCCCCAGGCCCGGATGCCCTGGAGAGGCATGAGGGTCGCTGGGCAGAGAAGGCCCATCTGTCGTGGCAGCTCATCAGGTCCACTTTGGCTGGGCCAGCTGTGGGCATGTCCACCGAGGACACCTGGCCTGCCCTGCCCTGCCCCTCACTGGTCTCTCTGCTGTAACCCCTGCCCTGGGACAGGTTTGGAGGTGCCCATGGCCTGTGTTCCAGCCGCCACCCTTGGAAACACCGAGTGGCCTGCAGAGGGCGGCCTGGGCACGAAGATACCACTGGAGCAGGGTAGTAGGGGCTAGAGGTTTGATCAAGAATAAAACCCAGCCCTCTGCGCTCACCAATCCACCACAGGGGCCAGAGGGGTCTCAACATGTCCAATGTGCCCCGTCCCCCCAGGGACTGGCTGGCGCTCACCACTTCACCACAGGGGTCTCAACGTGCCCAGCGTGCCCCCTCCCCCCAGGGACCTGCTGGCATTGGAGGATGCAGAGAGCTAGGGTAGATCCTAACACTCCTCCCCATCAGGCCCTGCCCCTGGGTCTGGCTTCAGGATCCACACACAGTGGCTTAGAGTCTAAGCCATTAGCAGGTCACCCCGTAAAAGGGGAGGGGCCAAGCCCTAACGTGGGGGTTCGAAGATCACTGGCACAGGCCTGGGGGAAGTGGGCACCAGCTTTGTGGCCTGGGAGAGATGGGATGCTCAGGCCCCCCTCCTGGCTCTAAGGGTCTGAGCTATCAGGCCAGCCTCCTCTACATGCAGGCCAAGGGCCCGGAGGTCTTAAGGTGGGACCCGGCATGAGGACGCACAGCCAGAACAGGGAGCTACAAAAGGGTCTATTTCCTTCCAGCCACGCGGGCACCACACAGCTGATTTACATTCCAGGCTGGGGGTGCAGGAAGGTCCACTGACGTCGCCCAGGAGAGGGGATGTCCCTGAGTTGGTGCCCTGCGCCCACCCTCTGTCCTTCCTCTGCATGGCCCAGAGCAGGCAGGGCTCAGAGGCCAAGGCCTGATCTGGAGCCCCACCAGCTCTGAGGTTTCTGAGAGCACCGGGCAAGTGGGCCACTGCTCCAGGGATCAGAGGCCATCCCCAGGTCGGCCAGAGGTCTTGTCCAGAAAGTTCAGGTGCTCCTCCATGATGGGCGCCCAAGAGCAGAGGCATGGCCGTGGGGAGGAGGGTCCATGGAACCCGGGCGTCTGCTCTGATGGATGCCTTGGGATGCAAGCCCCAGCCAAGGTCAAGGTGGCAACGAGAGTCCCCTCTCAGGTGGAAGGTGAAGGTGGTCCTCACTGCCACCCCGGAGCCCAGAGATCTTCACAGAGGCGTCTCCTTGGAGACCCTGGCCCCCAGCTGCCGGGGAGGCTTGAAGCTGAGCACCTCTTTGTAAGTAACACCTGGCGGGGGTGGGGGGGCGGGCACAACAGAGAGGGGGGTCAGCCTTTGCCTTCCATCCTGGGAGTCGCTCACAGACACGCCTGGCGGTGCCTCGTGGGGCCCTTCTCTAATCCTAATGTGGTCTGAACCACTGAGAGAAGGTTTGTGTGAAGAGGCCATTGCTCTAGATCTGGATTTTCCAGGGAAAGGGGAGGTGGCCAGGGCTTGGCCACATGTCCACCACGGTCTGTCCTAAGAGCTGAGGCCTCAGCCACAGTTGTGTGGGTGGGGACTACAGAGAGGATCCTATGGCCCATGGCTTTCAAGTTATCTTTCTAGCAGCAGAAACCTTTAATCAAACAAAGCCAAACTCATAAGCACACGAATATGCACACAGCGAAGGGTGGAGGCCCTGCTGCGGGCACCCAGGGACCCGTGGTCGTAAGGAGCACATGTGAATCTCAACCCATCCAGCCCCACCCAGCCAGTGTGGAGGACCAAGGTCCCGCACCCGAGGCAGAGCCAGGACAGGGCCTGAAACATGGCACGGCTCCCAGTGTACACCTACTTTCCCCGGGCACACCCACCCCAGGCTGGTCATGCAGCCATGAAGAAGACACAGCCTGCCATCCTGGAGCAGAAATGAAGCCAGGTCCAGCACAGCCTCAGGCCGCAGCATAGCTGCGGGAGCTGGGGAGGCTTCTCTGAGTCCAGCCTGAGGCTGCACAGGCTTTGGCCAGCCCTCCAAGTTGAGGGGATAGCCCCTGGTATAGGGGATGATGGACCCCAGCAGTTGGGGTTGGAGTCTGGACTGCTTAGCGGGGGCTGGGGGAGACAGGCGAGGCCCTGGGGACTGTCTTGGGTATACAGTTGTCCAGGGGGGAGGGATCCTAAAGTGGGGCAAGGAGAGGGCTGGGCGCGGTGGCTCACGCCTGTAATCCCAGCACTTTGGGAGGCCGAGGCGGGCGGATCACGAGGTCAGGAGATCGAGACCATCCTGGCTAACACGGTGAAACCCCGTCTCTACTAAAAATACAAAAAATTAGCCAGGCCTGGTGGCGGGCGCCTGTAGTCCCGGCTACTCGGGAGGCTGAGGCAGGAGAACGGTGTGTACCCGGGAGACGGAGCTTGCAGTGAGTCAAGATCGTGCCACTGCCCTCCAGCCTGGGCATCAGAGTGAGACTCCGTCTCAAAAAACAAAAATGGGGCAAGGAGAGGCAAGGACAGATTCAGGAGGTGTGAGCAGAGAGGCCTTAGGGACAAGCGGACGTGGTGAGGGTGTCAGGGTGGCCCAGGTCTCTGGCCTGGACATGGCGGAAGGGCAGCAGGTCTGGGGGCCAGGAGGGGCTAAGTGGGCCCTGGTTCCCTGACTCACAGCTGCCTTTCACCACTCCCGGCTCCTTCTGTGCCAGCCTCTGTGCTGAGCCTGCCAGGAACACCCTTCCCTTCAACTTCCAGCTCCAGCCAGAGGTCATCTCCACCAGGCCACACGGCCCCATGCTGCCCTGACCTCCCATCCTCCTCACCTGACCTGCATCCCAGGGATGGGGATCTAGGACTCTGAGCCTGGCCACCTGCACAGGGCCCACAGGGTCCACACAGGCCCTACCCGGAGCCCCCAACTCACGGGTCCACACAGGCCCTACCCGGAGCCCCCAACTCACAGGTCCACACAGGCCCTGCCCAGAGCCCCCCACTTGGGTCCACACAGGCCGTGCCAGGAGCCCCCCACTCACGCTTCCATTCATCCAGTGTGCGGTCAACGTCGTCAAAGGAGTCATCATACTTCTGGACCTGGGGCTCATCTTCCGTGTCGTGCAGGGACTCGAAGTAGGGATGGGCCAGCGCCTCGCCTGCCGTCACCCGCTGCTCCGCGTCCAGCACCAGCATCTTCTCCAGGAGGTTCACAGCTGCGGGGGAAGGTGCATCAGGCCAGACCACGGGAGGCCCCACACTCCAGCACCCGGTGGCCCCCACACTAGCCAGCCGTACCCAGAGGGCTTGCATTGGTCAGGATAGAGGCAAAATCCTTCTTCTCCAATTCGGGGAGGCCCTTCATGTAGTTCTTGGCCTGTGTGGGAAGAAAGGGTGAGGGGCCAACACCAAGGCCCAGGTCCGCCCCCACCCCCACCCAGCTCCCCACTCACCCCTTACCTCATCGCTCTGCAGCCGCTGCACAAACTCAGCCGGAGGCGTCCCCGTCACCTTCATGATCTCCTTCAGCTGGTCCAGGTCTGCACCGAGGTCAGGAACACAGCTCGGGGGCCAGAGATCAGGGCCCCCACTGCCCCCACCTGGGCAGGAGCCATCCCCACCCGCCCCTGGTGCCGCCCTGCGGCTGGAGGATACGGTCGCTGCCCTTGAACAGCGTCTTGCCTGTGATCATCTCCGCCATGATGCAGCCCACAGACCAGATGTCCACTGAGATAGAAGCCCTGGTCAGCTCCGTGGGCAGGGGGACAGGATGAGACGGGGAGGGAGGAGACACCAACACAGCCCACCTGCCCGGCTCCCACCCCAGCTCAACAGCCTCCCTGGGAGCAGCCACCACAGGGCTGTCCGTGAAGAAGTGGAGAAGCAGATGGTGCAGCCTGAGAGGCCCAGATCTCTGGGCAGCTTCTCACCCGTCTGCGTGTAGCGCATCCAATTCAAGATGACCTCGGGAGCCCGGTACCACCGGGTCACCACGTACCCAGTCATCTCACTGTCTGCCTGCCTGGCCAGGCCGAAGTCCAGGATCTGTGGGAAGAATTGGGGAGGTGGGTTCTAGGGGACTCCCAAGGAGCGGACAGGCCACCCACGGTCCAGGAGACCCCGGGGGGTTGGACTTGAAGCTCCCAAGCTGGGGCCTCCTGACAACCTTCAAGGACTTGAGGCCACGCCCTCGGACCCCAAACTGCCCCGAGCTCCTCCCTCTGGCCAGTGCACCAAGCCCAGCAGCCCTCGGGACGGAGCAGGTGCCCTGGGTACGGCATGTTGTGTACCACTGCCTCTTGGGCTCACCCACCCACCAGCTCCTCAGCCACTGCCCAGAGCCTGGGACCTTGGCCCCCTGCCCAGGCCTGACAGGTGGATAGATGGGCAGATCCAGAGGGGGCCCCTGCCCCACCTCAGGGCCCCCTGCCAGGCAGCACACACCTTCAGCTCACAGTCTTCGTTCACAGCCAGGTTGCCGGGCTTCAGGTCCTGGGGGCAGAGGAAAGGTGGCCACTGTGCCCCACCCTCCCAAGCATGGGCACAGCCAAGAGCCTGGGTGGCACCTAAAGATGGGGCCACCGGACCTGGCCCCCTTGCTCTCTGCAGCCCTTCAAGGGCAGACCAAGGTACCTGGGCACCCAGGCAGGTTCCCACCAGGGGCTGTGCATAGGGCGTGGCTCAGCACCCAGACCCCATCACATCCTCACAGGTGGGACGTGGAGGCGGGGGGATTGCACTGGGGGAGGGCTGATGAGCGGCTTCTCCACCGGGACTCACTCTGTGGATGATGCCGGCAGCGTGGATATACTGCGGGGGGCAGAGGATTTGGCAGGCTTCAGCGCACCCTCTCAGAGCCACAGGGCCCTCCTCTGCCCAGCCCCGAGGCCCTGCCTGCCTCCCTGCAGCCTCCCCCGGGGCCCGTACCCTCAGCCCCTTCAGCATCTGGTACACGAGGAACTGGATCCGGTCCTCGCCTAGCTTCTCATGTTTCATGAGCTTGCCCAGGTCGGTGCCCATGAACGGCATCACCAGGTAACTGTGGGAGGGGCCGGAGCGCTGTCAGCGGACAGAGCCAGCCTCTGCATCCCAGAGACCCACCCAGCAGGCCCAGGCTCAGACCCGTCCCGGATCCAACAGGCACCCCCAGGAAGGTCACCCCTGCAGCACACATCCACACTGGCCTCGGTGTCCTCGCAGCCCCACCTTGCAGTGCCAGGCTCCATCCTCCCGCAACTGTTACTGCCAGCAGCGCTCACACCCCCCTCCCACCCTGAGGACTGTCAGGCAGGGAGGAGGCTGCCTTGGGGTTTTTGAACCCTCCGCTGAAGCGCCCTGCGTGCCAGGCTAGGGGCTGAGGCTCCATGGTAGAGGCAGCAGGACTCGAGTCTTCACAGGCAGGGGAGGGAGGCAGTCAGGTTTCAACTTCACAACTTTGTGCCAGAAATGAGGGAGGTGCCTGGGGGCGATGGGGGCGCGGCAAGGCATCTGGGTCAGAGGGGTCGGCTGGGCCGGTGGAGACAGACACAGGAGAATGGTATTTAGCACCTTCCCAGAGGCCACTGACTTGACCTCTGCAAGTCAGGCGGGAGGCGCCTGCTACCCTCTCCAGGCCTTCCTCGGCCTGGCCCTTCACTCTTGGCCGACAGGGTGTGAGTCCCAGGGTGGTCGGCTGCAGGGCAGGGGCAGGGTGGGTCCTCCCTACCGCTTCTCCCCCACCCGCTGGAAAAGGTCAGCAGCTCCAGTTACCGGCCACACACTTGGTGCCAGGGTCCCGAGCACGGGACCTTCCTGTTAACAAATGGTCAGGTCCAAGGTTCACACCTCCGGTGCTGGAGAGGGCCCAGGTGCCAGGCGTGGAGAGAGGCAGCAGCCCCAGCTCTGCCCAGCTGTGCCAGTGCCCGTGGGTCCCAGGACCATGTGGGGGAGGGCGTGGGGTGGACAGTGGTATGGGGAGGGGGTGGGCGGTGTGCATCCCCCACTCAGGCTGCAGGAAGAGAACCCCATTGCCAACCTAGAACCTGAAGCCAGTGCCCAGAGCTGCCCAACACCCCTCGTGCCCAGCGGCCAGCCCAGGTCGGCACTCACAAGTCCGTGAAGTCATCCAGGGTCTCATCAGGAGTGAATACGTCCAGCAGCCCGATCACCTGGGGGGGCCACATAGGGTTGAGAATGCAGCAGAGGACACGGGCTGGGGCACCCCCCAAGAGTGGCACAACCCTCTGGGCAGGAAACCCCCTCTGCAGCTGTCATTGTCATGCCCCACTGTCCAAAGGGCCTGGCTCTGCCCACTGGCAGTGTGGCCCAGCCCTGGCACACATACCCACTGGCAGTGTGGCCCAGCCCTGGCACACATACCC
Organism: Homo sapiens; assembly: GCF_000001405.40. Lineage (NCBI taxonomy): Eukaryota > Metazoa > Chordata > Mammalia > Primates > Hominidae > Homo > Homo sapiens. The sequence goes on from NC_000022.11 coordinate 50,258,515, forward strand.
ACAGAAAGGTTATTTTTGGACGGTGACAACCGGGATCTTCTGGGGGAGGGGCAACCCGGAGTCTGGGATGGCTCCGAACCATCCAAAGGGCTCCTGCCGCCTGACCCTTTCACCCCTCTTCACCCCAACCAAACAGATCCAGGCCCAGGGTGGGGACAGCGCTATGGAAAGAGGCCAGGCCTCTGCTGGTGAGGCCCAGGCGGACAGCACCGTGACCCACCAGACCTGGTCCCCTCAGCACCCCTGGTTGGGGAGATAGACAGTAGACAGGTCATGTGACAACTGCCGCCTCAGCATTTTGGGGTGACGGTCCCAGGGAGGCCTGGAGTTTTGCACAGCCAAGGGTGGAGGGGCAGGTAGACATGTGGGCTGCGGGACACCTGGCAGAGGGCACACACAGAGTGGCCGAGGCAGGAGGGAGCACACTTGGATAGTTTGAAGAATACAGGGAGGGAGGCCAGGTGGCGGAGGCCCAGGCCAGGGAGGGGCTGAGGAGAGGCCAGAGGGAGCCGGCAGGGCAGCACACACCAGGTGGAAGTTTGGCTTTGATCCCAAGAGACGGGGACGATTTAAATGGGGACGTGAGGCTAAATGCGTCCTCCTGGCCGTGGTGTAGGAACCGGCCAGAGTGAGGTAAGAATGGACACAAGCTGGAAGGACAGCTCCGCCGGAGCCACGTGGGCCAGAGCCATGGGCAAGAATGTGGAGGGAGGAGGAGAGGGAACAGAGGGGGTGTCCAGGGGGCAGCGGGGACTGTGGACATGAGAGCTGGAGGGTGCCCGGGAGAGTGCTTTAGCAGAAGACGGAGAGCAGGGTCCTGTGGGCTAGGGGCCACAGGACTTGGCCTGGCCTCTGTGGTATGGGGGCTGGCCTGGAGAGGGAGGCGGCCTGGCAGGACTGAGGCCTGTGGCAGAGCCTCCTCCCCCGCTGAGCAAGGCACGTGGCCTCACAGAGCTTCAGTCTCCCAGGAAGATGGGGTTCCAGGGAAAGAGCCTCAGCTGCAGGCCAGGAGCCCAGGGGGTGGGCCCACAGGCACAGCGGAGATCCCAGCACAGCGGGGCGGTGGCTAAAGAAAAGCCCCGGTGGAGCCCGGCGCGGTGGCTCACGCCTGTAACCCCAGCACTTTGGGAAGCCGAGGCGAGCAGATCACTTGAGGTCAGGGGTTCGAGACCAGTCTGCCCAACATAGTGAAACCTCATCTCAACTAAAAATACAAAAAATTAGCCAGGCGTGGTGGCGCGCGCCTGTAATCCCAGCTACTGAGGAGGCTGAAGCAGGAGAATCGCCTGAACCCAGGACGCGAAGGTTGCAGTGAGCTGAGATCGTGCCATTGCACTCCAGCCTGGGCAACAAGAGCGAAACTCGGTCTCAAAAGAAAAAAAAAGAAAAAAAGCCCCAGAGCGCTTGGCTGGATGGGGCAAGGCACGGGTGGGTGAGTGGGTGGGTGGGAGCAGGGGGCCGTGGGGAAGGCTGCAGTCCTGGGGCAAGGCCTTGGTGTGATGGGCGGGTGGTGGGGGGGTGCGGTGCCGGCGAAGTGGGGGCAGGGCTGGGTGTGACGGGGTGTCGAGGTGCGGGCAGGGCTGGTGTCCACTGCAAATGGATTTCACAGGGCCCAGGGTAGTGAGCTGGGGGTCAGGGTGGGCATGGGAAGCCTCAGAGAAAAAGACCCATCCAAGGGGCTGAGGGAGTAGCGGTGGCCAGGAACCGGGGGACGGGGCACTTTGCTGGTGGACGGGGCACTTTGCTGGTGGACGCAGGGACTCGTTCTCCCAAGGCACCGGTGGCTCAGATGACCCAGGAGGGTCCAGAGCATCTCACCCTGTAGGTAGGGTCCGGGTGCCCAGACCACCAGCCCTCAGGCTGGGCCCAGACCAGGGGGAGGGCAGGAGTGACGTGGGGGGCAGTGGACAAGTGGGACTGTATCCAGAAACCAGAGCACCCCTGGCAGAGAGATCGGGTTCTTAGCAGCCAGCCACCGCCATGGGAGAGGCCCAGGGCAGCTGTACGTGGCATCTCACTGGAAGGACTGGAAAGGATGGGCCCCCACAACGCACAGGAGGGTGTCTGTGAGGCGGCCACCACGCCCAGTGCTCCTCAAACAGCAGCTCCCTAAACCCTTCACCCCCAGGGGCTCCTGAGGGTTCAACACACTCCCTGCGTTCTGGCGCCCCCCTCCTCCCCCTCCACCACCGGGTCGGAAGACTCGGGAGATGGACAGCAGCAGAGTGGGCTCCACAGAGGGGCTGGAAAGGGGATGGGGAAGAGGGAAGGTGCCCCTTCCAGGAAAATCCTCCCGCCGGGAGCATGCTCTCACCGCGGGCTTCCTGGCTGGGGGCAAGGCTTGGCGTGAGACCTGGAGGATCCCCTGGGCCTGGCCAAGTCGTGTTCCCTGACCAGGGCCTGGCTGAGGCGCCGAGTCAAGGGGCTGAGTCCTTCCCGGGGCTGGCGGAGGATGGGGAACGGCCCTTGGGGGAGTCGTCTCCCAAGGAGAGACAGGCCTTGCTCTCCTTCTCCCCTGGGGACCCACGGCCCGACCCCCGCCCGGCCCCACAGCAGGCTGCCTGGAGGAGGGGTTGCCGGGTGGGGGAACCCAGCCCAGCTGAACCAAGCCGAGGCCGCGGCGCCTTCCCGGAGCGGGGCCGCGCGACTCACGTTCTCGTGGCGCATGTGCTTGAGCAGGCGCAGCTCGCGGTAGGCGCGCTTGGCGAACAGCTCGGACTGGAAAGGCCGATACAGCTTCTTGATGGCCACCTTAGCGCCGGTGCGGCCGTCCACGGCCGAGCTGCGGGGCGGACCGCTTAGCGGGAAGGCCGGGCACCCCGCGCAGGCCCCGCCCGCCCCGCCGGCCGCCCCGCCCGGCCCGCGCTCACCACACCGCGCCGTAGGCGCCCGAGCCCACGGGCTGCAGGTCCCGGTACACGGCGCGCACCTCCCAGGCCGTCTTGGTCACCTCCTGGCGGTAAAAGCCACTGCGGGCGGGCGGCGGAGAGCTCATGGCAGGCCCGGGAGCTGCCCACCCCGCAGAGCCTGCGGGCGGTGCCCCCACGACCGGGGACGGGGCTCCCTCGGCGCGCGCCTCGGGCCGGCTCCGCGCCGCTCGTCCGCTCGCCCGCCCGCCCGCCGGCCGCTGGGGCGCTCCCGCTCCCGGCCCTTCCCTCAGGGATGTCCCAGGTGCCGACCCCGGCCCGACCCCGACCCAGGCTGCGCACGGCCCCTCCCCCGCCCGGGGACCAACCGGCCCGCGGGCGGCGCGCACGTGACGCCCTCGCCCGCCCTCCGGCCCCTCCGGAAACCCGAGGCGGCCGCCGCCGGGGGAGGGCCGGAGCCTGGGGAGGGCCGGAGCCTGGGGGGAAGCGCAGGGGGAGGGGAGCGCCGCCCCGCAGCTTCGTCCCCATAAAGGGCCGGACGCGGCGCGGAGATACCTCTGCCAGCCTCTCCCCTTTGGCTGAACTTCCCCGCCCTGGGGGGGTCTCAGCAGGAGCCCCCCCCCCCCCCCCCCGCCCGCTCCAGTCCTAACTCCCCACGGCTCCAGGGCGCAGGGCCCATCCTTGACAGCCTGAGCGCTGACTTCTATGGCAGCCGCAAGTCGGGCTGAGCCCTGTGTTCCCGGGGTCAACTTCGCAGGCCACCCCCAAGGATGCCCTACCACTGAGCCTGATCCATCCGTCCCCCAACAAGGGGTCCATCTGCACCTGTCCTGCCTGTATCCCTCTTTCTACACGGAGGGGTCTGTCCCCCAAACTCCTCAGGCTGCATCCCCAACCCCACTCCTGTGGCCACTGACCCCGGGCCTCTCAGTCCCATAGGTCCCCGTGGGCCCTTTTGGACCCCCAGCTCCTCCCCCTGCTCCCCCCATCTGTGGGGTGCCTGCTCCAAGCATTGCAAGTACTGGTGTCTCTGCCCATCCCACCCCTGCCTGTCCTGTCCTGCAAAACCCAGGCTGAGAGTGGCTGCACTCTCTCCAGCAGGGATGGGGACCTGCTGGGGCCCTCCGCCTGACCCCTCTGTGTGGGCATTGTCCTCCCATAGGTCTGGCCCCATCCTGGACCAGATGCTCCTGAGGGCAAAGCCCCACCCTGACACCCCTTCACCAGCCCAGGAACCTGGATCTCAGAAGGGATGTTGGGGCACCCCAGGAGCCCACTGGGCTGGTGGGTAACAGGATCCCTAGGGCCTTCTGCCCCGCCCTCCTGCCATGAATCAGCAGCTCAGCCGCTCAAGGGTGGTAGTAGCTTTACACCTGGGCTTGGGCCGTGCTCCACGGCATTCACCAGCTCGTGACCAGTGAGCGGGGCAGCCCAGGGCCACCCAAACCACAGCTGCCTGTGGCCCATACCCTTTGTGCCCTGGGCTGCCTGTGGCACTCCATCCACCTCTTCCAGGAAGCCCAGCTTCCACGCTGTCCCCCTTACTCCCCGTGGTGGGGCTCAGGGGTCCAGCAGGCCCTGCACGGACCAGGCTTCTGAGGTGGGGCTGTGTCACCATTCTCCTCCCACCCCCAACCGCCAACACTGGACTTCCCCCGGGATTGACCACTACACTGACCAGGCCCCAGGAGGCCCCCAACTCCCAGACGGTTTCCACCCCTACCCAAGACCCAAGCAAGGGCACAGACTGTCCCTGGTCCTTAGAGACACTGCCTGACCCCAAATGGCCTGGACCCTCCCCCACACATAAGCTGCAGCGCGTAGTGGGAACGGGACCAGCGTGCACATTCCCTGGGTTAAAGTGGCCTCTTTTTCCTTCACCAGGAGGGAAAGGAAAGCTATTTTCCCTACCCTGCCCAGCCCCCACCCAGGGATGGGCAGACCCTTGCTCCTTGAGACACCCAACTTCTCCCCAGCCAGCTTCCCTGAACACTGAGGGGTAGGCGGGGGTGGTGTCTGGATCTTGGCCCAAAGCCAAGCCTGCCCAGTACATCCCCACAGGGCAGCTGGGGTCACCATCTGGGTGGCTGTCACACCCTGTGCCCTCAAAGTCTGCCCATCAGCCATGTCTTCCCCTGGTCCCCCTGGGCTCTCAGACCCTCCAGGGAGCAGGGAGGGTGCCAGAAGATGGCCGCTGGTCTGACTGGGGGCCTGAGGGATCTGGCCAGCTGGAGGTGAGTGATGCAGGATGACCCAGACACTCCCCCCACGCCCAGCAGCAGGGATGGTGGGGGCACCCGGGCCTGGAGTAGCCTTTGGATACAAGCCAAGTGAGAGAGAACCCCCTTTATTGTGCACCCCTGGTGCAGGCACTTGACACCCAGGCTTCCCTGGGCCCCTCGAGGCAAGAGGTCACCCCCTTTCCAGGGCAGAGCCACACCCCCAACTCAGCTCTGGGCAGGGTCCCGTCTCCGAGGTTACTGGATCAGCTCCATCCTGGGACAAGGAAAGAGGACTGACCCACAGACCAGAGCACCTCAGATCTCCGGCTGCAGGGCCACAACGGTGGGCAGAGGTAGAGAGCGGGCCAGGGTGCAGGGCAGAAGTGTCCGAGTCCAAGTCCACATCCAGGTGTGCTGCCTGCCCTAGCGTCCTCAAGGCCAAACCACCCACCCACCCACCCCCAGCCTCAGGAAGCTGCTGTGGGTCCCACATCCAAGGAGAAAGCCCCTGCCCATGCTCATGTGGTTGCCCTTTGGCCCACTGGAGCCGCCAGTCTGAAACACCCCTCAAGGCATCAGGAACCGAGGAGAGGGAAGGCAACAGCACACCCACCCCGGCTCCAGCTTCTTGCCAGATATGGCTGCTGGCCTTGGGCGCCCACAGATTCACACGCACCACATCACATGTGCCCTGACATATGAACACGGGGAGTGCACGCTCATCCACACGTGCCCACACACACCCACGGGTGAACACAAGACTCCAGGCAGCTTTTCTCATTTGACACCTGGTGGTTGTCCCTGCCCAGCCTGGTGGCACACTGGCTCTGCCTCTCCTCTTAGACCTGTGGGTCTCAGCAGTGACCAAGACAGCCCCCTACCTCCAGGCTGAGCAGCTCTAACCACTGAGACCTCTCCCTTTGAGTCTCCCGGGGTCCCGGCCCCAGCGCGTCCTCCAGAAAGCCCTGGGACAGAAGAGAGCCCAAGGCTGACACTCCCTTGGGTCGGCCTGGGACAGACAGGGGAACTCCGCAGGGGAACCCCTTTGGCATCTAGGACCCCACAGTCAGGTCCCAGTGGAGAGTGCAGTAGCCAGAAGAGGACAGGAGGACCAAGGTAGGCCCAGGGACACTTGTGCCCAGACTCCTACACATGGCAAGCACATGTACACACATGTTTGTGCATGCATACATGCGTGTAGATTCTCCTGAAGGCGAGGGGTCCTAGGCCAGAAGTCTGTGACCATAGGAGTGTGGGAGGTGCCTCTCGAGGAAACCAGGCCAGCTGTGGAAGGGTGCAGGCCCAAGCCCCTCCACAGGCTCTCAGGGGCTGCTGGGCAGCACCTCACTGCTCAATCTCCAGGCTGCCAGGTGGCTTCGGTGGCTCTGGGGGCTTGAAGCTGAGGACTTCCTGGTAAGTGAGCTCTAGGAGGTGAAGGGAAAGGGTGAGCTTGTGCCTCCCACAGCCCGGCCCCTCACCTGCTTGTCTGGCACCTGCCACCCAGCCCAGGCCCACCACCCTGTGACAGCAGCCTCAGCACAGTCTGGGAGCCAGAACCTGCCCTGTGTCACTCCTCCGCCCCGCTCCCAGCCTGTGCTGGACACCTGAACGCCCTTCCACACCTGACCAGTCTGGAGAGGAACTGGGGCATTTCCTGCCTCTGGGGAAATGGAGCCCGCAGGCCCCTGGACCCACCCCCAGCCACTGCCATGCTCACCCTTCCACTCCTCCAGCGTGCGCTCCTTGGCCTCAACGCTCTCATCATATGGCTCGGCCTCTGGCTCATCCTCGGGGTCGTGGTACTGGCTGAAGTAGGCGTGGGCCAGTGCCTCAGCTGCACTGACCCTCTGGTCACTGTCCAGCACCAGCATCCTTCCAAGGAGGTCTATGGCTGCAGGGAAGCCAGTGGTGGGGAGGGGGGTCAGCTGTACATCCAGGGCCAGATATGGAGCCCAGTCTAGCCCAGGGCAGTCCTCACCCAGGGGGTTGGCTCCACGGAAGATGCTGCTCAGGTCCTTCTGGGGCATGGGGGGCAGGGACTGGATATATGTCCGGGCCTGGGGGCACACAAGAACACCTGGGGAGGCTGCTCACTCTCTGCCTCCCTGGCCCCAAACTGGGGCTTCTCTTGGCAAGCCCCCAGACTCATTCACTCCAACAGGCCAGGACAAGGGCACAGGCAGACCAGTGACCCCCTCCATATAGGATCTGGTGGTTCTAGCTCCTCAGTTGGCCCCTAATGCCTGCAGGAGCTGGGTCCAAGTACACTCCCTCCACCCAGCCCACCCCCACTGCCCTGGCCAGGCACTGCTTGCTGGGGTCCCCCAGCCCACCCCCACTGCCCTGGCCAGGCACTGCTTGCTGGGCCCCCAGCCCACCCCCACTGCCCTGGCCAGGCACTGCTTGCTGGGGTCATGGCTTTGCACTCACTGTCCCTGGTGTCAGGAATGTCTTCCCCCTTCTCCTGTTTCCCCTGCAGGGATTGGGCACCTGCCCTAGGCTCTATCCCACCACATCCCATGTTCCCCATATGGTCCCCGCATTTCCACACCACCCTCTCCCCCAGAGAGCCTGGGGGCTCAGCCAGGAGAGGGAGCTGCTGGCTGGCGGGCACCAACTCACGTGTTCTGAGGAGATTTTTGCCAGAACCTCAGGGCTGGGTGTGCCCACCACTTCCATGATGCGCTTCAGCTGGTCAATGTCTGTGTCACTCAGGAAACACCCACGGGCCAGCCACAGACCCCTCCTGGGCCCCCAGACCCAAAACTTTGGGGCGCTGCCCAGAGCCCGCTCTCCTATAGGTGAGGATGGCCAGCCCAAAGTAGCATAGCATGGGGGGCAGAGGAGGCAAGACCCGCCAGAAGGGGCCAGCGCTGGTCCCTACCCTACAGGAGGGGCCCTGTTTGACCCTGCTCCCCAACCTGGGCCAAGGATACAGTCGCTTCCCGGGAAGAGGGCCTTGCCCTGGAGCAGCTCAGCCATGATGCAGCCCACGGACCAGATATCCACTGTGCGAGGGCGAGGGGACCTCCATCAGTGTGCCCACCCCACGTCCCTCCTCCAGGAGACCCACAGTCACATCCAGACCCCAAGATGGGCAGACCCCCTCCTCTGCCATACCCAACCCCCCTAGGCAGGGGGAGGTCCATAGCTGCACAGCCAGAGGAGGCCAGCACCCATCATGCTCTAGCGGCCTCTGAAGGGCTACTTTTGAATGTGGGTCCCACATTCTTGGGGACCTTGCCTGCCCCCTAAGACCTGGCATGCAGAGCCAGTCGAGGGCCAGACGAGGCCCTTGGCCTTCGTCCCCCCAAGGCCTTCCCCCTGCACCTGTTTGGTTGTAATGCATCCAGTTGAGCATGATCTCAGGTGCCCGGTACCAGCGCGTGGCCACATAGCCGGTCATCTCCTCGTCCGCCTGGCGCGCCAGCCCAAAATCCAGGATCTGGGGCGACCACGTGGTGTTCTCAAGCTCCGCACGGGCTCCGCCGCCGCCCTGCCCACCCCTGCCCACGGGCCTCACCCTGAGCTCACAGTCCTCGTTCACAGCCACGTTGCTGGGCTTCAGGTCCTGCAGGTCACGCGGAGCGTGAGCACAGGAGGCTGGGACGGAGCCCTGCTGGACCCGACCCTCACCCTGCGGTCGCACCTACCCGGTGGATGATCCCGGCCGAGTGGATGTACTGCGGGAGGGGGATTGTGGTGAGCGCCGGGCCCGGCCCGCCCGCCCCCCTGCGAGAGGACCCGCGAAGCCCAGGGCGCCCCACCTTCAGCCCGCGCAGCAGCTGGTAAACCAGGAATTGAACGTGCTCGTCGCTCAGCGCCTGGCACTTGACGATGTTGTTCAGGTCGGCGCCCATCAGGGTGGTCACCAAGTACCTGGGGCGGGGTCAGGGGGTCAGGACAGGGCCCCACCGCCCCACCGCGAACGCGCTCCCCGCTGCCTCGCCCGCCCCGCCGCTCACACTTCGCTGAAGTCCTCGATGGACGTGGCCGGCGTGAAGACGTCCAGAAGCCCGATGACCTAGGTGGCGGGGGGCGTCAGGGCCGGGCGACGAACCCCCGGCTGTCGTTCAGCTCCCCCCGGGCCACGCCCCCAGTGCCAGGCCGCGCCCCCTGTGTCCCCGCCCCCATCGCCAGGGCTCGCCCGCCTATTGGCTGCGCCGCGGCCCCGCCCCCGCACGCGCCCTCCCCCCACGGCCCTCCCCCGGCTCACGTTCTCGTGCTTCAGGTGCTTGAGCAGCCGCAGCTCCCGGTACGTTCTGCGCGCGTGGATCAGCGACTGGAAGGGGCGCGACAGCTTCTTCACCGCCACCTTCTGGCGCAGCCGGGCGTCGTAGGCCGAACTGGAAGGCGGGCGAGTGAGGCGGCGCCGGGAGGGGTCCGAGGGCGGCCGCACGCGCGTGGACCCGGGCGGCGTCCCTCTCGCCGCTTCTCCGTGGGGATGGGGCCGTGGGGCTTTTCTGCCCCGGCCCCGCCGCCCCAGCTCGGCCTCCCACCCTCGGGCCTACCCACTCCGCGCTTGCTGGGAAGGAGCCCCTGGGGCTGGACCACCATGCGTGTGTTCACCCCACAAGGTCCTGGACCTTCTCTGTCCCCTGGCCCCACTGATTCCCACGCTCAACCAGGGGCCCCCATTCAAAGCAAGGCTGGGGGAGAGGTGCCCCATCCAGCGTGGAAAAACACAGCAGGAAAACAGTCACTGGCATTCACCTGCAGCAGACGGGCCTCCCTCTGCCCCATAGACCCCATGGGCCCAGGAGGCTCACAGAGGGGGATTCTAGAGCCACCTCAAAGCCCCTGGACCCCTGGTGCCTCCGAATGTTCAAAATACGGAGGGAAAGTTGGTCAGAGGTGTTTATTGCATCATTATTTGGAACAAAACCGGGACAGAAGGTGATGTACAGCTGAGGGCGTCAGCTGGACCCACAGAACAGCCCTTCGCCCAGCCCCACTTCCCAGAGGTCCAGACCCTCTACCCTGCACCAGCTTCCTGAGCCCACCCTCCCTTTGCAGGTGACCCTCATCCCACCCTCCCATGTCCCACTGCCCTCAGCCCTGCTAAAGGAAAGGCCTTTGCACAGCCTGTTCCCTCTGGCTGATACTTGCTTCTTCTCTCCCTCCCACTTCTGTCTCTTGGGATCCTGTCTCAGAGCAAGTGGAGGCTGAGGCCACCCCCCATGCCCACACAAGGGGAGCAGGAGCGGCTCCTGCTGGGTCTGGGATGCTCATGGGCGCAGGTCGAGGTGCCTGGGGCAGCCATGCTCCCAGCCTATGACCAGGGAAAGGTGCTCCTGAGGTGGTGAGGGGAGTGGCCCTGCACGTGGGGCAGCAAGTTCTTTTGGCCAATTGCATCTGTGCGGTCAGGTGACAGGGAATTGGCACCTGGCCCGCAGCCTTGGCAGTGGAACTAAGAAAATGGGCCAGGGGTGCAAGGGGGGAGACCAGGCCTCACTCAGAGAACCGGACACCTCTCAGCAACTCCCAGACGGCGAGTCCAGCCATGACCCACCCTAGTCCCCTATGGCCACTCCCACACCGTCCCAGACCCTCTTCCTGCCCTTCAGGTCTCAAAGAGGAAGACAGATCTGTGCTGGCATGATGGCTAGAATGACCCACCTACAGCTTCTGATGGAAGGCTAGGGACCACACCAGAAGACAGCCTGCCCTGGGACCCCCGGCCCCTGATGCCGGCTCCTGAGCTCCAAATCTGGTGGGCCTAGAGGTCCCACTTCCAACCTGCAAGTGCCTGGGGCAGAGCTCTGCCCTGGCTGCCTCTGCCTTTGCGCCCCACCAGGACCCCCCAGTGGGCAGCAGCTAAGCGGCATTGGCCATGGTGAGGACTCAGCTGCACCTCTCAAAGCCTGTACCCATGATCAGCCTCCCAGTCAACATGGAGGCTGAAACTTAGGACTCCCGGTAACTACCTCACCCTAAGCCCCTCCAGCCCTGGCTACCCGGGTCTAACAGAGACCTTGGCCCAGTTGACCCCCCTCCCCCACCCAGACTCTGTCGTCTTCCTGGGCCCCAGGCCAGGTCCTCTGGCCCCAGGGCCTAAGTGGGGTTTGTGGTCTGAGGGGGAGTCTGAGGCCATCCCAGGGGGAGAGATCTTGGCTTCCGGGAGCGGGGCTTCCCTTTTCAGACAATAGCCCCCAGCCCGGGCGGGGGAGGGTCATCCGCTAGACCCCGGGGGGCTGCCTGACCCGACTCAGTGAATCTCAGGTGGGTGCTCAGACGTTTAGGGGCCCGGACATCAGGGTGGCTCGGGGCTCGGTCGCGTGAGACCCACCCTCACGCCAGCTGTGACCTCCCAGGCCTCAGGCCTGGTGGGGAGCAGTCCGAATCGGGAGAGGCCGGAGGACCCCCCTCCCTCCCGGTAACGGCGTCTGCTTGGAAAGTTTCTTTACGCCGCCACCCCCGCCCCCCCATTCATTCCTCAGATCCGCTTGGCGCCCGGGGGCGGAGGCAGGGCGAGGCCCCTCCCCACGCCGAGAACCTCGCGCGGGCGAGGAGGGGACGCGCTCTCCGGCCCGGCCCGGCCCCCACCCAGCACCCCTTCTGCCCCGCCCCTACCAGACGGAGCCGTAGGCGCCGGAGCCCACCGGGCGCAGCCCCTGCAGCCGCTGCGGCACCTCCCACACGGTCTTGTTCAGCTCCTGCCGGTAGAAGCCGGCGCGAGGGCCCGACATGTCCGGAGCAGCCGCCGCTCCGCCCGGGCCCAGCCCCGCGCCCCGCGCCCGCGCCCGAGCCGAGCCCGAGCCGAGCGGAGCGGAGGGCGGCGGAGGCGGCGGCGGCGGCGGGCGGGGCGGGGCTCCGGGGCGGGGCCGGGAGGCCCGGGCGGATTTCCCGGGCTGGGTGGCCGGGGCGTGGGGGGGTTCCCGGAGACAAATGCGCTGCTTCCTGCGCCTCGGAGGCGGTGGCAGAGCGGAAACCAGCCCTCCCCTTCCCGGGGGGGGCGCCGAGGGCGGACACCTCCCTCCGGCTCTCACCTCTTGGGGGCCGCGCGCTTCTCCAGACTTGCGCCCGCGTCTGGGCTCGGCCCGGGCTTCCCTACCCCGGCGGCGCCCTCCCCAACGAGGGAGAACCGTCAAAAGCGAAGAAGCCAGGGGTAAACCATGGGAAGTATTTTTCAAGACAGAAATATGAATAGCACCTTCTAAAGACTCGGCACTGGATAGGAAAATAAGCCGAAAGGCGTTGGGACAGGGCCGGCCTGGCTTTCTTGCGCAGGACCTGCAGGCCTTGGTCCGCGGTGCGCCCCGGGAACCTTCCAGGCCTCCTGCCCCGGCTCGCCCTGACCTCCCCTCTGAGAGAGGCGCGACCGCTGGACTGTCAGGACCAGGGACAGCGGCGTCACCCCGGGGCCTTCCTACCCACAAGCAGCGGCCCCAAACGGATCCTTTTTGCTGCCCAGAACCTTTCCTCCTCCTTAGCGGCCACCTCTTCTAGGAAGCCCACCCTGACTATCCCAGGTCCGAGGAGCCGCCTTTGGGTGCAGGGTCCTTGAAGTCAGCCCCGCGGGCGGGCAGGCGCGGGGGGCTGCCTTGGCGGTGACGGGGGCAGCGCCCCACTCGGCGTCTCTGCCGCGCTCGGGGCCGCACAGCTACTTTTATTCCCACTTGAAAGCGACCGGGGCTCGGCGGAGCATTGCTCCCTGGAACACCGGCCACCGACCTCCGCCCTGGTAGAGCCGTGGTGGGAGGCTTCGCGGCTGGGCGACCCCCTCCAGCGAAGTGAGAAATCAGGATCCCAGTGGCCCAAAACACTCCTTTTTTAAAACACTAAAATCCGAGTTTTAATGTCAAATCTGATTTTTATATATCGGCAACCAAATTAAAACAGCCAGCACGGTGCTGGCCACCGGACCCATGCGGACCGCGGCGAAGGAACGGGTCTCAGTCCCAGCCGCTCCGGCCCCTTTTGCATGACCAAGCCCCGTGCCTCAGTTTCCCCATTGGAAGCCGGCATCCGGCTGGGGGCCTGGCGCGGGCCCGGGGATGGCCCCTCTCCTCGCTCGGGCTGGGTTGGGGCGAGGACACGGGCAGCCTCCCCGAGGGCCCCCGCCCGGGAGCGCCTTTCACTGGGCCCGGCCGAGGCGGGCCGAGGTTTTGTGCAGAGTTAATGGAGCTTCAGCTAAAGGAGGAGGAGGCCGGAGCGCAGCCCCGGAGCTGTGGGAACCGCGGCCGCGGCCGCCGGGGGAGGGGAGCGGCCTTTGTCTGCGCCGCGGCCGGGCGGGGCGGGAGTCGGGTTCCCATGGCGACCGGCCCCGCCCCTGCGCCTCCCCGTGGACTGGGCGGCTCCGTTCTCGCCCCTAGGGTGGGGGACATGGAGGTGGGGAGGTGTCAGGCTTCCCCCAGGCGTCCGCCCGCAATCCTCGCGGCCTCGCTGCAGGCCCCGGCCGCTCAGCAGGTCAGGCGGGCGTGTGGGGTGGGGGTGGGGGCGGGGGGCGGTGGAAACGGGCCCCTCTCATCACTGAGCTGACCTGCCCCGGGAACCCCCTGCCTGCCCAGGCATTAGAGGTCCCGCCCATGTGCCTACTGGGGACAGTGTGGGGTCGTGGCACTGCAAGGGAGTGATCACTGAGGAGTTTCGGGTGGCGTCAGGGCCTGGAGGCCATCTTCCAGGAGAGGCACCTTCAGAGCTCGGCGGGGGCAAGGGAAGCCCCCCTGGAGGGAGCCGCCGGTGGAGGACAGTCCCAGGCCCAGAGGGGAAGCGGCAGGGGAGCCAGGAAGGGCCGGTGGCAGGGCAGGAGTGAGAAGCCCTGGGCCAGAGGCGCCTCTCCTACCCAGCTGATTCGCTGTGGCCCCTGAATACAGCAGGCCACCCCTTCTCCGTGCTCATGCCCCCACCCCACCCCCGCTGGTCCTGGCCACCCCTCCTCACTGGAGCTGTCACTGTGACAGCTCCTCTCTGGTCCTGCTGGTCCCTCCCAGCTGGCCTCTTCCTGCAGTCAGTGAACTTCCTAAAAGGCAAATCTGGCCTTGCTCACCGGGAGACCAGGCGATGGTGGTCGCGGAGCTGATTTAGCAGGGGACTTGTCCTGCCTGTAAGAAGCAAGCAGGATGTAGCCTTGGGCTGTTAAGCTACCCGCCACCTCTCCTCCCACCACTCTGGGAGGAAAATGGGACTTGGAAAGCACCAGGAAGGACAGGCCACCCCTCGTCTGTCGCCAGCTGACCACTCCAGCCCACCGCATGCACCCCAGCAGCTATGCCCAGCTTCTACCCGGTGCCTGCCCCCACCCAGATGCTGGACTGCTGGGCCTGCAGCCTCTCCCCAGCCCCAAGTTTCATGTGTGTGGGGTCTCACTGACCCTTCCCTTCTTTCCTGACTGCCCAGTGGGACAGGGAAGAGGTGGACTGCAGGGGTCTAGTACGGAAGCCAGGCCTCCAGGTTCCCAGCTCCCTACTTGAGACCTCCCGCTCAGCACTTAAGCCTTCGGTCCACCCCCTTGCTCTGATCTCCTGACCAGCCATGTCTCTGGGTAAGGGGGGAACCCAATGTCATTTCAGGGATCCTTGGAGCAGGGGATGTCAGTTGGCCTTGTACCCCTTTCTCTTGTGGGGGAGAGATGGCCACCCGTTTTTCATCGTGGCTTGAATGGAGCTGTGTGGGCGGCAAGCCACCCAGGCACCGAGGCAAGAGAGAGGACACGAGCTGTTGCAGTATAATAAAATATAAAACAAGAATAGTTATACCAGATATAGATCTTAGATATGATTATATATGAATATCATTAATCATTAGTTTGTAGCAATTACTTTTTATTCCAATATTATAATAATCCTTGCTCAATAATCATAGCCTAGGAAAAACCAGGCCATACAGAGATAGGAGCTGAGGGGACATAGTGAGGTGTGACCAGAAGACAAGAGTGGGAGCCTTCTGTTATGCCCGGACAGGGCCACCAGAGGGTTCCTTGGTCTAGCGGTGACGCCAGCGTCTGGGAAGACGCCCGTTACCAGGCGGGCCGTGGTCCAGCCGTAGCAAAAGGTGTCAAGGAACAACACCCACTACTTAGCAGACCGGGAAAGAGGGGGGGGGGTCTCCCTTTCCCCAGGGGAGTTTAGAGAAGACTCTGCTCCTCCACCTCTTGTGGAGGGCCTGACATCAGTCAGGCTTGCCCGCAGTTATCCAGAGGCCTAAACGTCTCCCTGTGATGCTGTGCTTCAGCGGTCACACTCCTAGTCCACTTTCATGTTCCATCCTGTACACCTGGCTCTGCCTTCTAGATAGCAGTAGTAAATTAGTGACAATACTAATAGTCCCTGATATGCAGAAATAATGGCGTAAGCTGTCTTTCTCTCTGTCTCCTCTCTCTCTCTGCCTCGGCTGCCAGGCAGGGAAGGGACTCCTGTCCAGTGGACACATGACCCACGTGACCTTACCTATCATTGGAGATGACTCACATTCTTTACCCTGCCCCTTCTGCCTTGTATCCAATAAATAACAGCGCAGCCCGACATTCGGGGCCACTACCGGTCTCCATGCATTGGTAGTAGTGGTCTCCTGGGCCCAGCTGCCTTTTCTCTTATCTCTTTGTCTTCTGTCTTTATTTCTACACTCTCTCGTCGCCGCACACGGAGAGACCCACTGACCCTGTGGGGCTGGTCCCTACAGAGCTGCCCCAGTCCAAAGGGGACTCGATCAATGGAGGCCTTGCCCATCAAGAGACCCCAGCCATGACGTGCCCAGGTGGGGAGACAGGCTGGGGCTGCCTGAGAATGGATCCTCGTGAGTGGGTTAGCAGTCCAGACCAGCAGAACCTCAGGATGTGTGCCTGGATCCAGCCACATTTGAAGCTGGGCCTTCACTTTGTGTCTGGAGCACCGAATGCCCTCTGCCTGGGCTGTCTGTATTCTTGGCACACAGGGGAGGCTCTGAGCCCTGCCCGTCCTGGTTGCTGCTGTTCCTAGCGCTCAGGACAGTGCATGCGTGGTGTGCAGCGGGCATTTGGTAAGAATGTGTTGCACGAAAGAAGCCACCAGATGGCACCAGAAGCAGTCCCACCTCCCACCCCCCCCACCTCCCCTCAGCACCTCTCCCAGCCCCCTCCACCTCCCCCCAGCACCCCTCCCAGCCCCCTCCACCTCCCCCAGTACCCCTCCCAGCCCCTTCCACCTCCCCCAGCACCCCTCCCAGCCCCCTCCACTTCCCCCCAGCACCCCTCCCAGCCCCCTCCACCTCCCCCCAGCACCCCTCCCAGCCCCCTCCACCTCCCCCAGTACCCCTCCCAGCCCCTTCCACCTCCCCCAGCACCCCTCCCAGCCCCCTCCACCTCCCCACAGCTCCCCTCCCAGCAGGACCCACAGAGCCCAGGGAAGGGGTGGTGGACAGGGGCACTGCAGCCCCAGGAGGAACACTCAGCCAACCCGCAGAGTGAAAAAGACGCTGTATTTGATTTACAATGAACAAGATTTACAAAAAGGGGTGGGGTGGTCTTGGAACTGCTCCCAGTCCCCCCGGACTGGGTGGGGCTCTAGGGCAGCCTGTCTGACAGACCAGGACCCCAGGATGTCTGGGCCCCGACGTAGGACTTGACCTACGTCTCACTTGACCTTTGACGTGGGGCCCAGCAGCCGTGAGTCCACCCAGAGTGCCGGCACCCTTGGGGAGGCCGGTGAGGTCAGGAAGGCATCGTACCGCTTTTTCTCCTCCTCCCATCTCGTGGTGGACAGACAGACATAGGATCTGGGAACTTGCCCTGGGGGCCACAGGCCCTCAGATCCCCCAGGGGCCCAACCTAGGGCATGGAGGCGGCT